>NC_000003.12:135523755-135826786 GCF_000001405.40 Homo sapiens | reverse complement strand
TCCATTGATCTATATCTCTGTTTTGGTACCAGTACCATGCTGTTTTGGTTACTGTAGCCTTGTAGTATAGTTTGAAGTCAGGTAGCGTGATGCCTCCAGCTTTGTTCTTTTGGCTTAGGATTGACTTGGCGATGCGGGCTCTTTTTTGGTTCCATATGAACTTTAAAGTAGTTTTTTCCAATTCTGTGAAGAAAGTCATTGGTAGCTTGATGGGGATGGCATTGAATCTATAAATTACCTTGGGCAGTATGGCCATTTTCACAATATTGATTCTTCCTACCCATGAGCATGGAATGTTCTTCCATTTGTTTGTATCCTCTTTTATTTCCTTGAGAAGTGGTTTGTAGTTCTCCTTGAAGAGGTCCTTCATGTCCCTTGTAAGTTGGATTCCTAGGTATTTTATTCTCTTTGAAGCAATTGTGAATGGGAGTTCACTCATGATTTGGCTCTCTGTTTGTCTGTTATTGGTGTATAAGAATGCTTGTGATTTTTGTACATTGATTTTGTATCCTGAGACTTTGCTGAAGTTGCTTATCAGCTTAAGGAGATTTTGGGCTGAGACAATGGGGTTTTCTAGATATACAATCATGTCGTCTGCAAACAGGGAAAATTTGACTTCCTCTTTTCCTAATTGAGTACTCTTTATTTCCTTCTCCTGCCTAATTGCCCTGGCCAGAACTTCCAACACTATGTTGAATAGGAGTGGTGAGAGAGGGCATCCCTGTCTTGTGCCAGTTTTCAAAGGGAATGCTTCCAGTTTTTGCCCATTCAGTATGATATTGGCTGTGGGTTTGTCATAGATAGCTCTTATGATTTTGAGATACGTCCCATCAATACCTAATTTATTGAGAGTTTTTAGCGTGAAGAGTTGTTGAATTTTGTCAAAGGCCTTTTCTGCATCTGTTGAGATAATCACGTGGCTTTTGTCTTTGGCTCTGTTTATATGCTGGATTACATTTATTGACTTGCATATATTGAACCAGCCTTGCATCCCAGGGATGAAGCCCACTTGATCATGGTGGATAAGCTTTTTGATGTGCTGCTGGATTCGGTTTGCCAGTATTTTATTGAGGATTTTTGCATCAATGTTCATCAAGGATATTGGTCTAGAATTCTCTTTTTTGCTTGTGTCTCTGCCCGGCTTTGGTATCAGGATGATGCTGGCCTCATGTAATGAGTTCGGGAGGATTCCCTCTTTTTCTATTGATTGGAGTAGTTTCAGAAGGAATGGTACCAGTTCCTCCTTGTACCTCTGGTAGAATTCGGCTGTGAATCCATCTGGTCCTGGACTCTTTTTGGTTGGTAAGCTATTGATTATTGCCACAATTTCAGAGACTGTTATTGGTCTATTCAGAGAGTCAACTTCTTCCTGGTTTAGTCTTGGGAGGGTGTATGTGTCGAGGAATTTATCCATTTCTTCTAGATTTTCTAGTTTATTTGCGTAGAGGTGTTTGTAGTATTCTCTGATGGTAGTTTGTATTTCTGTGGGATCGGTGGTGATATCCCCTTTATCATTTTTTATTGCATGTTTTTGATTCTTCTCTCTTTTTGTCTTTATTAGTCTTGCTAGCAGTCTATCAATTTTGTTGATCCTTTCAAAAAACCAGCTCCTAGATTCATTAATTTTTTGAAGGGTTTTTTTGCATCTCTATTTCCTTCAGTTCTGCTCTGATTTTAGTTATTTCTTGCCTTCTGCTAGCTTTTGAATGTGCTTGCTCTTGCTTTTCTAGTTCTTTTAATTGTGATGTTAGGGTATCAATTTTGGGTCTTTCCTGCTTTCTCTTTTGGGCATTTAGTGCTATAAATTTCCCTCTACACACTGCTTTGAATGTGTCCCAGAGATTCTGGTATGTTGTGTCTTTGTTCTCGTTGGTTTCAAAGAACATCTTTATTTCTGCCTTCATTTCGTTATGTATCCAGTAGTCATTCAGGAGCAGGTTGTTCAGTTTCCACGTAGTTGAACGGTTTTGAGTGAGTTTCTTAATCCTGAGTTCTAGTTTGATTGCACTGTGGTCTGAGAGACAGTTTGTTATAATTTCTGTTCTTTTACATTTGCTGAGTAGAGCTTTATTTCCAACTATGTGGTCAATTTTGGAATAGGTGTGGTGTGGTGCTGAACAAAATGTATATTTTGTTGATTTGGGGTGGAGAGTTCTGTAGATGTCTATTAGGTCCACTTGGTGCAGAGCTGAGTTCAATTCCTGGGTATCCTTGTTAACTATCTGTCTCGTTGATCTGTCTAATGTTGACAGTGGGGTGTTAGTCTCTTATTATTATTGTGTGGGAGTCTACGTCTCTTTGTAGGTCACTCAGGACTTGCTTTATGAATCTGGGTGCTCCTGTATTGGGTGCATATATATTTAGGATAGTTAGCTCTTCTTGTTGAATTGATCCCTTTACCATTATGTAATGGCCTTCTTTGTCTCTTTTGATCTTTGTTGGTTTAAAGTCTGTTTTATCAGAGACTAGGATTGCAACCCCTGCCTTTTTTTGTTTTCCATTTGCTTGGTAGATCTTCCTCCATCCTTTTATTTTGAGCCTATGTGTGTCTCTGCACGTGAGATGGGTTTCCTGAATACAGCACACTGATGGGTCTTGACTCTTTATCCAATTTGGCAGTCTGTGTCTTTTAATTGGAACATTTAGTCCATTTACATTTAAAGTTAATATTGTTATGTGTGAATTTGATCCTGTCATTATGATGTTAGCTGGTTATTTTGCTCGTTAGTTGATGCAGTTTCTTCCTAGTCTCGATGGTCTTTACATTTTCGCATGATTTTGCAGCGGCTGGTACCAGTTGTTCCTTTCCATGTTTAGTGCTTCCTTCAGGAGCTCTTTTAGGGCAGGCCTGGTGGTGACAAAATCTCTCAGCATTTGCTTGTCTGTAAAGGATTTTATTTCTCCTTCACTTATGAAGCTTAGTTTGGCTGGATATGAAATTCTGGGTTGAAAATTCTTTTCTTTAAGAATGTTGAATACTGGTCCCCACTCTCTTCTAGCTTGTAGAGTTTCTGCCAAGAGATCCGCTGTTAGTCTGATGGGCTTCCCTTTGTGGGTAACCCGACCTTTCTCTCTGGCTGCCCTTAACATTTTTTCCTTCATTTCAACTTTGTTGAATCTGACAATTATGTGTCTTGGAGTTGCTCTTCTCGAGGAGTATCTTTGTGGCGTTCTCTGTATTTCCTGAATCTGAATGTTGGCCTGCCTTGCTAGATTGGGGAAGTTCTCCTGGATAATATCCTGCAGAGTGTTTTCCAACTTGGTTCCATTCTCCCCATCACTTTCAGGTACACCAATCAGACGTAGATTTGGTCTTTTCACATAGTCCCATACTTCTTGGAGGCTTTGTTCATTTCTTTTTATTCTTTTTTCTCTAAACTTCCCTTCTCACTTCATTTCATTCATATCATCTTCCTTCACTGATACCCTTTCTTCCAGTTGATTGCATCGGCTCCTGAGGCTTCTGCATTCTTCACGTAGTTCTGGAGCCTTGGCTTTCAGCTCCATCAGCTCCTTTAAGCACTTCTCTGTATTGGTTATTCTAGTTATACATTCGTCTAAATTTTTTTCAAAGTTTTCAACTTCTTTGCCTTTGGTTTGAATTTCCTCCTGTGGCTCGGAGTAGTTTGATCGTCTGAAGCCTTCTTCTCTCAAGTCGTCAAAGTCATTCTCCGTCCAGCTTTGTTCCGTTGCTGGTGGGGAACTGCGTTCCTTTGGAGGAGGAGAGGCACTCTGCTTTTTAGAGTTTCCAGTTTTTCTGCTCTGTTTTTCCCCCATCTTTGTGGTTTTATCTACTTTTGGTCTTTGATGATGGTGATGTACAGATGGGTTTTTGGTGTGGATGTCCTTTCTGTTTGTTAGTTTTCCTTCTAACAGACAGGACCCTCAGCTGCAGGTCTGTTGGAGTTTGCTAGAGGTCCACTCCAGACCCTGTTTGCCTGGGTATTAGCAGCGGTGGCTGCAGAACAGCAGATTTTCGTGAACCGTGAATGCTGCTGTCTGATTGTTCCTCTGGAAGTTTTGTCTCAGAGGAGTACCTGGCCGTGTGAGGTGTCAGTCTGCCCCTACTGAGGGGTGCCTCCCAGTTAGGCTGCTCGGGGGTCAGGGGTCAGGGACCCACTTGAGGAGGCAGCCTGCCCATTCTTAGATCTCCAGCTGCGTGCTGGGAGGATCACTGCTCTCTTCAAAGCTCAGATGGAAATGCAGAAATCACCCATCTTCTGCGTCGCTCACGCTGGGAGCTGTAGACCAGAGCTGTTCCTATTTGGCCATCTTGGCTGTCTTCTCAATTTTTGTATTTCTAGTAGAGACAGGGTTTCACCATGTTGATCAGGCTGGTCTCGAACTCCTGACCTCGTGATCCACCCGCCTTGGCCTCCCAAAGTGCTGGGATTACAGGCGTGAACCACTGCACCTGGCCATGAAGAAGCATATTAACTTGATGTGATCCCATTTGTCCACTTTTGCTTTGGTTGCCTGTGCTTGTGGGGTATCACTCAATAAATTTTTGCCCAGATAAATGTCCTGGAGAGTTTCCCTGATGTTTTCTTGTAGTAGTTTCATAGTTTAAGGTCTTAGATTTAAGTCTTTATTCCAATTTGATTTAATTTTTGTATATGGCAAGAGTTAGGGGTTAAATTTCATTTTTCTGAATATGGATATCCAGTTTTCCCAGCACCATTTATTGAAGAGACTATCCTTTCCCCAATGTATGTTCTTGGCACCTTTGTCAAAAATGAGTATGCAGATGAATGGATTTGTTTCTGGATTCTTTATCTGTTCCATTGGTCTATGTGTTTGTTTTATGCCAGTACCATATTATTTTGGTTACTATAGCTCTGGACAATAATTTGAATTATAATGTGATTCATCTAGTTTTGTTCTTTTTGCTTAGGATAGGTTTGGCTATTCTGGGTCTTTGTGGTTTCATATAAATTTTAGGACTGCTTTTTTCTATTTCTCTGAAGAATGCCATTGGTGTTTTGATAGGGATTGCATTGTATCTGTAGATTGCTTTGGGTAGTATGGACATTTTAACAATACTGATTTTAACAATATTGAATATAAACAATTTTAACAATATCGATTCTTCCAATTACGAACATGGAATATCCTTTCAGTGTTTGGTTTTCTCTTCAATTATTTTCATCAATGTTTTATAGCTTTCAATGTAGAGTTCTTTCACTTCTTTGGGTAAGTTAATTCCTAGGTATTTGTAGCTTTGTAAATTGGATTACTTTCTTGGTTTCTTTGTAGATCGTTCACTGTTGGCAATAGAAATACTGCTGATTTTTTTATGTTGATTTTGTATCCTGTAACTTCACTGAATTTATTTATCAGGGTTTTTTTTGTTTCCTGTTTTTTTTTTTTTTTTTTTTTTTTTTTTTTTTTTTTTTTTTTTTGATGGAGTCTTGCTCTGTTGCCCAGGCTGGAGTGCATTGGTGCTATCATGGCTTATTGCAACCTCTGCCTCCCAGGTTCAAGTGATTCTCCTGCCTCACCCTTCCAAGTAGCTGGGACTGCAGGCATGCACCACCATGCCTGGCTAATTTTTTTTTGTTTGTTTTTTTAGTACAAACAGGGTTTCACCATGTTGACCAGGCTGTTCTCGAACTCCTGACCTCAGGTGATCCTCCTGCCTTGGCCTCCCAAAGTACTGGGATTACAGGCATGAGCCACTGCACCTGACCTGAATTTGCTTATCAGTTCTAATAGTTTTTCTTTTGTTTGTAGAGTCTAGGTTTTTCCAAATATAAGACCATATCATCTGCAAACAGGTATCATTTGACTTCTTCCTTTTCAATTTGGAGGCCCTTTATATCTTTCTCTTCTCTGATTGCTCTAGCTAGGACTTCCAGTACTATGTTGAATAACAGTGGTGACAGTGGCATCCTTGTTGTGTTCCAGGCCTTAGGGGAAAGACTTTCAGTTTTTCCCCATTCAGCATGATACTAGTTGTATATGGTTTTTATTATGTTATGTTCCTTCTATTCCCAGTTTTTTGAAGGTTTTTATTATAAAGGGATGTTGAATTTTATCAAATGCTTTTTCAACATCAATTGAAATGATCATATGGTTTTTGTCCTTCAGTCTGTTGATATGACATATTATGTTGATTGATTTGCATATGTTGAATTATCCTTGCATCCAATAATGAATCCCACATGGTGTTGTTGAGTTTGGTTTTCTAGTGTTTTGTTGAGGATTTTTGCATCAATATTCATCAGGAATATTGGCCTGTAGTTTTGTTTTTTTGATGTGTTTTTGTCTGGTTTTGGTATCAGGGTAATACTGGCCTTGTAGAATGAGTTTGGAAGTATTCCCGCCTCTATATTTTGGAATAGTTTGAGTAGGACTGGTATTAGTTCTTCTTGAAAAGTTCGGTAGAATTTGGCAGTGAAGCTATTGGGTCTTGGGTTTTTCTTTGCTAGGAGACTTTTTTATTATGCTTTGATCTCATTACTTTTTATTGGTCTGTTTGGGTTTGGATTTCTTTATGGTTCAATCTTGGTAGGTTGTATGTGTCTAGGGATTTGTTCATTTCTTCTAGATTTTCCAATTTATTGGCATATAGTTGCTCCTAGTAGCCAATAATGATCCTTTGAATTTCTACAGTATTGGTGCATCTCTGATTTTATTTATTTGAGTGTTCTCTCTCTTTTTTCTTAGTCTGGCTAAAGTTTTGTGAATTTTGTTTATCTTTTAAAAAATAACTTTTTGTTTCATTAATCTTTTGCATTGTTTTCTTCATTTCAGTTTCACTTATTTCTGCTCTGATCTTTATTATTTCTTTTCATCTATTAATTTTGGTTTTGATTTTCTCTTATTAATTTTGACCTTGCTTTTCAAGTTCTTTAAGATGCATTGTTAGGTTATTTATTTGAAGTTTTTCTTCTTTTTTGATGAAGGCATTTACAGATATAAACTTCCTTCTTAGGCTTTCTTTTGCTGTATCCCATAAGTTTTGGTATGTTGTGTTTCCATTATAATTTGTTGCAAGAAATTTTGTAATCTCTTTCTTAATTTCTTCATCGACCCACTGGTCATTCAGGAGCATATTGTTTAATTTCCATGTGTTTGTATAGTTTCCAAAATTCCTCTTATTGATTTCTAGTTTTATTCCATTGTGGTCAGAGAAAGATGCTTGATATATTTTAATTTTTTGAATGTTTTAAGACTTGTTTTGTGACATAATTTATGATCTATCCTTGAGAATGATCCATGTACTGAGCAGAAGATTGTGCATTCTACAGCTATTGGATAAAATGTTCTGTAATTATCTATCAGGTCCATACTGCAGATTATGTCTGAGGTTTCTTTGCTGATTTTTCCATCTGGAAGATCTGTCCAGTGCTTAAAGTGGGGTGTTGAAGTCTCCAGCTATTATTGTATTGGGGTCCATTTCTCTCTTTATCTCTAATAATATGTGCTTTATATATACGGGTGCTCCAGTATTGGGTGCATATATATTTACAATTGTTATATCTTCTTGCTGAATTGATCCTTTTATCTTTATATAATGACCTTCTTTGTCTCTTCTTACAGTTTTTATCTTGAAATCTATTTTGTCTAAGTATAGCTACTCCTGCTTTTTTTTGGTTTACATTTTCAGGGGATATCTTTTCCCATCCCTTTATTTTCAGTCTATGTGTGTTTCTATAGGTGAAGTGGTGTTTTTTGTAGGCAGCAGATCATTGCGTCTTTTTATTTAAAATCCATTCAGCCATTCTATGTCTTTTCATTGAAGAGTTTAGTTGATTTACATTCAATTTTGATATTGATAAGTAAGAACTTACCCCTGCCATTTTCTTATTTGGTTTCTGGTCTTCTCTTCCTCCTTTCCTTCTTTCCAGTCTTCTTTTTAGTGAAGGTGATTTTCTCTGGTGGTATAATTTATCGATTTTCATTTTTTGTGTATCTGTTGTAAGTTTTTTGATTTGAGGTTATCATGAGGCTTGCAAGTAATATGCTATAACCCATTACTTTAAACTGATGACAACTTAACACTGATTGCATAAACAAATAAACCCTAATAAAAACTCTATAGTTTAACTTTGTTCCCCCACTTTTTAGATTCTCATTTCTATTTATATTATATTTTATTGTACTGTCTATGTCTCAAAAAGTGTGTAGTTATTATTTTTGATTGGTTCATCATTTAGTCTTTTTACTTAAGAGTAGTATACACACCACAATTACAGTGTTATAATATTATGTGTTTTTCTGTGTACTTATCATTACCAGTGAGTTTTGTACCTTAAGATAATTTCTTATGGCTCAGTAACAACCTTTTCTTTCTGATTGAAAAACTCCTTTAGCGTTTCTTGTAGGGCAGCTCTGGTGTTGATAAAATCCCTCAGCTTTTGTTTGTCTGGAAAATTCTATTTCTCCTTCACAACTGAAGAATAATTTTGGCCAGATATACTATTCTAGGAAAAAAGTTTTTTTCCTTCAGCACTTTAAATATGTTACGCCACTCTCTCCTGGCCTGTAAGGTTTCCACTGAAAAGTCTACTGCCAGATGTATTGGAGCTTTATTGTATGTCATTTGATTCTTTTGCTGCTTTTAGAATCCTTTTAAAAAATCCTTGACCTTCATTAGTTTGATTATTAAATGTCTTGAGGTAGCTTTCTTTGGATTAAATCTGGTTGGTGTTCTATAACCTTCTTGTACTTGGATATTGATATCTTTCCCCAGGTTTGGGAAATTCCTTGTTATTATCTCCTTGACTAAATTTCTGCCCATATGTCTTTCTCTACCTCCTCTTTAAGACCAATACATCTTAGATTTGTTTGTTTGAAGCTATCTTCTAGATCTTGTAGGCATACTTCACTGTTTTTTATTCTGTTTTCTTTTGGCTCCTCTGACTGTGTATTTTCAAATAGGCATCTTCAAGCTCACTAATTCTTTCTTCTGCTTGATGAGTTCTGCTAGTAAGAGATTCTGATGCATTCTTCCATATGTCAATTTCATTTTTTTCAGCTCCAGAATTTCTGCTTGATTTTAAAAAATTATTTCAATCTCTTTGTTAAATTTATCTGATAGAATTCTAAATTTCTTCTCTGTGTTATATGGAATGTATTTGAGTTTCCTCAAAACAGTTATTTTGAATTATATGTCTGAAAGGTCATATATCTCTGCTTCTCTGGGATTGGTCCCTAGTGCCTTATATAGTTTATTTGGTGTTGTCATGTTTCCCTGGATGGTCTTTATGCTTGTGGATAGTTGGTGTCTGGGCTTGAAGAGTTAGGTATTTATTGTAGTCTTTGCAATCTGGGCTTGTTTGTACCTGTCCTCCTTGGGAAGGCTTTCCAGGTATTCAAAAGGACTTGGATGTTGTGATCAAAGTCATATCTACATTAGGGGGCACCCCAAACCCAATAATGCCATGGTTCTTTCAGACTTGTAGAGGTAGTGCGTTGGTGGTCTTGGATAAGATCTGGAAGAATTCTCTGGATTGCCAGGCAGAGATTCTTCTTTTTTTCCTTACTTTCTCTAAAACACAGTTTCTCTCTCTGTATTGAGCCACCTGGAGCTGGGGGTGGGGTGACACAAGCACCCTTGTGGCCACCATCACTGGGACTGCACTGGGTCAGACCTGAAGCCAGCACAGCATTGGGTCTCACCCAAAGCCTGCTATAACTGCTACCTGGCTACCTCCTATGTTTGCTCAAGGACCTAGGGCTCTACAATCATCAGGTGGTGAACCCAGCCAGGCTTATGTCCTTCCTTTCACTGCAGCAGGTTCCCCCAGGCAGGTCCAGAGATGCTGTCCAGGAGCCAGGGACTAGAGTAAACAACCTTAGAGATCAGCCTTAGATATTCTGCTGTAGGTGACCTGGAGCTGAAACCATGAGACAAAATTCTTCCCACTCTTCCTCCCCTTACCACAGGAAGAGGAACCTATCCTATGGTAACTACCACCATAGACCCATAGAGAGGTACTGCCCATCTACCATCAATGTTCATTTAAAGCCCAAGGGCTTTTCAGTCAGCTTGTGGTGAATGCTGCTTGGCCAGGGACTCACCATTCAGGGCAGTGACCTCCCTGCTGGCCCAGGGCAAGTCCAGAAATGCTGTCTAAGAGCCAAGGTCTGGAATGAGGGACCCCAAGAGCCCACTTGGTACTCTCCCCTACTGTGGCTGAGCTGGTACCAGAGGTGTAAGACAAAGTCCTTTTCAGTTTTCTATCTGCTTTTCTCAAGAAGAAGGAGTGTCTCACCATGACCACCACAGCTGGGCATGTGCTGTATCTCATCTGAAGAACATCTCAGAGTCTCACCCAAGGTCCACAGCATGTACTACCTGGGTATTGCTGCTGGTTCTTCAGGGCCCATGGGCTTTTAGTCAGCAGGTGATTAACTCTGCCAGGACTGGGTCTTTGCCTTCAAGGCAGTGGGCTCCCTTCTGGTCCAGGATGCATCTAGATATGTCATCCAGGAGCTAGGGCCTGGAATGGAGACCTCATGACTCTGCCCAGTGCCTTATCTTGCTGTGGCTGAGCTGGTATCCAAGATGCAAGACAAAGTCTTCTTTACTCTTCCCTCTCCTGTCCTCAAGTGGAAGGAAGGAGTCACTTTTGTTGCGTCAAGCTGCACTGTCTGGGGTCAGGGCAGAGGTGGCACAAATACTACCTTAGTCATCTTGGCCGGTGTCTCACTAGGTTCTGTGCCCCCCACATCCACTGGCTCTGAGCTCAGCACAGCACCAGGACTTGCTTAGGAATTATAGTCCTAGTGGTCTAGCCTGCCTTTCAAATTTATTTAGAACCCCAGAGAACTAAAAGCCCAGGGTGGTGAGGCTTGCTGAAAATCAAGTTCCAACTGCTGGATGGGTGATTCTCCTCTGGCTAGGGATGGTCTAAATGCTCCCTCTGTGGGTGGGCATTGGCTTAGTTTAGCCCAGTTTTGCTTTCTGCTCTGATAGGGCAGAATTGAATTCAATGCAGGCTCCCATGATCACTGCATTCTCCCTCCCCAAAGCACACAGATTCTCTACACCAGGCGGCTGCTGCCAGGGTAAAGGGGAGGGGTAATATTCGTAATTCAAGACTGTTTCTCCTACCTGCTTCAGTGCCTCTTTCAGAGAAGTTGAAACCAGGTGCTGTGATTGCTCACTTGAGTTTTGGTTCTTACGGAGGTATTTTTTTGGTGTAGATAGTTGTTACATTTGGTGTTCCTGGGAGGGTGGTGGGGGTATAAT
This sequence comes from Homo sapiens, assembly GCF_000001405.40. Taxonomy (NCBI): domain Eukaryota; kingdom Metazoa; phylum Chordata; class Mammalia; order Primates; family Hominidae; genus Homo; species Homo sapiens. The sequence goes on along the minus strand of NC_000003.12, from coordinate 135,815,583 downwards.
CAGTGAAGGCTTCTATTTGGCCATATTGCTTTACCCCATTTTTCCTGGCATTCTTGATGTGCTTGGATCACTTGGGTATGGTGTTATACCCCTTGCTTACTAACAGAACCAGTTTTGTTCAGGTATCCAGCTGTTGGGTGCTGGGTCTCTCCTTGGTCCCGGGAGGTAAATCTCTGTTAGTACAAATCAACCATGTTAATTATATTCTCCTTGTCAGTGATTATTTTAGGAATAAACACAAGATGGAATTCAGGCAAATGAGACAGAAGTGAAGTCTGTGTCAGGGAGTGTGCTTCTGGGAATGTTTTCTGTACTTAAAAAGAGACACAGAAAAAGATGTTCTCTCTAGGCCTTTGGGTGTTATGTGAGAATGAGGTGCTTGGAGCTGCTGCAGCTATCTTGTCGCCATGAAAATTCAAGCCTGAAGACAAAGGACAACATGCTGAGGATGGCAGAGCCAGAAGGTAGATGGAAAGAACCTGGGTCCTGGATGAAAGGACTGAGCCACTGAATTATGTTGAATATGCCTCAGTTCCAAACTTCATATTTTGTGAAATCAGTGCCCTTTTTGTTTAAGCCTTTTTGAGTTGTGTCTTGAATTACATGCAGCTGAAAGGATTCCAAAGTGGTGACATACAGTCACCATCCTTACCTCCCTTTTCCCAATTTTCTTACCTTGCCTTTCTATATTCCCTTTCTTTCTTTCTTTCTTTCTTTCTTTCTTTCTTTCTTTCTTTCTTTCTTTCTTTCTTTCTTTCTTTCTTTCCTTCCTTCCTTCCTTCCTTCCTTCCTTCCTTCCTTCTTTCTTTTTCTTTGTCTTACTCTGTCACCCAGGCTGGAGTGCAGTGGCACCATCTTGGCTCATTGCAACCTCTGCCTCCTGGGTCCAAGTGATTCTCCTGCCTCAGCCTCCCAAGTAGCTGGGACTACAGGAGCCCACCACCAAGCCTGGCTAATTATTTTTGCATTTTTAGTAGAGATGGTGTTTTTCCATGTTGGCCAGGCTGGTCTTGAACTCCCAACTTCAAGTGATCTTCCCACTTCAGCCTCCCAAAGTGCTAGGATTACAGGAGTGAGTCACTGTGCCCAGCCTTTGAAGACTTATTTCTTCATAGATATTCATAGATAGTTGGCACTTGCAAGCTCAAGCATCCATCTGGATCCCACAATGGTGTTTCCCTCTGAGGATATGTATAGGACAGGAATTCTTCAAACCTTCTTTGAATCCTCCTAGATGGCTTGCAAAGGAACACCTTTCAAGTGGCGAACTGATAAATGCCACTTCCACACTCTTCCTTTAGAGTGCAGAGAGGCATTCATGACATTTCAGAGGAATGCCAAGGACCCAGGCTCTTTGGCAGAGTGCTTTATGATGGTCCATTTTGACTTGCCTACCTGACTGGCCCTCTGATAAGGGCATAGTGTCTCACACTGCAGGATTCTTCTCTGGGCTAATACTGCTTGCCTGGGAGAGGGGTGTTAGGTCACTGAACATATGGGCAGACCTCAAGAAATGTTATTTCCTAGAACCTTTTACTTTTTCTTCCTCAAACTAGAAAAACAGGAAAATAAATCCCCCACATATTCCTGAATTTCTTTTCTTCCCTAGTCCTCACATCTCTAAATATATCAAACATGATAATTTTATGAGCAACCAAGTTATACATAATACATTTTATGTTCTTAAATGTATCAAGTGATTTTAGATCTGCAAAGGATGCTATAAAACAAGAACAGACAGTGCCCAATTTGTAAATTAATTTGGAAGTATAACTTTTTTTAAAAAGTGGGTTTCTTGAACTCAGAATGCTTTTTCTCATAGAAACAATGATGGTTGAGTTCCAAGTGTGGACCACAACTGCCCACATAATCCATAATGTTCTGTAGCCTTGTCATTAGCTAATCACACTAATAGATGCTTGCTGAGCATATACTATGTTTGAGACTCATTAATCTAGTCTTTATATGTGTTGTCTCAGTGATTTAATTTTCACAACATCTCTATGTCAAAGGCAACCAAAGCTCAGACAGGTTATGTAACTTGCCTAAGGACACACAGCATATATATGGCAAAATTAGACCCTGTGGTCTCTCCTGCCCCAGAGTTGGCTGTTTTCGCATTCACCCTGTCCTCCTGATGGGTTTCAATCACGATCTGCGTCCACATTTTTATGAAAAAATACATTCCAAATTCCATTTGCAATGCCAAAAGCACATCTCTCAGCCCTGGCAGCTAAAGTCCCCCTTTGACCTTCCAATTTTTGTTTTCTCCTAAATAGCCTAAGAAAAGGGGGAGGGTAAGAGAGTGAGAGTAAGAGCAGCGAGCAAGTGTGCGAGCAAGAGAGAGAGTGCATGTGCGACAGAGAGAATGCATCAGTGTGATATGTTGGCCTGGAATGAACCCCATACTGTTGTTTTCCAGACAGCCTGTGTCCATCTCTTTCAAATTCATTGGCTCCCCAACTCCCATTGGGTAGCTGAGCTGGAAATGCACATACTACTCATTACATTTCTTCTGCTTTTACCACCTGTTTATGGTTCAGCCACTGACACAGCCTTGATAAAAGGGCTTGGTGATTGTTCAAATTCCAACTTGGAGCAGAACTTAACTTTGTAAATTTTCAATAAAATGTGACTTTAAAACAAACATGATGAACTTTCTGATTTTGCCCCCCATTTCTCCCCAGTTGGCATCTCACCAGGAAAGGGCCATCATAACCTTCTTTATGCCTCATCTCACCTACTTCACTCAGCCCTCATCTCCTGTTTCTAGACTAGCCACCCTTTTGCCATCGGATTATTTTGCCCTTGGTTATTATTAATATTACATGAAGGATTCATAATTTAGTTTATGAAATATTTTGGACCTGGATTTCTGCTTCTTTTCCTTCAATTTTCTGGATTTTCCCAAATTTACTCATCTCTGATGCTTCTACCTAAGGGGAAAAAGAAGTCAGGGGGAAGGCAAAACACAATGCCTTGACCAAGGGAAGTTGTTGCAACTGATTAGCTAAGGGGAGGTGTTTCCATTCTCCACGGACATTTGTCACTTTCTCCTCTCATTTTCACAGATAATTGGGAATTGGCCTTATAAAGTGGAAATGACATGAAGAACAAAATAGAAAAACATTCTCAACATACTCGGCACTGAAAATATGTACAATCTAATGAATGCTTGGCTAAGACATTATCCAGGATTTTTAGGAAGGCATGATTTAAAATCATCACCAACATGAGTGAAAAGTGTTCCCTTTGGGAGCTGAGCATCCATGGTCTCCGAAGAACCTTCACTGCCATTAGTTGATTAATTAATTCATTAACACCTCGTAGAGCACAGGATATTGACTCCATATGGCACTGAGCAGGCAGTTTGATTTCTTTAGAAAATTTCTCTTATACGAAAGCACAGAAATAGTAAATAATTAAGCTCCAAGCTGCCTCGTTGTGATCTTTTATTGATCAAGGCAGAGATTTGAGAGGAGGAAGGCTTCAGGCGCTCGCTCTAACCTGACTCTATTTGCCCCATGATGACATGTTACTGTGAGACGCTTGTTCTTATTATAAAGCCTTTAAGGAAGAAAATAAGCCCACAATATATTTATGGCTTGCGTTACTTCTGTCCGAGGTTAATTGCCTCACTCTTGAAGACAGCATTTTCTGGTGGACTCCCACGAGGCCGAGGGAAGTGATATGACGAGTGTGCTGCCTGCTGCCTTCTGAGTCCTGGCTTCATTAAGCTGGATCTTAATGCCTTTTTTCCCCTAATAAAGCTATTAGAACAATGACTTATGATTGTGTGGCTCAGTGAGACCTCCAGGGAATGAAGGAGGGGGCGTGAGCAGAAGGGCTTGAGCATGGATCAATGACAGAGGAGGTGGTCTCAGCTTTTCTGCCGAATGGGATTTTGCTGTTTCCCTCTCAGGGTGCCATGTTGCTCCCAACTCCCATGCCTGCTCACCACCCAGCGAACTGTCTGCCTCCCCCCAGATCTCCAGGTGGATCCAGGTGGGAAGGAGAGCCATTGAGATGGGACCAACAGCTGTCCCAGTTCCCAAACCTCTTCCCCTCTCGTTCTGCTCCATCCAATTCTCTTCACTTCTATGCATTCTTTTAGCCACTACCCTCTTTCTCTTTTCGGCAAAACTTCTTGAAGGAATTGTCTACACCCGCTATCTCTACATGCCCACCTCCCAGACACCTCCCAATCTGGGATTTCATGCTTCCCTTGTAGATGCCCCTTGGTGACAAAACTCATCTCACTCCTCTCGGGGGCAAATCTAATGGACATTCATGTGATTCATCTTCTGCGAGGAGGCTTTGGAAATTGTCCACAACTCCCTTCTTGATATCTCCTCCTTTGGCTTTTCTGGCAACTCTTGATGGTGTTTTTCCACTTACTCCTGAGGGACAGTTGGGAGGATGCAATGCTTATATTCCCCGTTGAGAAAGGACTTCCCATCTAGTTGAGGCTTCTATAGGATTTCCTCAATCTTTGGGCCAAGGTCTTGCTCTTCTCAAGCAGCCCCATCCAATGACTAAACAATGCAGTGGTAGAAGGGCGCAGTCATTTCTCTCCAATGTGGATTCCTCTAACAGGAGTGTCTGCTCCGGAGTTCCCCATTGGGTGATGGAGACGTTGTCATGCCTGCATCATGGTCTGACCACTCCCCCTGCCCAATCCTCCTGTCTTTTTCCTTTCACAGGTGTTGCTTCCCAGTAAACCTTTTGCTCTCCTGTCTCAGTGTCTGTTTCCTGGGGGACCCAAATGACACATTCCTTGTACTCCTTTGTTGCTGTTACTTTTTGCAAGTGTCTTAAATGATGGTGTTTCAAAGGCTTTGGTCTAGGTGCCCTTTTCTTTTCACCTTACCTTTTGTTCTTGGGTCATCACCTTATTTTCCTACCTGTCATTCACTCTTTGCCACAATGGTGACTTCCAAATCTCTCTCTCAGATCGTGTCTCTCCCCAGTCTTCGATCTGTGTGTCTCTACTTTGCTGAGCTCTCCACTTGGATGTCTTGCAAGCACCTCAACCTTCACATATGCAAAACAGAAGTAATCATCCCAAGCCTTTGTTGCTTGACTAAAAAAATGATCCTCCCACATTTTCTGCTAAGGGAGTGACACCTAACTGTGAATTAAATCTCTGTGCCTGAAACCTTGGTCCTGTTCTTGATTCCTCTGTTGCCCTGTCACCCACAGTCGACCCCCAGATCCAGATCCCTCCAGATCTTTCATGTGACTACTGTCTCCATCCTTGCTGGAGCTGCCTTTGTTTTGACCTGGATCATGGCAACTGCCTTCTGACTAGTCTTTCTGCTTCTAATCCCACCCCACTCAGTCCATTCTTGAACCCATTGTTAGAGTGATTTTAAAATATAAATCTGCTAACCTTTCCCTGATCTTTCAAACAGTTCGTGTGACCTGATTCGTCCAGAAAGCCAGACAAGAATCTGAGAGTGGGGTTAACAGTCGTCCCTGGACTGCAAGGCTAAAGGGGCACACTGTAACACATGCCCACTTGGGCTCCAGCACCTGTCTGTCTGCGAGCTCCCCCTTCCCTCAGGGGTTTGAGCAGCGGAGAGACTGAACAGGCGAGCCACACACCTGTTGCACATCCTGTGAGGGGAATCAGGGAACTCTCCCATTCACCTGGACCACCAGTGTCAGCATCACCTGTGAACTCATTAGAAATGCAAATTCTTAGACCCCAGCCTAGACCTACTGAATGAGGAGCTCTGGGGCCCAGCAATCTGTTTAACAACCTCTCCATGATGCATGCTGAAGTGTATCAGTAGCTTAAGAAGTTATCCACATCTCAAATTCCATCTTTTATACTCCAGCACTCTCCTGTCCTTCTGCTCGGAACACACTGAGTAACTTGCCTACTCACTAAGGGGCTTCCTTTGCTGGCCCCTGATTTGTCTTAAAAAATCAGTGCATGTGTCATCTCCTCCAGGAAGCCTTCCCTGACACTTCCCTAGCTGAGCTAGGCACTTCTCCTGTCATAGTTCCCTATGCTTCACTCTATCACAGCCCTTATCTCACTGTGTTATAATTGCCTTTTTACCAGGCTGCATCTCCTGCCGGACTGTAAGCTTGCTCAGAAGAGAGATTGTCTTTCATCTCTGACTCTCCAGGGCCTGGCTCACTGCCAGACCCAGAGAAGGGGCACAGTAATGATGTCCTGATGGAATAATATTAAGTACCCACCTTTGCTGGAGTTGCTGGGCTACAGTGGCACTATCAGCTGCCTGCAGCAGGTGTATTTAGCCTCCTCCCACAGCTTCCAGATGCCTCTGGACAGCTACCCTAAAGTAACGGGGCTAGAGTTTGATCTCATTCTGCCTGTTTCATCTTAGCCCTGGGGAGCTAGATGCTGGCATGTGCTAATTGGATGACGGCATTGAGTCCAACTGGGTTCGTAAATGTGTGCATAGGCAGTGAACAGAACACATTTCAAACAGAATCATCTTGGAAATGCTTTGATTCTCTCAGATAAGCATTATGACCCTACACTCCTGGGAACCTGGCATCAGTCTGCCATGCTGTTATTGGTAAGACCCTGCCTTGGATATCAGTTCTGCTGGGGAGGCAGCAGTGGCTGCTGCTGCTGCTGCTGCTGTATCTTCCCAGACTCTTTCACCCTGAAAGGCCTTAATTTGTCCATCTTCACAGTGGGCATCATCCAGATTAGTCACGTGCTATGCCAAGTGCTCCAGGCATAAGTCTTTCTGAATGAATCTGACTTGAAAGCACAGAGCATTAGGTATGCCGCTTGAAATGCAGCAAAACCAGATGGAGAAAGCTGAGAGGAAACGCTGGTCTTTTTAGGCAGTCTGGGAGCCCAAGGAAGGGCTATTCAGGTTGCAGGTGCTGGTGAAAAAAAAATGGAGTGGAGAAAGGATACTTCCTAGTCTGAGAAGAGTGATGCTTCTCCTTTTCCATCTCCTGTCTTGGCAGCTCCTGCCACTTCCAGTAGGCCAGCATGCCTCGTCAAGAAGAGGTCTAGATGACAGACTGGAAAAGTTTGAGCTTGCTGACGCGACTGGAAAGGTTTGAGCTCACTGGAGCAGGTTTGCTTTCCTGGTGTGCTCACCTCAATCCCTTGTGAGGCCAGGTTCCTACACTGCACTAGTCAAAGGGACGGCTTTCTCCCATAAGTCACCCCTCGGACCAAGTGCACCACTTTAAGGCAGTGAGTGGTCCTTAATCTATTTTGGAGGATCAGGAACTCTTTTAAGAATCTGAGAAAATGATGGTAATTCTCCCTGGAAAAAGGAACAGTTCCTCAGAGGTACACATTTTTTGGTATCCTTTCAGGTGGTCTGTGGAATCCTGAGGTTTATCCATTAACCCATTGGAACATATAGACTTCTGATAAGGAATCCCTGCTGTAGTTGCCTCTAGTCTTTTCTGCACCATAGGCTCCTTCTCCACTGGCCTTCCTCCTTAAGCCCCAGGCAGAATCACTCCCGTTTCAGAGCTTACACAGCATGTGGCCCTTGCTGCAAAGCAAAGCATAAAAGGTCACATGGCCTCAGTCTCCAGAATTAGGCTGGCCTGGGTTGCTGCCTGGGGTTCCTATCCTGGCTTTCCCACTTATTCACTGTGTGACCTTGTGGACTGATAGATTAACCATGCTGAGCCTCAGTTTCCTTGCTGATTAAGTGAGCATGATCACAGGATCTGCATTATTGTGAGAATTTAATGAGACTTTGCATGTTAGGGCCATCCATGTGACCAGGCAGGCAGCAGTAAAAGGGGAGTAGTCTTGACCTCAGCATCCCCATTCTGCTTAGGAGCCTGAATTTTCCCCAAAGCTGGAAAGCTGGTCACCCAGCCTAGGACCTGATGGGTATGGATTAAGTGAGATAAGTGGATTAAGTGGAAAAGTGTAGCAGGTGTAGAAGCCCTGGCTTTGGAGCCGGAAATGGGTTTATAACTATCTTCTGACTTTGGGCAAACTTTATCTCTCGAGGCCTCAGTTTCCTTAAATGAAATGAAATGGGACATTGACACCTATCTTGTAAGACTTTTGTGTAGACCAGATTAACTATAAAAAATATTTAACACATGGAAGATGCTGAAGAAGTGGAAGCTATAGCCATGACTGTTAACTGTGGAAGGCTGAACAAATGTGAATTCTGAAAATCACATTCAGGGTGTCATTGTTCATTTTGGGGTTAGGATTAAGCCTAGCCCTAGACATAGAGGTCTGGGAACATGCCCAATTTAAGGCTGTAAGTTGAAACTGCTTAAATTCAAATCCTGGCTGTACCACTAAGTAGCTGGGTGACCTTGGAGGAAGTTAATTAACCTCTCTGAGCTCCAACTTCTTTATCTGTGAAATGGAGATAATAATACCACCTACTGCATAGAGTTGCTTTATTGTGAAGATCAAGTGGGAGAATGTATATAACACATTTAGTGCAATGTTTGGCACATAGCAAGTGCTCAATAAATGGTAGCTTTATTACTATTATTGTCTGAGGGAGGGCAAATGAGGAGGTCAATACCCCAAAGCCCTACCTTAGGCTGCAGTGCTCCCCAGGTAGCAGAAGTCAGCCTTAGCCTCTTGAGGAATTATTTTGTTTTGCTTTTGTTTTACAGCCAAGGCTGGACAATTCAATGGCAGGCTGCAGGTGACCTGGTCTGAGCTAAGGCAGGGGAAAGGCCAGGGCCCCACAGACTCCAGGGGCCATGGAGACCCTGTATAGTGCAGGACAGCATGCTGTTTGGAGTTTGCTCTGTTGGAGATTTTCTGTGCACGTTTCCTGGACAACTTGTTCTTCTCTTCCCTGGTCCCTGGAGCCCCTGCCGACTGAGGTTTCCAGGAATAGGCCTGTCCTCTCTTAGGTAAGGAAAGGCCATTTCAGGATACCTGAGGGCAGAGGCTATCTGGGTCTAGGGCTCTATGCAGCCCAGCTCCTCCAAGAGAGCCCCCAGGCCCAGCAAGGCTGCTGGGCTTTGTTCATATTCATCCTCACTTGGAGCTGCACCTTTTCTCCAGGCTGTGCGGGAATGTGCATCACCATGGAAACGCTGGAGGTGAAATCACTCAAGTGTTGGCAAGCGCAGTTTCTCTCTGGAGCTTGGAAAAATGGAGAGCAGGAGAGCAGGCTCATGGTGTCACAGAAAGGAAAGATGCCCTTAAAACAACCCAAATGCTCTCAATTTCACTTGGGGCCTTTCCCTTTAAATAAAAGCTGAACAATAAATGAAAGAGAAATGTTTTCAGTCTCTAGATCGGCTACCCCAGGGAGTCCGCTTGGAATGGACATGTCGATCCTTTCTGGCTTTCCTAATCTGCTACATCTTGTAGACTGGATAACGCATCCTGTCTGGAAAGAAATGGGGTGACATCTCAGAGTTGATATTTTAAATAGATGAAGCTGAAGCTCAGAAGTGCAGACCTTTGTGCCTGTTGGCCATTTCTGGTCCTTGGGCTGATTTTTGGGCCCAGAACACATTTTCTAAATGAGAATCTGACAGGCTCCTGGTGGCTACAGTCAGCAAGGATGTATTTGCTCACCTGAGGGGCTCCAAGATAAGCTGTGCCCATACCTGTTCACAGACTGCCCCACCCACAGGCTTGTAAGGGCTCTACGCCAGCTCCTAGAAATGCTTTTGGCAGTGAAGGACCACATAGCTCTGGCTGCCTGGGGCAGGGAGGGAAGGCAGGGTCTAGGCAGAGTGAGAGTGTGCTGGTGGTGGTTGGCCACTGGAACAGCTTGAGGGAGACTTTGGTTAGCTGGGGGACCTGCACATGCCCGTAGCTTGGTGAGGGCCATCGGTGTGGACCACCTGATAATTCTAGCTCAGTCTCAAGAGTTACATGATTCTTTCTTGTTTTATTTTCCTCCGTTGGATAATTCTTCCTCTCCTTCCATCAAGGGCAGTTTTGAACACATTGTGTAAAGGCTCGGCTTCATTCATTTACTCATTCATTCAACAAATATTCATTAAGGGCTGTCATGTGTCAGTGACCTTACGGTAAGGTCTGAGTTACAGTCTTCTTGGAAATAGTCTTGGGCCAGGAAGTTAGAATAGATATATCACAGATAAAGAATTTTTTTTTTTTTTGCAAAAGACCAGTGCTTTCAGCAAATGACTCTATTTTAACAGTTGTAAATTTTCTGTTTTTATCAGGGACTTTGATTACTATGTCAAAGGATGTTAAGACAAATAGGCAGACAGACAAACAGATAGAAACACTATTGGCCTTGAAACTATGGACAGCGCTTTACTTTGCTAGGTGAAAACAGGCAGGTCAATCCAAATGCCATTGAACTTACTGCATTCTGTGCGATTAAGGTTGCCCTTTAACCTCCCAGTGCTTTAGTTTTTCTCCATATTAAACTTTAGCCAGAACAATTAGAATACTCCATGTGTCAGAGATCCTAACATGGGAAGAGGTAAGGTTTGGAGATGCTGGCATGTGGGGCCAGTGACACCTCTCCTGGTATCTGACTTAAGGGGTGTCATTTACACAGATTGTGGGTAGTGGCTTCTGGAGTTGGTCAGGCAGCTTTGAAGGTTGGGGTTTGGAGTCAGGTGGGAACTAAGCCATCATACATGTTTGGGTTTACTATAGCAGCAAGCAGTACCTTAACAAACACACTGTGAGCCCTGAGGTTTTCCTACCAGGATCTGCTTGGGATCAGGAACTCACTTTTGGTCCAATCAGTTGTGGCAAAGGACTCCTGTAGAGAAAACCATGGTTATCTCTGCTCAGGAAATGGTGTAAGGCTTCTCTCAGTAGGGGCTTCAGTGGGGAAATTTTTCTTGGAAGGGGATTATGAGTATGGCAGTTATTTTGAATTACTGTTTAATGTTGCTAGGTAAAAAAAACCCAAACGAGCTTCTATATAACATAAATCTGACTTCTAGTAACTTCCCGTCTTATTCCCAGATCTTCTCTTTGTAGCAGTAGTTTATCTCATTCTCTGTTGTCATGTTTCCAGGGGTTCCCTTTTCTAAGCTGCTCCCCACTTGTGACCTTATTCCTTTATGGAATAAGGTCCTGAAGCATGGGGTTTGGAGTCACAGACATTAGCTCAAATTCAACTATATCTCCACACACTGGTCTTGTGATCGTGAACACATCATTTCTCTGAATCTCAAACTCTTCACCTGTAAAATGGAGATGTATGCACTTTACAGGACTGTTGCATGTAATGAGATCCTGTGCCTGAAGTGCCCAACATTGTGCTCTGTAGAGTAGGTTCCCACTCAGCAGCAGCTGTGATTTCTGTTGGGTTTGATGTTGTGATCTCAGACCCTTCAACCAAACTGGTTAGGGGCTCTGAATATATTGAGGTTGGTTCAAATGCAGTGGCACTTGGATCTGAGCAGAGTTTTGTAGCTGGTATCCAACTGATGTCAGCTCAGGGCACCACTGCTTCTTGTGCTGTGGGTTCAGTACTCATGCTCCTTCCCACTGGTTAGCAGGCCTGTCAAGTCACTGGTCATTTCATGGCACTTGTTCTTGATGGGACCTTTAGATCATTATGGCAGTAGCATTGCACTAACTCACCCAGGTCGACTTAAGACATCACTGTTGGTCCTAGGCCTTGACATCTTAGGGCATCTCCCATGGCACTGCCAGCTGAGAGGTGGTTTTGGGAGCCTGACACTTTTTAAAGGACCTTTGAAAGAATTCTATGGAACAATAATTCTTATCCTCCCTTGGCTCATGGATCTTTTGGAGAATTGGATGAAAGTCCTGGCCCTCCTCTCTAGAAAACATCCACATATACATTTACACAGTGTTTCACATACTATATGGGAAATCTCCAAGGAGTATGAACCCTTGGCTGGCAAGTTTGGATTGGGAACATGCCTGCCACTTGTGGGGAGCTGTGAACTCTTTCTGGGGAGGGAGATCCAGGCAGCCTGCCCTCCCATGGCCTCAGAAAAGTGAGAAGGATCCAAGCACTTTCCTCATCGAGTTCAGATCAACTGTATGAAACCTCAGAGGGGCCTTCTCTATGCCTGCCTAACCATCTCAGTCTGAGCAATCCTACAGGTTCTGAACGTTAATCAGTGTCATTGTGAGTCTGTGGATGTTACATGGAAGTTAATTGGTTCTTTGGAGGAAAATGAGTCACCATCCATGAGATTAGGCTTCAGGGCAGCCACACACAGAGGAAAAGGAAAATGAAGCTACACACAGAAAAGATCAAGTGTGCCCATACTTCTCCTCCTAGACGGCAATCCGAGACGAGCCCACTTCTGCTGATGGGGCTTAAAGAGGTTTTCAGAACCAGTAAGACAAAGGACGCTGTCTCCTCCTCCCCCGTCTTTGTTTCTTTCCCTCCTCTTCTGCATGTGGAGCCACATCTAGCGGAGGGGGAAGGGGACAGGCCATCCGCTTGACTGTCAGAGCTGATCACTGCTGACCTTATCAGAACACAGAATCAATACACTCTCCTCCCAGCAGCCCAGAAAAATCATAAGGAGTTTGAACCAAAGCAATTTGAAGTGCAGAATCGTCTGAATCAGGGGGGAAGCCAGTAAACTGTTGGACCTCTGAATCCTCCCATGCCCTTCTTCAGAGTCAGGTGAGACCAGTAACCTCACTAGAATTCTAGTGCAGGATGGGCACCTGATGCGGGGGGAAATCCAAAGCAGCCACTGTTAATCAGCCCCCCTCCTAGCTGGCTGATACTCTGGGTTCAGAGCATGAGCTGTGTTGGGAAGGAGGGCTGTGGTGTTGAGGGCAAGAGCCTGGGACAATGGTCTTAGTCTTTGCCAGGGCCCTTTGGCAGGTTCTTTCCAAGCCTGGCCCTGGAGCAGAGATCACTAGGTGAGGAAAGCAAAATCACCTAGTGACCATTGAACAGGCCCCGGAGAAAAAACGCCTCATCTGAGGAATTTAGAAGGAACTAAAAACCACCTAGTGACTATCAAACAGGCCATCCGGAGATGAAACTCATTACCTGGGGAAATTAGAAGTAATTAGACTTCCTTATTATCTAAAACAGGCATCTGGTTCTAGATTTCTTTCCCTCTCCAAAATTTATAAGAATTAGAATTTCTATACATCTCTGGAATGCCACGCTAAAACTCAATCTGCAACCTTTGCTGATATTAAGGCACCAATATGTCTACAATGTCATTTATCATGACCTACGTGACTAATATAATCCAAATTACCCTTAAGCTCATGCCTTAAGGTCCATAAATGCTTCCAAGGAAAAATCCACTGCGGCTTGCTCTGTCTTCTGTTGCCGAGGCGACCCGCTGCACCCTTTTGCAGCGTTCTTCCTTCCTAGTAAACTTTCCTTTTTCAAACCTATACTATTGTTGGTAAATTCTTTTTACCAAGCCACGAGTTGGATCACTTCCCAATGCCAGGGCTCTGACACCCTGCCTGGCACGAGGCTCTAGCCGTGCCCTTGTAAAAACCAAGGTTTATCACTGATTTAGAACTAAGTGGCCTTCATCATGTTACCATCTCTCTTTGCTCTCTCATTTCTTCGCTGCTCTATCTTTTCTCCCGATGTGTTTTTTTCTTTTCTCTTTCTACTTTGCCTCTTTTTTCCAGGAGGGATAAGACTGGGAAGAAGGAATGGATGAAAGGGATCACCTGGTACCCTTTCACTTTGGGTGAAAGGGAAGGGGAGTGAGAAGGGATCACCTGGTACCCAGCAGACGGGCCAGCCTTCATGCAGAAGGTGGGTCACCTCAGTGACGAGTTTTGGTTTGAGGTTTGGGGAGCCCAGCCTATCCAGAGCATCAGAGGCCGTTCCCTGGTGGCAGTGAGACCTGAGCTTTTCTTGGCCATGTCTTCCATCCCTTCTCTGGCCTTTTCAGTCCTTCTAAGAACAAACTAATGTCTTGAGTGCTGTGCACCCCCCCATGCCTGGTATTCCTGCCACCTCAGAGCTCTTAGCAGTTGGATCCAATGTAGCCCATGTGCCCAGGGATGGCAGGGCATCAGACATCCTTCTCACACTGTAATTGCCCATCAGTCTTTCTCCCTCATTTGGCAGCAAGCTCCTTGAGGAGAGGGACTTGTCTGGTTCCCCTTGTGTCCTGAGAGCCTGTCCCAGGAACCCAACAGAGTAGGCTCAGAGACTGGACTTCCTGAGAAGTGCTCATCAGGAAGCAGGACCAGCTTGACCAGCTGATTTCTTCATTGACCCCCACATAGAGTTGTCTTGTCAGCCCCTCTGTGTCCTCGTCACTTTGTTGTTGAGCAAGAATATGGGCAGCAGATCTGGTCACCTCCTCAGCCTCACCACACACTTACACAGTCATGCCTTTGCAAAATTGGTGCCCTCTACCCAGGCACAATGAATTGCTCTCTTTTCTAATTCTGAGTTCCCAAAGGACTTTGTATTCACCTTTTTTATAGCACCAATCACATTGTGTTTTATTGGTTGTTTGTACGGCTGTTTCCTCTTAAGCAGACAATTCATCTGTTCCACGAACACTTGTCAAGTACCAGCCTTTGCCAGATATTGGGAGACATGAGGAACAGCACAGGCAGGGTTCTGGCCCTGATGGAGCCAAGTGGGAGGATGGATGGCCTAGACAATGCCAGGCACAAAGTAGGCCCACATCATATGCTTATGGAATAGAATTGAGGATGTGGTTACTTGGAGAGGTCAGGAGGGGAAGGGAGTTAATGTTTTATTGTTATCATACATAAAGAGAATCTAGAACTGGGAGGGAAGAAAAGTGACTAGAAACCAAGAAAATCAAGTTGGCTGAGGTGGGCTTGGGGAGGGAGCCCAGCAGGTCAAACCATTGTGAGAACAGCATTAATGAGGAGCCTGCCATCCACAGGGATCATCCAAGGCTGAGGCTGCACATTCTCTGCCAGCTGTTTATAACTGCCATCACTGTGGACAGGTCTCGGATCTGTGGCTGCCAATGCTGGGGGAGGGGGAACAGGTATCAGGAGAGTGTGCAAGGAGGCACAGTGGCAGGGGGGTCCTGGAGCCGACTTTATTAATTGAGGGGAATGTAATGCACCTGATTTCTTCTAATCACATGGGTAAATGGAGGGAAACCATCCCGGAGCAAGCACTAAAGCAGCAAGGAAGAAGTAGCACAGATTGGCGTTCTCCTCTGTATGGATGGAGACAGTGAGGTGGGGAGCAGATGGGAGTGGTACCGTGAGCTTTTAGAGTCACCAGCATGCAGAGTCCCTGCCTATGGTGCTGGAGAGAGGCTTGCCATTTCCCTGCATGGGCTGATGTGCCCTAGTGGCAGGTGAGGCTGCCAGTGTACCAGCTGTCAGGATTTCCTGATGGAGAAGCTGGGAGCCGGCCCCTTTGCTCAAGCTCAACCTCTCTTCCCAGAGTCTCCCTTCTCACACAACTGGGCTCCTAGGCCCAGGCATCCTAGGAAATTTTCCATGCCCCAGAACCTCATCAACCCTCAGGCAGGGAGCAGAAACAAACGTGGCAGTACCAGCTGCAGATGGCCACAGTTTCTAAATAAGCATTTCATTTGTCTGGAACCCAGGGAAAACGTGGTCAAGTTATAGAGAAAAATAGATGAGTAGGGAGAGCCTGATTTTAAATCCTGCTAGTTGTGCTCAGCGCATCCATAAAAATAAGCAGAGTTCTCTTTTTAAGGGGGCCACTGTTAATTAGCCGCGGCACCCATTCAAGCACTTCATCTAGTAATAACGTGGTTATGCCATGCTGGGGAAAAGCGTATGTTTCCACATATCCTTTTTATGCCTACTCCTGTCATGCCGAAATTGGCTCCTTCACTCCGTAACTGTGCTTTATGTAAGAATTGAACAGGAATAGCATTGCTTGTGTTTATACCTGCTGCCCTCCCCTGGAAGGCCAATTCTTCCTTGTTCCTCCTTCCGGAGGTCAGTGCTCAATCCTGATTGGAGTAGACATACGGTCCATTTCCATGAGCTGCGTGTTGTGTTTCTCTTTTTCTTTCCCCATTAAGTGATGTCCAGAAGTGCTTTCTGTGTCCTCTGTATAACCCCTGTTGGCTTGCACTGAGTTCTTCATGCATCTGGATGAATAGCAGGAGTTCTGCTGCCCACCTTCCCAAGATGAGGCTTCCATTCTCCTCTCATCCCCCCATGACAGGCTTTTCCTGCCCAAGGAGGGGTTTAGACGGTGATTCAGAAAGTCTCCTGCATGCCACCATGGTAAGACATTTTAGCAGGTGACAGGGTATGCATGGGGCACCTGACACCTGGCTTGAGTCCCAGCTGCACTGCTGATAACCTCATTGAGCTCCATTTTTCTCATCTGGAGGGTGGGACTGAGAAGCTCTGTTGCTGGGAAAAATGATGGCTACCAAGCTCCTGGGCATCTTTCAACCTGCTTCCTTAGATGTTCATCAGCCTGGGCTTACATGAGGTATGAGGCCAGATGACCTTAAAAGAACCTTAAGAAAGGCTAAAGAGCCTTTTATTTTTAGGCTGAGTCTGGGTGCAAAGGTTCTTGGGTTCTGAGTAGGGTCTGTTTGGTTTGGGTATTCTGATTTGCCCTTGGCTTTTAAAGACCCCATGGATCCTCATTAGTATAACAGCAAGTGATTTTTAAGCACGTACCATATGTAAGCTCTGATCTGGTGGTTTGTACTCTTTGAATTATTTAATCTTTTTCACCTCCCTATAAGGTAGGTATTATTATTCTCATTTTATGGATAAGAAAACTGACACTTAGAGAGTCCTGAACAATGGGTCTAAGATCTCACATCTGATAAATGTGAGAGTTGGGTTTCAATTGGTCTGTTGACTCCCACTTCCATCTTTACGCTATTCATTGTTAGCTCTCCAGAAATCTAAGAATCCAAGTTGAGCAACTCCCTGGAGCAGCTCTGTCCATCAGAACATTTTCTGCAATGATGGAAAAGTTCTGTCCTGCTGTGTCCAATATGATAACCATTAACCACTTGAAATGTTGCTAATGTCACAGAACTGAGTTTTAAATTTTATTTGATTTTAATTAATTTAAATTTAGGTAACTCATGTGGCTAGTGGTTACCATATTGGATAGTGCAGCCCTAGAGCTTGCATTTTGCTGATGCAAGTCCTCAAGGAGATTCCAGGAGCTCCTAATCAATGGCTCCTGCTCACACTCCTTCCATCCTACCCCCATATATGGGCACACACTTAATGATTACTCTCCTGTGATTCTATAGTAAACTGTACTTTAACTTTTGGTTTCTGATCTTTACTCTCTGGGCCTCCAGTTTCCCAGCTAAGCTCCATGTGCTCTTTCTCCTCCTCTGCAGAACTCACTTTGCTTCTTGTCCACTAGGAAGTTTAGATTCTCACAGTCTTATGAGGCACTGGGGACTCTGCCTTGGCTCTGTAGCTGTGATTGACGATCCTTTTAGCCCTCCAGAAGTGGCTGATGCTTGGGAACACAGACTCTTTTCACATTCTTGGCGGTTTGGGTGTCACATTTTTTTCTTTCTCTTTAAAATATCCTTTTTACTGGTTATAAAAGTAATGGGTGTTGGTTATAGAAAATGTAAAAAACATGGAAAAAAACCTATAGGAGGAAATAAAAACTTTGAGCCATAGTACTATTTAGACATTACCACTTTTATAATTTGAGCTTTTCCTTCTTTATATATGTATTTCTAATATAAGGGAAATACCATTTATATTCTCAATTTTTATTTAGCAATAGATCATGAAGATTTTGCCATCAAATATACTTCAAAAATATGGTTTGAAATGGGTATAAATTGTTTTCTTGTGTGACTATATCATAGTTTATTTAACAAATGCCTCAGTAGGACATTTAGGTTATTCCCAATCTTTTAATGTTACAGATAACACTCATCAGTATCCTGGGAGCTGATACAGAGAATTATTTGTATATATCTGTAATCAGTTCACTAGAGCGGATTCCTAGAATTGCAATTGAGAGGTGAAAGGCCATGCATGGCTTAAAGCTCTAACTCGGTATTGTCGAAATTGCTTCCAGGAAGATTTTTTACCAAGTTTTATTCCTATTCACAGAGAATGAGAATGCCTGACTATGTAGGGATCAAATAATCTGAGCAAGTGCCCCCCCCCATATCCACCACTGTAATTTTAAAAAATTGGAATTAGATTTTTCACTTACTTTTGCTGTGTAAGAACTTATCCCAAAACTTATCAACTTAAGTAACCACTTTATCTTATTCACAGTTTTCTGGAACAGTAATTTGGGAAGGTCTTGGATGGACAGTTCTTTCATGGGATCTCTGACATGGCTACTGTCAGAAGTTCACTAGGGCTGGAATCATCTGAAGTCCTTGACAAGGCTAGACAGGCAAGATGGCTCATTCACACAGCTGCACTTGGTGCTTCCTGTTGCCTAGGAGCTCAGCTGGGGCTGTTGACTGGAGTGCCCACATGTGAACTCTCTAGCATGGTAATCTTATGGTATTAGACTTTTGACATGGTGGCTAGCTTACTCCAAAGTGAGTGTTCCAAGGGTTCCAAGTGGAAGCTGTGTGGCTTTTTCTGACCTAGCTTTGGGAGTCATACAGTGTCACTTCTACCATACTCTACTGGTCAAAGCAGTCATAAGTTTGTCCAGATTCAAGAAGAGGGAATATGGACTCCACCTTAAAATAAGAGAAATGTCAAAGATCCAAGGCTATTAAAAAAACTGTCATAGAAGTTATATTACATGTAAGCATTGGCTGAACATCATTAGTGATATGTTCACCATCAATGGTACTCAAGTGTTTGAAGGACCTTTGTCTAAGAAGAGGTTCAAAGACCCTCCAGGATATGCAAGGTGACTGTCATGGGTCTTGTGTTGTGTTCATGTATACGTGAATATGGGAAAACATGAGCAGGCTGAGATTTGTTAGTCAATGTGAACGAAGAGTCAAGAGTCCATGGCCTTGACTCAAGGCCAGTGATGGGTTGAGTGCCATCATTGATCTAGGATTGGCTGGCTGATGACTCCCAGGCATCTCTGACATCAGGAAGGAGATTCAGAGACCAGTCAGGCAGGAGGACTCTGTTTTTGATGCCTTCTCTGGGGAGTAACTTGGGAGCCCAGCAGCAAGCCTCAAATTTGTGACCAGCCAAGAAGTGGTTAATCCACTGTCCCTACCATGTCTGCACTACAGGAGTCCCATCCCCAGGACCAGGGTGAAGGAACAAAGAGAGATTCACCTGGTTCTGACCATTGACTTTTAGTGAATAGACTTTTGTTTTAGGACCTTGAATGTCAATACCTGATTTGATCAACCTTGGACAAGATAGTGAAACAGAGAAGAAATCCCAGAAGGCCCTGATAGTTACCTGTGTTCATTGGTACCTCAGTCTAGCCTAGGACATCCATGTTGCCATCTCACCTTAGATACCATTCTTGACTCATTTTTTTTAAAATGTGCCCTACTCTACTTTGTTCCCAGTTGGACAGATGACCTAGCTACCTCTCAGGGTTTGGGGGGCCAGGATCCTGTCCCTGAGCTTTAAAACTCTTCATGACTCCTTGGGTCCATACTCACATTTTCTGCATGGTTCTCTCTAGATATAATAAGTATCCTAACCCAGATATTGGTTAGGAATGGAGCCCACATCCTATCAATCACCTCTTACCTCTGCACAGCACACAGCAGGGGAGTGTATCAGAATCTTCTGGGGACCTTTTCAGAATACATATGATCAGGACCTACTCTGGACCCTGGGTTAGATTTCTGGAGAGTGAGAGTTTGGCAGGTCTACTTTGAAACAATTCTTTGACAATTATGCTGCCACTTTCCTCCAAAGAGCCGTAGTTTACAAGGTGTTTTCTTTTACATCTGTCACCTCAGTTGATCCTTGCAAAAGGCAAGACAGGTGTTATTACCTGTTTCACAGAAAAGGAAACTGAAGCACAGGGAGCTTAAGTGACTAGTTTGTAAATCTCAGAGCTACATTTGAATCAAGAATTTCTGTCTCCTCTGGAAACCATTTGGCAGGTTCCTTTCTGTGAAGACCTCACGGGCACTTCCTTCATTGTGGCATTTTTTGGGCCATGAGTGGTGTGACTGGCAGATGTTTTGTTGGACTGTGCTATAGCTCAGTGGGCCATAGGGTCTGAGACAGGAAAGCTCTGGAGCTTAGACTGAGCCTCCTGCTGTGTACATAAGGAAAACTTCCTATCTGATCAGCTTGCAAATTTTAGCTGAATTGGGGTTATGAAGGTGACACTTCCTCTGGTGGGAACATTGAAATCATTAGGATGCACAGCACATTTCCAGATGCAACAGCTAGGCTCCATTCCTCCAAAATGTAAGTTGGTGGTGGTGAAAAACAACTGAACAAACCTTTATTTTACATTTCAAAGTGCTGCTAGGGGAGGAAGGCCAGCCTGCTCCTTGGAAGTGATTCTGGACAAGAACCAGCTCTTAAAGGCCAGGATGCATCCTTTTGAAAGAAAACACAAGGGGATATCTGGAATAAAAGCCTTCATCCCTAGCCAGCAGGAATGGTGAATGCTAACTAGGTGTCTGCCCAATCCTGTATCCATTTGGTGATAAAGACATTACAGTGTCTTCATGCTGGAGGAGATAAGTAAAGATGATAACCACAATATTTAAGAGTTAAAAGGGACCTCAGAGACCCCCTGATCACCTTTTATTATTTTCAGTACAAAAGCCAGGCTCAGAGTGGAGAAGAGCCTTTTCTAAAGTCACCAAGTGCATAAGTGGAACCCAGGACTCCTCCTGCTCATCATGCCACCTTGAAGCTTCCTGGAGCATCAAATGCCTGTTTGAGGGAGAGATACTTATTCTTAATCCATTCATGTTGTCTTTAGTACATGGGACCCAGGGTGCAAAGTGGAGTCAGGCATTTTCTGACTTTTAGTGTGGCAAGTTTTCAGTTTTGAACCTTTTTAATGCCATCCCAGCTCTCTTCCTTTGATGAGAGGATGAGCTATGCATTAAAATAGGATATCTACAACTGATCTGTTGAGTTTTGAGTGCTTAGAGAGGCTCCCAAACCACTTCTGCTACAGAGCTCAAATGGCCTCCATTTGTAAGGTCCTCATGATCTCAGTTAGAATGTAAAGCAATGAGCCATTATTAGCCATACATATATGACTTCCAATTTTGTTTTCCTGATGAGTTTAAATAACCAAGGAGATATTTCGATAGGGATAGTGGATAGGTAAGTTTGAAGGCTGGAGGTAGATTTTGAAATATGTGAGCAGTAAACATGGCCTAGAGAAGACATACTAAGTTGGGAATTTCATGGGCCATCGGGGACAATATAAAGGCACCAATGGCCTAAAGGTGGAGGAGGGAGAGAGAACCAACAAAGAATTGAGAGGGCAGGGAGTAGCAGCTCCAAAAACCTCCACTGCCTAGCTCAAAATTTTCCTGGGATTCATCCTTGCTACCATCCTTGGCTAAGTCCATGGGATTTCCCACCAGACGTTATGGCCATTGGGCTTTCTAATCAATAGTCAGAGAATCTGATTCTCCTTTGGTCTAAGAGTGCATCTGCCATGTCTGTGTGCTAAGAACTCAATATCAAATAGAACTGCACTCTGGAAGGACCCTCTGAGGACATCTAGTCAAGTCCCTTGACTGGGCAGGTGAAGTCCTGAGAGTTTGTGTAGACCTGCTTCAGCCAGCCAGTGGGGCATTGAGCCTAGGACCCCATTCCCCTGACTTCTATCTTTCTCTTTCATAACAGACCCTGAAATGGTGACACACACTTCTGCTTGTGATTTGTATCTGGGACTCGGAGCCCCAGCTTTGGCTTCCAGAATCTCTGAATTGACAGGTATTGGGGCAAGGTAGACACTTCTGACATCTTTCTTGGGTCGAATGATCATATGTGCTCAAAAGATGTCTTCATTCTGAAAAAAGGAGTATTCTCTAGACAGGTACATTACCTAGTGGACCACAGGAGTGAGTGAGAACAGGGAAGGAAGAAGGGAAAAGTGGCTGTGTTTTGCAAATTAGATGATGATAAGGATAATTTCTGCAGTTCCATTTCCTAGAGGGAGTACTTAGTAAGTGGCATATCCTGCTCAGAGAGAGCCCAACCTGTCCACTCATTCTCATGCCTGATCATCCGACACCTTTGATAGTGACCAACAATAATAATTTACATTTACTGAGCACATTTTGCCAAGAAACTAAAAAACATATTATAAATGTCATGTGCTATGACAGGCACTATTATCCTGTGAGAAATATTGCAACAAATCATCCGATAATTAATTTGCAAATACCAGAAAACCAGAGGGTACTGGATGAAAACCAACATGACTGTGCAGGGAGCCAATCACATCAGACCAATTTAATTTCCTCCAGGTCAGAATGACAGGTCTGGAAGATAAGGCAAAAGCAATAGACGTAAAATATCCTGACTTCAGTAAGCCCTTTAGCTCTGTTCCATATGATGTCCTCATAAACATGCTATGAAAATATGGTGTTGGCTCTGCTATTGTTACTTTGTCTTTGATTTATCATAGTTCTCTCTCCCTAAAGAATTTGAATGGAGTGCTCTGCAGAAAAATATCTGCTGCCTGGGAGAGCACTGTAAGGGCCCTGTACAGGACTCAGGCCTGGAATTAGTCTTGTTCAGTAATATGATTACAGAGATAACTCATGGTGACACAACACTTTAACATTTACAAAATGCTCAGAGCTGGGTCTCACACCCAAGTCTTTAGTTTCTAAGCTTAGATTATTTTCTGCTCTCCCATACTGCCTTGAAAGGAGCTAGCTATTCACACAGCTATTCCAGAGGAACTATGCTTTTGTGATGAGGAGGTTTAGAACAGTAATATTTGCAGTGGAAGATGAGGGAAGCTGGTTCCCTGAGGATAGCCCCCAGCCCTGTGCTCCAGGCTTTTTCCATCATGATTCCCTTGGTGGAGTCAAGCAGTTGTGGGTGGGCCTGCTGGTGAGCCTGAAGGCAGATGTGATGCTGGGAGTTTGGTTCAGGTGAGGATGGAGTGAGTAAGGTAGAGAAGGCTCTCCATTCTCAAAGACTGGGGTGAAGAAGGGAGATTTCACAACTCCCTGAGAGGCCCAGCTGCTAAGAGGGCCAGAGGGACCCTCAGAGAGCTGTTGCACCTGTTGCCGGATGCGTGTGGTCCCTGGAAACACTGCCTGAGCCTGCTGACCAGTGGTGCCAGGTAGAAGAGGACTGCCACACTGTCCTATGTCAGGGAATGTGGGACAGAGCTGCTTTCTTGACCCCTGCAGAGAGGGCGCTTGTAATTGTTGGACAGCTTATTCACTGCCAGCCCACCAGGAGGCACAAATCCACCATCTTTCTGACGCCTTCTGGTTTGAGACACCCTAAACAGCCCAAACAGTGCGAGTGCCCAGGGAACATATAATCATGAGTAGAAAAAGAAAACTCATTATCCACTTAAGGGAATTTAGTAAACAATGAGAATAGGTAGCTTGTACTGAGGTAGAACAAAACGATGTGGCAGAAGAGAGCTTTATTAGACTGGAAGTAAGAGCTCTCAAGGAAAACCAGAGAACAACATGAATTTTCTTAAACAACGAAAAATGATTTCTTAATTTAAAAAATTTCAGCTGGGCACAGTGGCGCACACCTGTAATCCCAGCACTTAGGGAGGCCGAGGCAGGCAGATTACCTGAGGTCGGGAGTTCGAGACCAGCCTGACCAACATGGAGAAACCCTGTCTCTACTAAAAATACAAAATTAGTTGGGCATGGCGGCACATGTCTGTAATCCCGGCTACCTGGGAGGCTGAGGCAGGAGAATTGCTTGATCCCAGGAGGCAGAAGCTGCAGTGAACCGAGATCGCACCATTGCACTCAAGCCTGGGCAACAGGAGCGAAACTCCATCTCAAAAAAAAAAAAAAAAAATTTCATAGGCAAACTGTAAAAGGGACTGGTCACTGCTGGGAACCAAATTAGCATTCTGGATGATCATATGGGAGACATAGCTCACCAACTAAGTGAAAATGCAAAATACAAAGATATGGTGCTTATGAGCAAAACGCTAAGAAATATAACCAAGAAATCTAATATGAAAAAAGCCAGGGGTTATAGAAGGGTAGAAGGAGAGATAATAGCTAAAGAAATGATAGATGAAACATTTTCTGACTGAAGAAAGACATGGTCTGTAGTAAGGAAGGGCTCAGTGAGAGTTCCAGGATTGTTGCAAACAGATGCACCCCAGGCATAGGAGGCGTTGCTGAGCTCCAGAGAAAAAGAAAATTTTACAGACTGTGGATAGAAAAAAATGAGACATTTACAAAAAAGGCTTTTACATTTATTTGTGGAACTGGAAACTGGAAGACTGTGGAACAATATTTACCAATATTGAAAGAAAAGGGAATGATTATCTCTCAGAGAGTTTTTGGACATACAAAGCACCAGTGAAGATTCTACCCACATTCCACATGCAGGGTCAAAAATTAGAAGGGATGGTAAAAATGACTGTAGCCCCCCATCAATCATATTGATTTTTCCCTTTGTGAGTGTGTGTGTTCCCGTGTGATAAGGACAGGGCATCCTAATAGTAGGGAATGGAGAGAAAGTCAGGAAGTCTGTTAAACCGGTAGGTGGGCTCAGAAGGTTTTGATGCTTGTTTGCATTTAGAAATGTTTACTGAAGAACTGAGTTGACTATAACAAACATAATCTCAGCCTTGTGTGAGGGGGCCACAGACAAACAAATTTGGTTGTAGTGGAATTTCCCAGTGGGAGAAACAAGACATAGTGCTGGAAGACCAGACGTTCCTTCCTGAGCACTTTCCCCCTAAGGTTGCCAGGCTTAGCAAATCAAAATACAGGATACCCAGTTAAAAATTGGAAATGGGAGAAAATTTTTGCAATCTATCCGTCTGACAAAGGGCTAATATCCAGAATCTACAAAGAACTCAACAAATTTACAAGAAAAAACCAAATAACCCCATCAAAAAGTGGGCAAAGGATATGAACAGATACTTCTCAAAAGAAGACATTTAGGCAGCCACCAGACATGTGAAAAAATGCACATCATCACGGGCCATCAGAGAAATGCAAATCAAAACCACAATGAGATACCATCTCATGCCAGTTAGAATGGGAATCATTAAAAAGGCAGGAAACAACAGATGCTAGAGAGGATGTAGAGAAATAGGAACGCTTTTACACTGTTGGTGGGACTGTAAACTAGTTCAACCATTGTGGAAGACAGTGTGGCAATTCCTCAAGGATCCAGAACTGGAAATACCATTTTACCCAGAGATCCCATTACTGGGTATATACCCAAAGGATTATAAATCATGCTACTATAAAGACACATGCACAAGTATGTTTATTGCGGCACTATTCACAATAGCAAAAACTTGGAACCAACCCAAATGTCCATCAGTGATAGACTGGATTAAGAAAATGTGGTACATATATACCACGGAATACTATGCAGCCATAAAAAAGGATGAGTTCATGTCCTTTGCAGGGACATGGATGAAGCTGGAAACCATCATTCTGAGCAAACTATCACAAGGACAGAAAACCAAACACCACATGTTCTCACTCATAGGTGGGAATTGAACATTGAGAACACCTGGACACAAGGCGAGGAACATCACACATGGGGGCCTGTCATGGGGTGGGGGGCAGGGGGAGGGATAGCATTAGGAGAAATACCTAATGTAAAGACGAGTTAATGGGTGCAGCAAACCAACATGGCACATGTATACATATGTAACAAACCTGCATGTTGTGCACATGTACCCTAGAACTTAAAGTATAATAATAAAAAATAAATAAAAATTGGAATTTCAGGTAAACAAAAAAGTGTGTGTGTGTGTGTATTCCTAATTAGTGCATAAGCATCCTGTATTTTACCTGTATTCTCACCTCAACCTGGAGCCACAGAGAACTAACTACAGTTTTCGGGGAGCTTGGGATGTCAGCTATAGATAGATTCTTAATACTGGAGTTTCAATGGGAAGGGAAAAAAAGAAAGCTTGAAGTGAAAGATGGGGTCAGGGCCAGTGTGGGAACTAGAGAAGGAGTGGTTTCTGAGCACCAGCTTGTCTTTCTCCCATTTTAAAACAGATTTGAATTGGTACTTGCCTTTGTGGCATTTGAAATCTAATTATAAAGATTGTGTGTGTGTGATAATAAGAACTAAGTTTCATTGAGCATTTATCACATATCAGCCACTATGCTAAGCACTTTAGCTCACTTATTCTTCAAAATAATGATCCCCATTTTATAGATGAGGAAATTACACTGCAGAGAGTTTAAATAACTTGCTTAAGGTCACACAGCCAGCAAGTGGCAGAGCCAGGACTTGAACCCAGGTTTGCCTGATCCTGGGAGCTGCACTTTTGCCCTCTATGCCATCCTACTCCACAAACAAGTACAGCAAGCAAAAAAACAAAAACCAGGCATAGTGCTTGCTGACCCTGTTTGCAGGCTTTAGGGTGATCAGGGTGGAAGAGATTGACGGGGGAAGTCTTCTTGGAAAAAGAGACCAGAAAACTGGATTCTCTCCAATGGGTTTGAATTTGGGTTGGGGAAAGGAGTGAGCAGTGAGAATGTCAACTGGGACTAGTGGAAGGAGGGGCTAGGTTGGGTGGTCAGTGAGGGTAGGGGTGGATGGGTCATGAGGCGGTGCCCCAACACATCAGAGGAGACAGGAAGAGTTGAGTTGGCCTAGCAGGGACAGTATTTGTGTCCAGTGTGGTACACAGAGGGACCAGGAGAGAGGTTCACCATAGGCTGAAGAGGAGGGCAGAGGAGTGGTGGGGGTGGGGGTAGAGTGGGCAGGTTGGAGCCATGTTTAGGAGGTATGTAGACAAGGCTTAGAGATGGAACTTGATGTAATGTGGGGAGAGGCAGATGGGAGGATGCCCACAGCGTCCTGTGGCAGTGCCTCCAAGGGGAGGGAACCTGGTATACTGGCTTGGGTGGGGGCAAAAGGAAGGAGTCTTGTTGGCTACAGGGGGAAGCTTGTTTCTGGGGTAAGTTGCTATCCCCAGGAAAGGAGGGGACCAATAGTGTCTCTTCCTGTGCAGGACACAGGCAGGTGGCCCTGGTTAGAAACAGGTCTGCACACCAGCCTCGGGAGTGTGCTTACAGCAGTGACAGGTAGCAACAAGGGGGTCTGTGTGCCTCACCAGCAGCCTGTGAGCAGATCTTCCAGAGGAGCTTCTCCACCCCCAGGGTGGTGCAGAGCCCATGCAGAGACCTAACACAGTGAAGTGCAGGCTTAGGGCTGGCTGCTTTTGACAACAGTGCATTTGACTTTACGCCTCTCAGGCAGTGCCTACCCCCCATGCTGGCTTTACATAAAAGCCACACATCCTTCTAGATCACCCACAACTATGGGCCAGGTGCTGTCCGCAACACTGACTGTGGGCAAGCCAAGCTATCGCCATGCAGGGCTGCTGAAATAAAATGTGCGATTGTGCTCCAAGACACCTTAATTGTTTATTAATTACTCCATAAATCATAGTGACACCTGTGTTTGTGCTCCTGTTAATTTGCTCTCACAAGATGGGGGATGGAAGTACAACATACTTTCTTGAGAAGTGCATGGGCCAAAGAATAACTGGGTCTTTGCTGTGGGACGGAAGTACCTGAATTGGGAGGGGGACACCAGGGCTTCTCCTTCATTAGTCAGCCCCAACTACATTCCTGTTCACCCCTGGCCAAGACCACAGCTGGAGCCTTGACAGGGCATGGGTAGGGTGAGGTGCTCTACTTCCTCCATTTGATTTCATCTTCCCAGAAGCCGGTAAAGATAGGAGTTATTGTATTCATTTTATAAGAGAGAAAATGAGGCTCAGAGATTTTATGCAAGTCCCAAGGTCACACAACCAATTAAATGCAGAGTTTGAACATGAATTTGCTTGACTCCAAATGACGTAACCCTCGTGGAAGAGTCAGCCTGGGGAGGAGGGAGCTTTCCTGTTAATCCCTGATACCTCATATGTATCTTTTAGATTTGCTCATGGAAAGGCAATCTGTTTAAATGTTAATATCCCTCACATGTCTTAAGGATCATATCTAAAATGGAAACAGAATTCATGCAGAGTGCTTTAGCTGGGTGCCACTGCTGGAGTCCCCCTCTAACTGACCTCCATTCCAGACAGTCAGCCATCCCCATCCCTGGGAGCCTCTTTCTGCCCACATCTGTTGGCAGCCATCAGCAACCAAGCGCCTGGCCCTGGAGAGCATGCGATTGCTCCAGATGGCTAATAGAACTTTATTGCCACAATCATTCTTAATGTAGCCATTCCAAAGCCCCTGTCTGGAAGCTCTCTGCTCCTGCAGTGGTACAGCAGTCCCTGGTTGCTGGGGGTAGGGCCGTTGCTACCTACCCGCCCTCTCCTGAGCTTGATAGCATACTTCTGCATATGCTATGATGAACTGGCTCTTAGGAAGTCAGAGAATGCCACAAAACTCACCTTGGGGGTAATCATCTGCCCCTGGGCTGAGATCAGCACTTTGAAGAGAGGAGAGAGCACTCAAGGCAGTGGTTGGAAGAGGCTCTCTGTTTTGGGTCCTGAGCATGGTGGAAGAAGAGGGCATGCCAGGAGTGGAGGAAGAGAGCAAGTAGGGGGTGAGAGGCCCTCCATCCTCTCCCAATCAACCCTGCTTGTCCCTCAGGGCTCAGCTTTGAGACCTTCCTGACAAGCCAATCCTGGTATCCTCTGTCTTTCACAACCTTTTCTTTTCTTCCAAGCACTTTCCTCCGTTTGTGATGATAAGCTTACTAGTGGGCCAATTTGTTTAATGTCTCTCTCAGACATTAAACTATGCAGGGCTAAAGTTTGTTTTGATTGGCACAGTGCCTGGCACGTAATAAGTACCCAATAAATATTTGTGTGCCCAATAAATAAACGAATGAATGAATATTATTATTGAGCTATCGTTACTCTCTCCTGAAGAACGATTTTCTCAGGATCTACTGATAGAGAGTCTCATGATGTGCTTACTAGTAGGTGATTTAAGATTTGAAGGAAGGAGGGAGTGACACTAAGATGCTTTCAGAGGCTAACAGAGTAATTAGATTCTGGGCCCTGAAGCCTGAGGCTAAGATGCCCGACTTTACCTGGCACACAGTGGTTAGTGAACATTTTTCTTTTTTTGAGACAGAGTCTTGCTCTGTTGCTCATGCTGGAGTGCAGTGGCAAGATCTTGGCTCATTGTAACCTCCACCTCCCAAGTTCAAGCGATTCTCCTGCCTCAGCCTCCTGAGTAGCTGGGATTATAGGCGCCTGCCACCATGCCCAGCTAATTTTTGTATTTTTAGTAGAGACGGAGTTTCACCATATTGGCCAGGCTGGTCTCGAACTCCTAACCTCAGGTGACCCATTCACCTTGTCCTCCCAAAGTGCTGGAATTACAGGTGTGAACCACCAAACCCGGCCAGCACCGAACATATTACACAATAAGTGAGTGAACGAGAAAAGGCTAGAAAGAATTTATTTACTCTTTGTAGATGGCAAAGTAAGCAAGTCTGTAGCAAGTAAGCAAGAGAAAACTACCCATGCCTGCCAAAAAAGGAACAGGGTTGTTTGAACCCTACCTGCTCTGTTCATGAGGTAATTTCACCACAGCAAGAAGTGGGCATTTGACTTTCTAGCCCTCTACCTCTTCTTTATGTTCTCCCTGAAAGGACCTGCCAAGGCTTAGCACCTTCCAGCAGGGAGGCAGTGAGGTGCCAGGCCATCTCTCTGGGCTCTGGATGTGGTGGGACTGGAGGACATTATTGGTCAGTACCAGGATATGGACAAGGGAAGCCATGGGCCTTGGAAGAGCCACCAGCACAGCAGAACCACCTGTCATCAAGAAAAGGAGCTTACAGGGAGTTCAGGAGGTGGGGATGCCTCCACCTCCCCACTCTGTCCCCTGGTCCATTACTCCACTGGGGCCAGCTGCCTTAAGTGGGCAGGGCCTCACACTGACAGGAGCTTACTGGGAGTTCAGGAAACAGCCAGGGGTGGCAGAGCTGCCCAGCGGGTTGCATGGCCTGCAGGTGAAGCTTGGTTGTGTTTGCTGGACTAGGTCAGTTGTATTTAGTCACTGTGGTTGTCGTGGGGCTGGGGGAGGCCTCATGAGGGGCATGGAGCTTGATTTAGACCCCGAGAGTAGGCTGGACTAGCAGGAGAGCAGGGGAGCTTGGAAGGTGGGGGAAGACTGTGAGGACAGGATGGAGGAGTGGGGCACAGGGGCCCAGGGGAAAGGAGGCAGAGAAGATTCAAGAGGAGGCCCACTTCTGGCCAAGGAAGAGCTGCAGAGCTGGACTGTGAATCCAGTGGCCTGGAGCTATGCAGTTCTCCCTACAGGCTGGCAATGATAGGACCATAAAGATGAAGGTATGAAGGTAGCACTGAGGACTGAGAGGGGTAAGGAAGGGTGAGAGCCTCCAGCCAGGAGAACAAACTATATATGCCCTGCAGAAAGAACTGGGAGATGTGAACTAAGGCCACAGATTTGATGCCAGAAAAATCCCTATAATGGAGTATTAAACACCTGGTTTATGAAAACTTAGGAAAGATGTTGCGATCATTAGAACTCACCACAGGTTACTAAGTTTTGTCAAATTAACTTCATATGTTGGTCAGAGCTTCTATTATAATCTTCCAGGTAGACAGATCAGGGGAGAGGTCATACCTGTGTAAGCCTGGCTTGAGCATATCAGAGACCTTGCAGTCACACATTATCTCCATGATTCAGAGGAAAAAATGTGTGTTTCACATATTATGTCATTGTGAGAGTCCTGATGTTGAAGTAGGGGTGGGGGCAATGTTAAAGGTCTCTAGATAGGGTGAACATCTAACATCATGTACATGGGTTCATTTTTGAGAGTAGAAGGAGATGAGTCAGCTGAGTCCTTTGCGAAGCAGACATGAGACAAGAGGGCAAAAGGTTTATTGGAGAGGAAGTGAAAGAAAAGTGAAGGAGGAAGTAGAATGAGGTGGTGGTGGGGTGCTGTGAAAGCACAAGGCAGACCTGCCAGAGTCTTTTCAGTCCAGTGGGGAGCTCTGGAGCCAATGCTGACTATTAGAAGAAGACTTTATTGGGTGGAAATGTCTGGGTCCTTGTACTAACTTGCTCAGTCATTGGCCAGGATGACTGGCTCAAAAGCTAAAGTGGTCTTGGGGGATGCAACAGCTGTAGGTAACCACATTCCTTGCAGGAGGCCAGCAAGTCCTTCCTTGAGTGAGTATCTGAGTAGCACATCTCTGTGTCTGGCGCCAGTCACTGTTGATAATAATGTTGGGACAGAAGGAGTAAATCAGGATTGTCCTCAAAAACTAGGACATCTGGTCACCATATTTCAGAAGACTTTTATAGAATTCAGGCTTGGATTTAGTCTTATTCTGTCTTGCTCCTATTCTGTTAATTCTTTTCTTTAACCAGTTGCTTGTCTTGACTAATATAGCCAACATTCATTGACCGCTTATTTATATGCCAGGCATGAGCTGAGCATTTTATATAAATTCATTCATTTAATTCTAATGACTTCAAAAGGCAGATACTATTATCATAGTTATTATAAATTACACATATATACTTACTATAATTATATACTTACATATAATACATATACTTAGAAATAATATACAATATAGAACATTTATAATATAAGCTTATATGTAATATTATATGCTTATTTGATTATACTGGTATTATAATATCACTCATTTTACAATGAGGAAACAGGCACAGGGAGGTTATGTGGCTTATTCAAGGTCATACATCATGTAAGTGGTAGAGCTGGGTTTTAAACCAAGAGGTTTGCTTGCAGGGCCTGAACTTGTGGAATTTTGAGCTAGCAGGATTTCTAGAGGTCATGTCACTGAGATCCAGAGAAGTTATATAACTTTCCAATAGTCACATAGAAGGTTACGACTAGTGCCTATCTCCCTGACTCCTGAGTCCAGAGTTCCTTGAACACAGCATAACTCAGACATGCTTATTGAATCTGTAGATAATAGAAAGTTGGAAAGGAAAATTCTGCAACTGAAGATACAATAGAGGTTCAAAGTGATTTTGATAGACTAGAATGGGGGCTGAACCAAAAAGATGAAAGTTAACAGAGACATATGTAAATTTCTACATTTAGGTTCAAAAGCATCAATTGTACAAGTGCCAGCTGGAGGAGACCTTGCCTGAATGCAGTTTTCTGGTAATGAGATCCATCAGAGATGACATGAGGTGAGAATGAGGGGATACAATTTTAGGCTGCATTAGCGAGATGTCATTCAGATCACAGGAAATGAGGATCCTCCCTGTGCATCCCTTCTCCTACATCTGGGAAGTCAAGTACTAAGCTTTGTTCTTGCCACCATGTTTTAATAGGGATGGAGACTCAGATACCAGTATCTGAGTAGCACATCTCCATGTCTGGTGCCAGTCACTGTTGATAATAATGTTGGGACAGAAGGAGTAAATCAGGATTGTCCTCAAAAACTGATGTTTGAGTTTTTGAAGCCCCAGAGAAGGGTGCCACGAGAACATGGCCTCTAAACTGTTGCATGGAGAGTGGCTGGAGGTGCTGGGGACTCAGTGGGACTGAGGTCAGGTACATTGGCTGTTCAGCCCACATTGCTTCTCTCTCAGAGCTGGCAGGGGCTGGGCCACCTGTAGCCCATCCTCAGAAACCCTGCAGAGGCTGGGAGCCTGAGCTCACATTCGTATATGCAAACATGCTAGCCTTAATACCAGGAAGGTTAAGTTCAAGAAATTCCCAATACTCCAATGTCTCTTCCCCTAAAGTTCCCTGGGACCCTTTTACTCTCGTATCCAATGACCTTTTGTTTTGTCATCATTCAGAGTAGTGGCAGAGCCCCCAAGGGCTCACCCAAAGCCTCTCTCGGAAATCTCACAAATATGAGGGGAGGGTATTCTTTGCAAGGGGCTAGAGTTCTCAGGTAAGGGGATGGCCCAAGAGCCTCGGGATTTGGGTTGACCATTTAGGGGAATATCTTCTTAAAACTCTGTCCTGTTTTGGCTTCAGGACATGGTCTATCCTGGTTTGGGTGAACAGACTGGCTTAATGAGCTAGTAAGCATCCAAGGTGAGTAGAAATCTGAGAGAGGGTGGATAGGATGAGGTGAATTAGAGAGTGTTGAATTTGAGGTGTGAGTGGGTTCTCCAACTGGAAGTATTTCTTACAGGTTAGGAGCTCAAGAGAGGTGGGGACTAGGTCTGGGTAGTGTTACTAACACACAATTGGTAGATGAAGCTGAGAGTCCAAGGAAACTGGGAAGGTAGACCCTCATTACTGAAAATGAAGTCTATAGACCAGCAGCATTGACATCACCTAGTTAGAAAAGCAGAATCTTGTTCTCACCAGTCACAATCTGAATTTTAAAAACACCCCCAGGGCATTTATGGGCATGTTAAAGTCAGAGAAGCGTTGCTCTAGGCCAGTGGTTTTTGTCTCAACCCTGGGTGCATATCTGAATCTCTGGTCCCTGGGCCCTGCACTGAGATTCTAATTTAATTGGTCTGTGGTGAGACCAAGGCACGCATATATATAGGTCAAAACAGTTTCCCAGGTGATTGTAACATGTAGCCAGGATTGATGTAAATCAGTCGTCCTTGAACTTGAGTGTGCGTTAGAATCACCTGGAGGGCTTGTTGAACTACAGGTAGCTAGGTCTCACCACCAAGGTTTCTAATTCAGTAGGTCTGTGTGGGGCTCAAGAATGTGCATTTCTAACAAGTTCCTGGATGATGCTAATGCTGCTGGTCGCTAGCCAGGACTTTGAGAACCATTGAGTGAGGAGAGCCCAGAAGAAGGTCCAGGATAGAATCCGAGAAAATAAACATTTATGAAGTCAGTAGAGGAAAAAAAGAAAGAGAAGAAGAGGCTTCAGACACAGGAGGTAAATCAGGAAAGAGAGCTCTCCCTGGTGTCTTTTCCACTAGACTATTAATGCCTTGAGGACTTACTTCATCCTGCTCAGCCTTCCTCTTTGGCAAAGAATTAGTGTTCCCGATTCTCAACAATCACTACTTGAACATTTTATATCTGATCATGTCACCTCCCGCCTTCAGGAGCTGCCTGCAGTTTTCAGAATAAAGCCCAAACTCCTTAGCTCAGCACACAGGCCCAGCATGACAGGGCTGCTGGCATCCTTGGCTCCTCTCTCTTATGGGACCTTTTGCTCCAGGCATTACAACTTACTTGCCAATCTTCATTAAGTTTGCTCTCTCATCCCTCCCTGTCTCTGCAATACTTCTTGAGCCCTCTTCCTCTTCCTCATCTCATTGCTCCTACTCAGCAAGATTAGAATTCCCTCAGGGAAGGTGTCACTTTTTATTTATTTTTTAATCTCTTTCCACCCTACCCTTTGCCACCTCCAACTTCTGGCTCAGTTCAAACATTGCCTCCATCCCCCAAACCTGCCATGGATCCTCAGGCTAAGGACAGGTCCTCCTACCATGTTCCTACTTTCTGTCACAATACTCATCACACCACTTCACAGTTGTTGATTTAATTATCTGCCTCCCTAACTATATGTGGGCGTCCTTTGAGCAGAGAACTGGGTCTTACTTGATTTTTGCATCCCTAGCTCCTAGTACAATGCCTGGCACAGAGCAGGTGCCAACATTTGTTCATTGAATGAAAAACTAGAGCAACTGGTGAGAAAGTGGATACAAGTGTAGACACATTTGAGAACCAATATCCCCTTCCTTCAGCCCACAGTGTCTATCAGATGCATCCTTCCTGTGGATGGTTTGCTTCTTCCCCAGAAAGGAAGAGAAAGGACACTCCTCTGGTCACTGTCTCATGGGAGAGCACCTGCTGATCACTTCTGCAATACTTGCAATGGGTTTTTGGTGTCTTTATCTCCCTGGCTAGCTAACACGACCACCTCTCTCCAGACCGAAATCATGCAGGACGCATGCTCTATTCAGATTGGCAATTCTTGATTTCTTAATGGAGAGCTAGCAAGATGAGGGGCAGAGGGTGGAGGCATCTCTTTCCACTCCTGTGTGTATTCCATGCTCCATGTGGCCCACCCAAATAGACTGTGAATGGGAAATTCAGCCTCCCAAAACTGCCTGGTGGCCTGAGAGTCAGTAACTCCCTGGGCCCTCAAGGCTCACACACTGTGGTTGCTTGAGCCAGCTACTATCTGGGCAGCTTCCTGACAGGCAATTTAATACACCAAACTGAGGAAACTGCCTAGAGAGAAGAACAAGGAGAGGGGCTTAGAGGAGAGGCCCAAGGATGGTACAATATTGCCACATTGCCAAACACACTCTGATCTTCACAACTGACATGAACAGCCTTTTTCTGTTGAACAAGAGCTTCCACACCTTCTCTTTCTTATTCCTCATGAGGGGCTCACAGGGAGGGAGGGTAGCTAGAGGTCAAATCCTCTTATCCACCGATGAGGGCCCCAAGGGTCAGAGCATGGGTCCCACAGTGTGTGAACATGCCTTTGGATTTGAACCCAGCCTGGTCTGCCATGATCCTCCTTACCTCCTCAATATGCTGCCTACAAAAAAATGTTCAAACATGTATAAACCCATACAGGGTGCAAGTGCAAATTATTCCTTCTGTGGAAGTGCAAAATAGCCAAGTGGTGACGGGAACTTGGCAGGGATGGAGTGAAATGAGTCAGGGACAGCTTTTTGAGGTAGGAGAGCTGTTCTGTGGGGCTGAGAGAGGAGGAGGCATGGCAGGCAGCGGGTGAGGGGAGAGAATTTTAGTGGGAGCAAGACAGGGGAAGAGGGGATGGTACAGTGTGGCCTGCTTGCAGTGCTGGGCTGCGGACGGGAGCAATGAGACCAGGGGCAGGATCAGCTGGAAAGGCCAAGCAACGTCTGATTAATGTGGGCTCCCAGGCCAGAACTGTGTATGTGGGTGTGTGTGTGTGTGTGTGTTTATGTGGAACATGGGTATGTGTGTGGGATGTGCTGGGGGTAGTGTGTGATGTGTGTGTTCGTGTGTATAAGTTCAGGTAGGGTACTGGGCATATCAGAAAGTTTCCAGCTTTAGGTTTCTACTATTCTTCTTTCTTTTCTTACCTGTGGTTAGATACTGCCCTTCATCCATATATACACTACTCAGTGTTAAACCTACATTCCATTTAGTTTTGGCTATGTGGGATTATGGAATTTATTTAACCAAGTTAAGTAGACATGGACTACTTAGGTTAAGTTTTAGCACACACTTAACTCAGAGTCAGGTATGGCTGCATTTGGGGACTCAGACAACATTTTTGGCATGCTGTCTTTTCTGTCTCTCAGCTCTGCCATTCTTGTTGTTGGATCACAGGCATGCTCTGTTCATGTGATGGTCCTGGCACATATACCCATGTTTATACCCTCCCAGCTTCAAGCCCAGTGGAAGGAAAACAACTTTTTACCTGTAGTTTCAACAAAAACCCCAAATGGAATCTCACTGGCTAGGTTTAGGTCATGTGTCCATCTCTGAGCCAATCACTGTGGCCTGTAGGATAAAAAGCTTTGATTGGCTGCTCAGGTCACATGCTTATCTCTAAGCTTTGGGAGTGAGTTCGAGCAGCCCAGAGAGAGGACTAGTTCCCAAAGGACCTTTGGGATGCTGGTGCTGGAGGGGGAAGTAGGTGCTGAGTAGTCAGACACAGCACCTACCTCTTCCTGTCAAAATAGGGCTTTCTAGTTGTGTGAACTTGGCCTTCAATCTTGGCCCAGTCTGTGGTTGGCTTTCTCACCTGCTATTTTAAAAATAAACTTCTCGTGAAGGACAGTTGTTTAAGACTCATACTATGAGATCTGAAGGTGGGCAGAGATTGGAGGAAGGTAGGCTGGCTCAGAGAGGGAATAGTGCCATGCTTGGTTACCTCCTGTGTATGTCAGGTCCTGTACTGGGGGATGTTCTGACATTGTCTCTTCAGTCTTCACAACCTCCTTGTGAGGTGGGTACCAGTGCACACAGATGAGGCGCTGGTTCAGAGGAGTGACTTCTCAGAGGAGAGACCTGCTTAGGTCCCAAAATTGGGAAGTGGCAAGGCTGGATAGCAAAACTGTACACCCTTTGAGCCCACTGCTTCCTGTAAGGTGATCACGCTCCAGCTGAGGACAAATCTTGAGGCTGGATGGAACCTCAGTATTGCGGCAATACTGTGAGTACCAGATTCAGACTTCCTTTCTAGAATCAGTTCTTGTACTCACTTGTTGAGTCCCAGGCTCCTAATATACAAAATGAGGATGATGATGTCTGTCCTGCTGAGATCCCAGAGTTACCCTATATCAGTCAAATGAGATCAAGGGTGAATGGGCTTTGGAAATGTTGAAGAGCTGAATATACGTGAAATGTGAAGGAAACCAGGGCTGGTTGTTAAAATAGTGACATCTTTCTATACTGAGTAGTAAAGAGCTTCTGCCCTTGCCCACCCTGCCATCACTCTGGTTCCTTCCCAGGGCCCTTGGATCTGGGACTCCTGGGACTGACCCCCATGATCCAGAAACCAAAGGAACAATGCCTTATTCTGGTCACAAGGAGAGGAGGTACACTAGAGAAATAATGGGACCTCCGGCTGCCCCCATCTCCTACCCCTTCCTGTGG
The DNA here is from genome assembly GCF_000001405.40 of Homo sapiens. Taxonomy (NCBI): domain Eukaryota; kingdom Metazoa; phylum Chordata; class Mammalia; order Primates; family Hominidae; genus Homo; species Homo sapiens. Next base: position 135,778,118 of record NC_000003.12, on the reverse strand, counting down.
GCCCAGATTGCCCTAGCGGCCCTTCTCTCTCCGCAGTCATCTCTCTTCTCCCTCTCTGATTCCCAGTGTTCACCATAAAGCTGCCTGTACTGGAGGGGCTGGGGGTAGGGGATGGGGAAAGGTTATGTCTCCTGCTGCTCTTCTCAGTACCTTGTGGGGTCCCTCACATCCCCAGCCTCACCAAGGCTTTCCTAACCTGTTTTACGTCACAGCTGAAGTGGGAAGGAGGGAGGAAGAATGACTGAAAGTCTCTGAGAAGTCCTATGGGAAGGGAAAATGTTGAAGTTTGTTTAGCCTGTGTTTCTGAATTATGATAAGTAATGTAGCCTGAGGGTTAGGAGCATGGGTTTGGGATCCAGATTGCCTGGAATAAACTTGTGCCACTTCACAGTGAACTTGGGCAAGTTACTAATGAGGCCTGTGTTTCAGTTTCTCACCTGCACAATGGGGATGTTTATGGCACCTACCTCATAGATTTTTGAGAGGATTAAGTAAAAGGATGTTTGTGGATCACTTGTGTTTGGCTTGTAGTTAGCTATTATTATTTTTTAACTTGGATTTTTTTGGTAACACCTATTTTTCTTTTTTTTTCCTTCCAACTTTTATTTTAGGTTCAGGGGTTACATGTGCAGGTTTGTTACATGGGTGAATAGCGTGTTGCTGGGGTTTGGTGTAAAACTGATTTTGTCACTTAGATAGTGAGCATAGTACCTGATTGGGGTAGTTTTTTAATTTTACTCCTCCTCCCCACCTCTACCCTCAAGTAAGCCTTGGTGTTTATTGTCCCCCTCTTTGTGTCCATGTGTACTTAATGTTTGGCACCTACTTATAAGTGAGCACACACAGTATTTGGTTTACTGTTCCTGAGTTAATTTGCTTAGGAAAATGGCCTGCAGCTGCATCCATATTGTTGCAAAGAACATTATTTCATTCTTTTTTATGGCTGCATAGTATTCTTGTATGTACCACATTTCCTTTATCCAGTCCCCTGTTGATGGGCATCTAGCTTGATTCCATGACTTTGCTATTTTGAAGTGTTGTGATATGCATACGCATTCATGTGCCTTTATGGTGGAATGACTCATATTCCTTTGGGTATATACCCAGTAATGGGATTGCTGGGTTGAAACAGTTCTGTTTTAAGTTCTTTGAGAAATCTCCAAATTGCTTTCCACAGTGGCTGAACTAATTTACATTCTACCAGCAGTATATAAGCATTCCCTTTTCTCCAGAACCCCACCAACATCTGTTATTTTTTGACTTTTTGATAATAGCCATTCTAACTGGTATGAGATGATATCTCATTGTGGTTTTGATTTACATTTCTCTAATAATTATTGCTGTGGAGCATTTTTTAAATATGCTTGTGGGTCACATGTGTGTCTTCTTTTGAGAAGTGTCTGTTCATGTCCTTTTCCCATTTTTTAAAGCAATTGTTTGTTTTTTTGCTTGTTGATTTGTTTAAGTTCCTTATAGATTGTAGGTATCAGACTTTGTCAGGTTCATAGTTTGCAAACATTTTCTCCCCTTCTTTAGGTTGTCTATTTACTCTATTGATAGTTTCTTTTTCTGTGCAGAGCTCTTTAATTAGGTCCCACTTGTCACTTTTTCTTTTTGTTGCAATTGCTTTTGGAGTCTTTGTCATGAAATCTTTGCCAAGGCCTATGTTCAGAATGGTATTTCCTTTGTATTCTTCTAGGATTTTTATCATTTTAGGTTTTACATTTCGGCCTTTAATCCATCTTGGGTTGATTTTTATATATGGTGAAAGGAAAGTGTCCAGTTTCAATCTTTTGCATATGGTTAGCCAGTTATCCCAGCACCATTTATTGAATAGGAAGTCCTTTCCCCATTGCTTGTTATTGTCAACTTTGTTGAAAATCAGATGGTTGTTAACTGTGTGGCTTTATTTATGGGTTTTTAATCCTGTTTCATTGGTCTATGTGTCTGTTTTTGTACCAGTACTATGCTGTTTTGGTTACTGGAGCCTTGTAGTATAGTTTGAAGTCGGGTAGTGTGATGCCTCTGACTTTGTTCTTTTTGCTTAGGATTGCTTTGGCCATTTGGGCTCTTTTTTGGTTCCTTATGTATTTTAGAATAGTTTTTTTTCTAATTCTGTGAAAAATAACATTGCATTGAATCTATAAATTGCTTTGGGCAGTATGGTTATTTTAACAATATTGATTCTTCCTGTCCATGAGCATGGAATGTTTTTCCATTTGTTTGTGTCATCTCTGATTTCTTTCAGCAGTGTTTTGTAATTCCTGTTGCAGAGCTCTTTCATCTCCCTGGTTAGCTATATTTCTAGGCATTTTATTCTTTCTGTGGCTATTGTGAATGGGATTGCATTATTGATTTGACTCTTAGCTTGGATGGCACTGGTGTATAGAAATGCTACTGATTTTTGTACATTGATTTTGTATCCTGAAACTTCACTGAAGTTGTTTATCAGTTCTAGGAGCCTTTGGGCAGAGACTATGGGATTTTCTAGGTATAGAATCATATCGTTTGTGAAGAGAGATAGTTCAGCTTCCTCTCTTCCCGTTTGGATGCTTTTTATTTCTTCCTTTTGCCTGATTGTTCTGGATAGGACTTCCAGTAGTATGTTGAATAGGAGTAGTGAGAGTGGGCATCCTTGTCGTGTTCCAGTTCTCAAGGGGAATGCTTCCAGGTTTTGCCTGTTCAGTATGATGTTGGCTGTGGGTTTGTCATAGATGGCTTTTACTATCTTGAGGTATGTTCTTTGAATTCCTAGTTTGTTCAGGGTTTTTATGCTGAAGTGATATTGAATTTTATCAAAAGACTTTTCTGTGTCTATTGAGATAATCATGTGGTTTTTGTGTTTAGTTCTGTTTATGTGATGAATCACATTTATTGATTTGTATATGTTGAACCAACCTTGCATCCCAGGAATACAGCCTGCTTGATCATGGTGGATTAGCTTTTTTGATGCGCTGCTGGATTTGATTTGCTAGATTTTGTTGAGGATATTTGTGTCTATGTTCATCAGGGATATTGGCCTGAAGTTTTTTTTTTTTCATTGCAACACCTATTTTCATTCTCTGGAATGAATATTATGCAAATACTACTTTTGAAAATGCTAATGTAGAGGAATATTGGACAGATATGGAAGTATATGGTGTGTTCACCATGTGTTCTGATTTTAAATTAGAAATCAGAGTAGATTTCTGTGAGTAGACTGTGATTTGGGTTTTGGCTTAGACACTATGATTGTCATCCGTTTAAGACATAAACAGCTCTTAAATAATCTTCTGTCTAGGCAATTCTTATCAAGCTACTCCCTTTCATAATTATCCATTACCTTTTTATTTTGAGCCAGAAGCTTGTCAGTCCTGCATTCATTCCATCGCTTCATCTGCCTATTCCCAGGCCCGTGTCCTCAAGATTCTTTAGCACTCCTCACCTGCACAGACTCTCCATTCCAGCCCAGTCTGGGGCCATTAACTCTTTCATTCCCATTTCCACCTGTGATGTTCTTCCACTTACTCTTGCCAAACCTAGGTTCTCACCTTTAAAACCCAACTTGGAGATTCTCTTTAGACACCACCAAAGTGTTCTGGAAAGGACAGATGAGGCTTTGGCTTCAGCCTTGTGCATGCTGCTTGGACTGGCTTCACATATATCTGTGTGATCTAGGCATTTTCTATGGATTATTTTTTCTCATTTAAACTTGCAACCCCTCCTCCCCATCACAGCAGAGGCCAGGCTTATTTCTTCGGTAGCTAGTGCAGGTCTTTGCATGCAGTAGCTGCTTCTCAGGGAAGGTATGAGGGGCAGCTTCAAAGTTGAGGATGAGGGCCTAGGGTCAGATGAGTTTTCTGAGGCCAAATTATATCAGGCTTAAGTCATAAAATCTATTAGGCAACCAGAAAAAAAATTCCCACAGGATAAGTAGTGAGAGTGTTTAGAAAGCAGCTCTTTTACCTTCTTGCTCTGGAGTGGTAGAAATTAAATCCCAGAGAAACCGGCTGAGGACATCACACAGTGGGGACTCTGGGACTGGACTGATTCCCCACCTGATGTCCTTCCACCTCCCACTCAACATGCCTGGCCACAGCTCATCTTCTGCTTAGATCCTCAGCAGGGACCACATCTGCCTTCATGACCCCATCTTTCCTGTCTCTTTAGAGGTGCCACCAGAGGATTAAGATGACTGAGGGCAGTGACTTCTGGTGAAGTCTGGCTTCAAATCCCAGCTTCTTCACCCAGCTATTCTTTCACATGCAGTGAATGTTTGCAGAAAACATTGAGGCTTAAAAAGAGGTTAAGTAACTTCCCATGGGCACGTATGACTTGACTTAAGATCATGAGTTCTGGAAAGATCTCAGTTTAGAAGTCCTTCCTTTGTGAAGCCTTCCAGACTTCCTCTCTCTGTGCAGAATTTTTAAAGTCCTCCTCAGGGGCTATGCAGCACATTATATTCACCTGTATGGATGTATATCACCATGTTCCCTAGTCACCTGTTCATGGGCCTGTTTCCTCCACAGTCATGTTGGGGAGTAGAGAATGGGAACCTGTTTTTTCACATATAATGAATGTTTGCAGAAATAAATATATTCAGAGTGACTTCTCCTGCCCTGCTCCTCTATTTTTAAATTTTAATTTAATTCATTCATTTTTAAAATAGGCAACCCCTTCTCATGGTTCAAAATTCACAGGAAATATACAGTAGAAATTCTCCCTTCTTTGCCTTTCTCTTTCCCAGAGGCAAACAACATTATAATTTTTAAATAGTTTCCTTCTAGAACTATTTTATATATGTGTATGCAAAGATATGTAAATAATATGTCAGTATTCTTTTTGCACCTCCATTTTTGATGACTTCTCTGTGTTGTTGATGTCGTACAGCCCAGGTTTGAAGCCAGATTGCCTGGGTGCAAGCCCTGGCTCTGCCACTTACTACCTATGTGATTTTGAGCTGGAATATTACCTTTTCTCTGCGTTAGTTTACTTATCTGTAAAATGGGTATGTAGCAGTTGCTGTCCCATAGGATTATTTTAAGAAAATGTGTAAAGCATTGAAAATAGTGCTAGCAGAGTGATATAGTTTGGGTATTTGTCTCTACCCAAATCTTATGTTGAAATGTAATCCCCAATGTTGGAAGTGGGACCTGGTGGGAAGTGTTTGGATCATGGGGGTGGATCCCTCATGAATGGCTTGGGCCATCCCCTTGGCGTTAAGTGAGCTCTGGCTCTGAGTTCACATGAGATCTGATCATTTAAAAGTGTGTGGCATCTGCTCGCCCACTCTCTCTCTGACTTCCTTCTGCTTTCGCCATGTGACATGCCTGCTCCCTCTTTGCCTTCCACCATAATTGTAAGCTTCCTGAAGCCGCCGTAGAAGCCAAGCAGATGCCAGCACTATGCTTTCCACAAGGCATGCAGAACTGTGAGCCAACTAAACCTCTTTTCTTTATAGATACCAAGTTTCCAGCATTTCTTTATAGCAATGCAAGAACAGCTTAATATACATAGGGTAGGGGCTCAGTGATGTCATCTATTATTTTGGGCTGCCATTCATTCTGTGCTTTATGCATGAGACAACTATGCTACCTCCTTTACTTTCATTATCTCCTTGGCCAACCAATAATCCTGTGAGACAAGAACTGATACATCCGTTATATAACTCAGACTCAAATAGGTCTGGTATCTGGTATCTGGCCCAGGGTCACTTGGGCAGTAAATGTCAGAGATAAGATTTAAGCTGCACCTCGGGGGCCTATAATGTCTCTTGAGACTTCTTGTTAACATCTCCTAGGGCCATGTTCTATACACAGTAGACACTCAATGAAAGAGACTTACTTAGGTACTTCCTTCTCAATGCCTTTGGTTTGTGTTTTGAGGGCAGCCATTCCTGAGCAGGATCTTTGAGGATCTAGGTATTTCCTAGTTTTATCCTCAATTCAACCCAGGGTCTTATGCTTAGAATCTGCAGCTCCTATGGGCACTGGACAAATCTGCCTCCCAATTATCTTTTCTTTTTCCTCATGTTTATATCAGCAGAAATGAAGGAGAGAAAAATCAGCCTTTAACTAGAATTTTATTACCCATTGACCTCAGCCATCTCCATCTATCTCTCACTAGCTCTGCCCATTAGTTGTCAGGGCAACGTGGTATAACTCCCTGCTGGCTGCAGTTGGCTGAGTTTAATTCTCCCCTGCTGCTCTTACTAGCTGGGCATGGCTGTCCTGTGTAGTTGCTCCAGAAGCACTGTCAGGCACGGCCTTGGAAAAGTAAATCAGGAGAATGCGATGTGTTTGGGGGAAGGGATGGATAACTGCCTAGCCTCTTATTCTCAGAGAATAATTGCAGCTTTAAGTATGGTTTGTAGGTCATTGCTGGAAATTGTGAAGTTGAACACAGTGCAGAACTGTACACATGGGAATGACTGAAATGGAAGTTGTTCAGCCTCAGCTGCGCTGAAGCTTTGCTCTGTCCTGTCTTGAATCCCTGCACCTCTTCTGGACCTGATTGTCTGGTCCCACTCTCAGCCCCTCTCTGCCCTCTCTCTTTGTCTCTGACTTCCCTGAAACAAGGAGAACGCTCTTCTGATTTATCCCCTCCTCATCTTGACACATTTCTGTTTCCACACCCAGATTCTCATCATTTCCTTCCAAATTGTCCATCTTGCCTGTTACTACTGTCTCTTCTAGCCCCTGAAACACCTTGCTTTCTTCCCTTGCCAGAGTTTTAAATATTTCCCAGTATTTTTCTCTCCATTAGCAACTTTTCTGCCTTCAAATGTGCACAGGCCTCTTTTACCTTATTCACCTGGCTTCATTGCTGCTATAACTATCTAGCCTCATCTTATAAGTATTTACTGACACCTTCTACAAGTCTAACTCTGGGAAGATGATGAAGAAGACACAGTTCCTATCTTTGAGGAGCTCACAATTGAGCAGCAGGACAAAAACGTAACCAATGATGATGTCACACAGTGTGTGTGCTGGGATAACACAGATTAGAAAACACTAACAAAACAGGGCTTGTGTTTTTTAGAGCGAGTTTACCATCATACCCCAGGGCATCACAGAGAAAGTAACATTACACTTGAGACTTGAATGATAGGTAAGAAATTTCTAGGTACAGAAAGTGGGAGAGGAAAGGGTAGGGGACATTTATTTGCTGGGACTTTTTCAGTTGCAAGTGATAGAAAATAAAATCAAACTAACTCAAGGAAAAGAAGAACTGTATTAACTCATGTCATAAAGAAGAGGGCATGATTTCAGACATGGCTGGAATAAGGGGTTCACATAATGTTGTTGAGGATCTATTTTTCTCTTAAAAGTATCTCTGTTTTCTTCTCTCTCTTTTTCTCTCTCTTCATTTTCACCTTCTTCTCTGTTTTACCTCTACTCCCAATTTCACAAGGAGAGAGACCCTGTGCCCTCTTCAGCATTTAAATGCATCTTCCATTTGACTCTACACATAGTTATGTGCCTACTCCTGAGTACCTACTCTGTCCAGAAGGATGAAAGTAGGGTAACAGAAAAGAGGTTTTGTTCCCAGAAGGGGAAAAATTTACTGAGCAGGAAAAGAACAAGTTTTTCCCACAAGATTCCAGGGAGCAGGAAGAGAGTGAGGTGTGAAAGGGCCTGATGGATTGAAGGAATGTTGAGGTGCTTGGTGTGTTTGGCATGCAAAGGTTTCCCATGCAATACCATACCTCCAGGATGGATGGCCCACATCTGTGGCTCCATTCCCTCTGCACTAGCTCTCTGCATTTTAGAGTTCTCCTCACCACTCTACTGAGAGCGATTTCATGAAAGGACACTACTGGACTCTGGTTCTGTTATAATCTGAATGTTTGTGTCACTGTCCCCACTCCTTCAAATTCATATGTTAAAGCCCCAATAAAATGGTATTAGGAAACAGGGTCTTTGGGAGGTAATTGATGAGACTAGTGCCTTTAAAAAAAAGAGAACGAGACACCAGAGTTTCCTCTCTCCATCATTAGGATACAGTGAGAAGGTGGCCATCTGCAAACCAGGAAGAGCGGCATTACCAAGAATCCAGCCATTCTGGCACCCTGATCTTGGACTTTCTAGCCTCCAGAAATGTAAAATAAATGCCTATTGTTTAAGCCACCCAGTCTATGGTATTTTGTTTTAGCAGTCCGAGCTGACTAAAGTCAAAAAGCCAATAGCTTTTTCTATCTTTATTTCCTTAACCTGTATTATTTGATAGTGACCCACACACTGATCAGCCTTTCCTTCTTGAAATTCTTGCCTGTCTCCTTGGCTTTTGCAGTAATACCATCTGTTCATGTCTCCTACTTCCTGGCAATTTCTTCTTTGAGCTCAAATGTGCTTGGACAACTTTGTCCCTGGTCAACTTCTCTCTTCCTATTGTCTTTCCCCCAGAGCATCCCTTATTCCTATAGCTTAAACCACACTAATAACTTACCTAAAATTCTGGACCCCCTGAGTCTCTAGTTGCATACCTCTTGCAGTCTGTTGTGCTTCCTATTAGAGGTTTCATATTTACTCGGACTCAACCTGACCCAAACAGAAGATATTATCTTTGTTCTCAAACTTGTTTCTATCACAATTTTTCTGCCCCTACGCATAATGCTGTACTTCTAGCTTTCCAGCTTTGAAATCTTGGAGGTATCTTTTAGAGGTCCTCTTCTACCCATTTGTTACCAGTTATCACGATGATCTTTGGTGAGCATTTTTTTTTCTGCGCTCTCATGCTAGCTCTCGACTCCAGGCCACACTATTTTTCTGGGCATGCACCTAAGAAATCTTTACCTGATCCAATGACACAAAGACTTTGAACTTAATTCCACTGTGTTCAGACAACATGCTTCTTATGACTTTAATCTTTTTAAATGCATTGAGGCTTGGCCAGGCATGGTGGCTCATGCCTGTAACCCAAACACTTTGGGAGGCTGAAGCGGGATGATTGCATGAGGTCAGGAGTTTGAGACCAGCTTAGGCAACATAGCAAGACCCTGACTCTACAAAAGTAAAAACAAAAACAAAAACAAAAAACAGGTTTGGTGGTGTATGCCTGTAGTCCCAGCTACTTGGGATGCTCAGGTGAAAGGATTGCTTGAGCCTAGGAGTTTGAGGCTGCAGTGAGTCATGATTGTGCCATTGTACTCTAGTCCAGGCAACAGAATGAGTATTGAGGCTCGTCTTATGACTTATAATATGGTCTATCATGTGTACACTCAAAAAGTACATACTTTGCTATTGGTTGGAGAGTTCTATAAATGTCATTTAGGTTAAGTTTGTTGATAATGTTCAAGTTGTCTCTATCCTTACAGATTTTCTGTCTACTTCCTCTATCAATTATTGAGAAACAGTTATTAACATTTTCAACTTATATTCTAGATTTGTCTATTTCTCTTTGGTTTTATCACTCTTTCTATATTTTGAAGCTATGTTATCAGGTGCATAAATATTTAGGCTTATTATTTTTTCTTGATGAATTGGCCTCTTTATCATTATAAAATGACTTTATCTCTGTTAATGTTATTTGCTCTAAAATATGTTCTATGATATTGTCATTCCAGTTTTCTCTTGACTGGTATTATGTATGTTTATATTTAAAGTGGGGGGTTTCTTATAAGCAGTTATTGTTGAATTTTGATACTTTGATCTGATAATCTTTGCAAAATTTCGTTTGAGGATTCAGCTCATTAATATTTAACATGACTATTAATATAGCTAGGTTTTCTTGTGGGCATAATTTTGGATCATTTTATATTGTTATATCTTCAATTTCACTAATCTTTTGTTACATCTAATCTACCATTAAACCCATCCAGATTTCTTATTATCATTATTTTACATCTCAGGTTTTGATTTTTTTCATCTCTGGATTTGATTTGGGTTTTGAAATATCTTCCATGATCAATCTTTTCTTTAGCCTTTTAAACATATGGAATACAATTGTAACAACTGTTTTTAATGTCTCTCGAAGCAAATTCTGTTTCAATTGATTGTTTTTCCTCATTATTATTAGTTGTATTTTCCTGCTTCTTTGCATGCTTGTTTATTTTTTTATTGGAGTAAATTTTACCTTTTTGGGTGTTTGATATTTTAATATGTTTGTAACTATTCTTAGCTTTGTCTGAGATGCAGTTAAACTACTTGGAAGCAGTTTGATCATTTTTGCTTTCAGATTTGTTGGACAAGACCAGGACAATATTTAATCTAGAACAAATTTTCTCCAGTACTGAAGAAAAACCTTTCTGAATATTCTACCAAATAGTTCATTAATTAGAAAGTTTTCCAGTGTGACAAAAGTTCTCTGAAAAGCAACTTGGAGAAAAGAGACTTTATTCCATTGAACAGTTTGCAAACCAGGGAAATGTAGCCTCTGGTGCAAAATGAAGGTGGGTTCCATAGAACAAAGAGAAGGCTCAGGTTTTATAGCAAGAGTTCCTACCCAGATTCCCAATTTGGTCCACTTATGCAAATGTAAGATGGAAACTTTCCTAGTTTTGATTGGTTGATACAGCTGAGTTCTCATTGGCTGAAACAACTCAGCCCCAATTTGTCAATAGAGCTGAACCCTGATTGGCCAAAGCAGGTGAGCTCTGATTGAATGGTTCAGGTGAGCTCTGAAAGTTCCAAAGATAAAAAGGTGCCGATTTTCAGAGAACTCAGAGTACATGTGTGACCCCTGGTCAGTAAATAGCCACTTGGTTCTATTTTAAATTTAGGCCCAGTTAGCCACTCAGGATCTATCTTGAAGGACTGACTCTTTAAGGTTCAAATTTATTCACAGCAGTCTGGCTGGTAGGAACAGGCACTATTCCTGGCCCTGCATGACCAACAAACACTGGCCCTTCTAATGTTCTTGGAAGGCTCCTTCCCCGGCTTCAGGTAGTTTTCTCACATGCATTTGCTGATTAGCAGTCTGATGAACGCACATGGAGGACCTTCTACCTATCCTTGGGGTTCCCTTTCTTGCTGCTCTTTCCTCTCTGGTATTGTGAGTTCTCTGATACTCTCACTGACTTGGTCTCCCTGAATCCAACTCTGTGTCCTTATCTCAAGGAGTCTCCTGGGCTCTGCCTGTGTTCTTCTTCCTTGCATGGTGGTCTGCATGTGTTCACCATAAGTTTGGGTACTCATGAGGCCCCCCTTGTTTGTTTACTGTCTAACAGAGATAACTGACTTTTGTTGTCTGATATACAATGTCTTAAAAACTGTCGTTTAATATATTTTGTCTAGTTTTTAGTTGTTTCATGCCAGAAGGTATATCCAATCCCTGCTACTCCATTTTGGCTGGAAGCATTAAGTTATTCATTAAGTTTTTATTTAAGTAGCTATATTTTTTACAACTTGTTTTATTAGTACCTGCTCTTATTTCATAATATCCTTGTTCTTTTTCATAAATGATATTTAAAAATCTTTTTAAGGACTTTAAATATATGAGATGCTTTATTATATTTATTTCCTTAGACCTAAGAGTTTAAATCTCTTGAGTTTTCCCATTTGTATGTCATGTAGTTGGAACTCCTCATATACGTAGTAACTTTAGGTTGTAAGTTAGTCTTTGTGGATAATTTCTCTTTCGTATATTCCAAGTCGTGACAGCCTCTAGGTAGAAAGGTTGTATTGTTTTCTCAACTCTGACTTTTTTTTGGGGATTGATCTTGTCCAGAGCACTCTAGGGCCACTTACGATGGGCCTCCACCCACGAGGGCAATTTTTTCCTTGTTCATGGGGATGGCTTTGTGACACATGATTCTGTCTCTTTTTCACTTGAGTCTAGTCTCTGACTCCACACAGGAGCCATGCCTGTGATGACTCACCTCTAATCTTGTATCTGCATATGTCCTATGGGCTGCTATCTTGTTCTCTGGTTTAGGAATACTCTTAAAAGTTGGCTTGTGGATATATACTTTCCTAGGTTTTAACCATAGCATTGTGTTTTTAAATATATATTTTCTATCATTTCTATGCATTTAGATAAGGAAGAGAGGTTTTCAGTGTTTGCTCAATCTGCCATTATAAACATAAGCCCTTCATAGTGTTTGTGTCACCGAGGATGAGAGTTCCCTTCCAGCCCTGGGGTCAGCTGTAGTATTTGAGACCTGAAGGGTCTTAGTTGGCTTTTTACTTGACAGAACAATATTTTCTCTTACACAGATTTCATCCATCTGAAAACTCCCAATGGTTCCTCTCCTTGTTTCTTCCCCTTCACATCTAACTCATCTCTGTGGCTTACAGTGACCACAATTATCTGTCCCTGCTTCATCTATTGAACTTGGGTGACCTGTAGGCAATTTAAAATAGTTACCACAGGCTGGGTGTGGTGTCTCACACCTGTAATCCCAGCACTTTGGGAGGCCGAGGAAGAAGGATCACTTGAGCCCACAAATTTGAGACCAGCCTGGGCAACATAGAGAGACTCTGTCTCTACAAAAACAAAACAAAACAAAACAAAACAAAAAACCCACAAAAACACACACAAAAAAACTTAACCAAGCATGGTAGCACCTGCCTGTAGTCCCAACTACTTGGGAGGCTGAGGTGGGAGGATTGCTTGAGCCTGGGAAGTCGAGGCTGCAGTGAGCTCTGATTATGCCACTGCACTCCAGGCTGAGCAACAGAAAAAAAAAATAGTTACCACTATATGATGGTGTATTAGTCTGTTCTTATGCAGCTAATAAAGACATAACTGAAACTGGGTAATTTATAAAGGAAAGAAGCTTAATGGATTCACATTTCCACATGGCTGGGGAGGCCTCACAATCATGGTGGAAGGCAAAGGAGGAGCAAAAGGCACATCTTACATGGTGGCAAGCAAGAGAACGTGTGCAGGGCAACTGCCCTTTTATAAAACCATCAGATCTCTTGAGACTTGTTCACCATCACAGGAACAGCAAGGGGGAAAAACCCTCCCTCATGATTCAATAACTTCCCACTGGGTCCTTCCCATGACATGTGGAGAGCTACAATTCAAGATGAGATTTGGGTGGGGACACAGCCAAACCATATCAGATGGTCTCTCTCCAGACAGTAAAGGTCTTAATGTCTTCTTCAAGCCTTGATTACTACATTTCAGGTATACTTACTCTAGCTAGAGCTACTTTTTGGTTTGGAGTGAAAAACTATAAATTAAGCAACAGTTATAGTAGGCATACTTGGTATGAAACACCATGCACCAAGCAGGAATCAGACAACTTCAATGTATGCACTTTCATCATGTTATGTACTAAACACATTGGCCTTTTTGTGGCCTTTAACCATGTTTTCCAACCTGAGTAAATTTCTTCTTCCTCTGTCTTTCTCCACTCTCCTGACCTTAACATCCACATTCAAAAGTCTTCAGGAACTTTGCTCATGCATTTTTGTCTTGTCTTTGGGTTCTTTTATTAGCCAGAAAGGAGGCGCATTGGTTCAGTGTCCTTTAAATAGACTTTCCATTCTGTCTAGCTGACTTCTCAGGGGAGGGCTCCCATCCCACACAGAGGGAGATGGAGCAAAACCTTTTCCTTTAGACCTTTCCTAGGCTTAGTAACCCACTTTAATAAAACAGGAAAAGTCAAATCTGGCATCTCCCTAGCCCTGTTCTTCTGTTGCAGAGCCTTCCATTCAGTGAAAGTGGGACTGAGGATGGGCAAATTTGCCTGACTTTGGGGCTCGCTCCTTTTCCCGGGGGCACCAGGCAATGATAGCCTTATTTCTTCTTCTCTTCTCTGAAATTCATGACCAAAGGAAAGCAGCATTTCTTAGCAGCTGTACTTTCTAAGCCAGGTGGGTTCTAGAAGAATGTCTTCATAGAAGGGGTGCCAAATCTTCCAGGTCATGTATTTTAAAATATATGTAAAAGATAATACATCTTAAAAGCAAATTCATACTAGGTTCCAGACAGTGACTCCTTCTAGCTAGCTGAACATTGTAGACTAGACCTCTGGTTTAGTTTAAAATTTGTCATTTATTTCCTTGCCCAAGGATTGTCTGCTCAGCTCCCAAATAATACTGAATCTCTCTTTGGTGTTTGAAATCATTCTTTTAGTGTTTTTTTTTTTCATTCATTGGAAAATGGATTCTTTTCTCTCCAGATTTTGAAGGTAAATGCCTGGGTGGGACAGTGATGTGGGACCATCAGTTGAAAGGCTGTAAGAATTCCAGAGAAGAGCACATGTTGGATTCAATCACATATTGATTTTCAGCTCAGTAAATTGTGGCTGCTTTGTAGCAAGGGTAACAAGTACGCTGTGCTTTTCAGAAAGAGATGTGATCAGCTTTTAAACAATAAAGAAGCTCACTGCTGGGCAGAGTGATTCAATTTAAATCCGCATGAAAGCCAGTGGTGAGCTTAAAATAAACAAAGAAACATTAAAAGCCACCACTACACCCAGTGCCTCATGTCAACAATAAAATAGGTATGGGAATTTAAGCCATCCAAAGTGAATCTTAAAGAAATCGAATCCCTTTGAGGATAACAGACTAGATTTAGCTGAAATATCTCAGTGGCTATACATTTAGTTATCCCTTTTCCAGGCATGAAGGAAGGATTCAGTACCAAAAAAGGGCTCTCTGATGGGCAGCCATGGGCCATGGTGGGCAGGAAGACTTCTCTTCCTCTAGAAGATACATTTGGGCACCTGTGATGGGAGTATGGGACCAAAGCCTCCCACAGTTTTCTGACGGGGGCTCCTCTTACCCTGACTCTGTGCCCTACCTCGTGTGTCCTAGATACTCCTCATCAATCCCCTCCTTTGGTGTGTCCAATGCGGTGTGTCTCAGCTAAAACATTGTCCTTTTTGAGCACGGAAACAGAGCCCACACCCTGATATCTCTGTGTAGCAATTTCCATTGCTGGTGATGCTCTTGGGAGAACCTGACTGCCTGTTCCCAGCCCCATGCTTATGAGGTCAGTTGTGTGTTTTAGGTTCTATTCATTGATGATGGAGAGCTCCAAGCCTCCCATTATTTGAGGGTCTAAGACTGCCTTGGAATTACCATGCTGAAATGCCCCTCTGGCCGCTGGGGCAGATAGACACATGCTTGTCCCCTCCTGAAATTGTGCCTAACCTGCAGAGTACTTCCTCCTTTCCAAGCCCAGGAAGGTGCTATTTGTGTGTGTGTCTGGGTAAGACTTTGCAACTCTAATTTATGTCTTTTTTCGTTTTTGCATTTTCCCCTATTCTTTCTTCCTATTAATACAAGCTCTGTGCTCATTGCCTCAAGGAAGGTATATAATAGGGTAAAAGGCAGATGTTGTCAGCAAAACAATTCCCTTCTAGGTCTTTTTTTGTTTTTTATTTTAAGAAACCTGTTTTTCAAAGGGAGAGGGTAGATAAAAAGCCTCTTGAAACAACACAAGGGGATAGGCTTCCCCAACTCCACCCTCAACCTCACCCTAGAACTTATTCCCTCAGACTGGGGAATGGGAGGAGAAGAGGTTGAAGAGCCCAGAATAACAAAGAGCTGAGCCCAACTTCCTGGCTATGCCACTGGGAGGCAGTGAGGTCACTCTCAGTGAAGCCAGCTGCGTGGTACAGATGGGATCACCCACCACTTTTAAGGAACAGGCTCGTATACCAAGACTGGAACAGAAATAGAGAGATGTGAGTTATGAAGGGGCCACATGGAAAGGGACAGCAGACATCTCACTGGTAACTCATGTATACAGGTGGGAATCCCCCTCTTCAATATCTTGGCACAGGGTAAGAACTTAGAAATGTGTTACAACCTATGGGAGTGGGAAACAGAGGTTTAGTTAGTGTTGGAGAGACCACATCCTGTTTCGTTTTTCCTCCTGAGCACATAAGAAGACTCCAAGCCTCTTGCATTTAAGGCTTGACAAGTGACTAGTTCTGATCAATGAGCTATGCATGGAAGTGACACGAATCACCATGCTAAGGCAGATAAAGGTCTTCTGTGACCTTCCAGCTTCTTACTTCTGTCACCATATTGAGAGGACAGAGGAGAGTCTTTCATATCCTGGGGTCCCTGAATGACTGTAGAAGGCACAGCTTTCCAGCCGACCTGCGTGAATTAGAAATAAGCCAACGTTATATCACAGAGATTTCAGGGTTAATTTGTTCCTTGCAGCAAACCCCAACCTATTTGATTAACCTGTTGGAAAAGTTAGAAATAAGTTAAACTGTAGAAAATAGAGTAAGATTTCTTATACCCCCAAATTTGTGGACTGAGGTTTGTGCCTGCCATGAGGGTATTTGTTTTCCATTCATCGGCTTCAGTTGAAATGCATACTTTAAGCTTCTTGAGGTCTGCGGCTATAATGAAGTCATTGGTCACAAGTCCCTTCACCCCAGCATGGAGCAAGAATCTAGCACAGTGTCTCACCTACTGAAGATGTACAACCAAGATGTCATTTCCTTCCTCCTGGTACCTCTACCTTCCTCTGGTGTGATAAATGGGAAGCAGGTAGGAAGCAAGGCAGTCTCAAGAAAGAGCATCTCTTTCACTTGCTAAGACTACCTGGTGCCAGGTCCCATGGTGACTCCGAGGACACAGAGAGAAACCAGAGTTGACCTTGACCTGAAGTCTAAGGGCCCCATGGGGGAGACATTGTCATCATGATAGTATAGCACACAAGAAAAGAGGACCAAGAACTGAGAAGGGAATTGCAGAAAGTGTGTCCTGGAAATGAAACTGGAAAGGAAATAATAAGAGGTAATGTTTGTTGAGTGCTCACAACGTGCAAAATGCTTTGCTTACAGTGTCTCACTTAATTGTCACAATGATTCTATGAGGCAAGTGCTACTGACCCCATCATATAGTTCAAAGCCCTTTCCTGCTCATAGTTTAGGAAGCTGGGGATTGGGGGGTGAGAATGAGATTGTCTGAGAGTTGTTCTGATCAGTCAACACTGGGAGACATGAGAAATTCTATTTGTAAGTGCCATGCTGGAGGGCCTATCAATCCCAAAGGTCTCTGCATCCCCCAAAAGGTCTCAGCTTAGCTTCTGTGGCCAGTTTCCTCTTGTCAACTCATAGTCAGTGATGAGCCCTGAGACAGGGCATGGAAACAGGTGTTCAATTTCCAAAAGGGGGAGGTCTGAGAAAGGACCAGACAGAAGAGGCACACCTGCAAGTATACCAGGAATTGTAGAAACAGTGTCTTCTCTCAGCACCTTCTCCAATTTAGAGGTGAGAAGCCAGAGGCTAAGAGAGGGACAGACTTGCCAAGGCTCAAACAGGGAATTTGACAGTACCGGGATCAGAACACAAGTCCCCTGGCTTTCCCCTGCAACCAGTATTATTCAATCGTGAAGGCCTCATGGAATTCTTGTGGTGTGACTGTCCCTGATGACTGATACCTCTGACCTCAGGGGCATCCCACTAGGGACAAGAAGATAAGGAACAAAAGATGATGGACAAATGGCCATTCCAACTATCCAGTTATTCACTAGGCATTTATTTAGGGCCCTTGTAGGGCTAAGCCCTGTGACAGGGCCTAATGCCACTGCCAGGAACTGACTCGATCCTGTGGCTCTTGCTGGTGAGGTGACTGTAGTAGTCAGGGTTCTCCAGAGAAACAGAACTAATATACATCTACATCTATATATCTCTATATAGATTTATCCGTATCTATAGATTTCCTATTGGGGGTGTGTGTGTGTGTGTGTGTGTGTGTATACACATATATCCATGAAAGAAAGAAGATTTATTATAAGAAATTAACTCATGCAATTATGGAGGCTGAGAAGTCCCATGTTCTACCATCTGTAAGCTGGAGACCCAGAAAAGCTGGTAGTATAATTTAGTTCGAGTCTGAAAGCCTGAGAACCAGGGGAACCAATGGCATAAATTCCAATCCGAGTATAGGAGAAGATGAGAGATGTTCCAGCTCAAGCAGTAAAGCAGAAAAAGGGGTGAATCCTCTTTCCTCTGCCTTTTGTTCTATTCAGGCCATCAGTGGATTGGAGGGTGGCCACTCACATTGGGGAAGACAATCTACTTTATTTAGTCCATTGAGTCAAATGCTCATCTCACTGGAAATACCTTCACAGACACACCTAGAAGTAGTGTTTAATCAGTTATCTGGGCAGCCTGTGATCCAGTTAAGTTGACACATAAAATTAACTATCACAGTGACCATGGGCACATTGAAGGAGGGGCCGTAGCACTTGATGTGTAGCTTCTAATGAAATCTTAGCCTCATGTTAGGGATCTGGGGCCAAGCCAGGGGTTGGTGAGGCAGATGAGGTTGGGAGCTCTGTGGTACTCAACCCATCTTCACTTCCAGGGCTGAGACTCATAGAGTCACTACCTACCTGTGACTCATAGAGTACTCAGAGCTCAAGGTCATTGTCCCTCCATGCCCCAGAGAGGGCTGTTGTATGCTACTCCAGCCACCACTTCCACGGCCCTCACTGGCTTGGCTAGAGGACTGCACTTCCAGAAGCTGGACTTCTAATATGGGCACAGATTTCCCTGTGGGATCAGTGCACTTCTGAACTGAGACTTCTGACCATAAAGGTTTCCGCTTCACTGCTGGCTCCTCAGGACAATCATTAGGGTCTGTCGTGAATTTTCTGAAGCCCCAGAGCTTGCCATAGAGGATGGCTATTGTTTGGGAACTCTGGAATAGAGAAACACTATCCCTGATATGCTAGTAACTTCCTGGAGGATCCTAAAGGAGATATGAAGACCCAGAATAGTGGCAGTGAGAAGGGATTTCTGACTTTAGGCAACACCCAGTCTAGAACTCAGACTTCTCTCAATTTCTTACAGATCCAATCAAAATCCTGGAACAGATTTTTAAAGAATCCTGAGATTCACCATTAACTCTTGACTGCTGTCTGAAAGTACAAAGCCAGTGTGAACTTGGAAGTTTACAATGGCACTGGTGGTTCTGACTCTACACAGCTTTGGGCTCTTATTTGGATTCAGACACCAATGAGAGCTGTTAGAGAACCCTGACCTGTGAGGAGCCCTGTGGGATCTGATCACCTAAGCCATGTCAACAGCCCAGGCCTCTGGGGCTTTTGGAGCATCAGGTACTGACAGACCTGATGAGTTGAGGCCTGGCTGTGCAGAGAGAACCCAGTGAGAGCCAAACTCAAGGCAGACAGTGAAGGGGACTGTTGATGCTGGTGCGAAGGCTAAGAGAGCCCACCAACCTGAATCTAGGGCCCTGGATGGAAGCTCTTTTGTCTAGAATTAGGAGAGAGAATTGAGTCTCTGGGCTAAGATTTGGAAGTTAGTGAAGGGACTCTGAATGAGACTGACGAGGAGGAGGGTCGCAAATGATAGTGAGTCAGAGCATCTGGGAGCCAGGCAGGGATGAGCAGGGAGTTGAGGGCTGGAGAGTGGGAGTTTGTACTGGGCAGCATCCTGAGACAGGGGTAATGGCTCTGTTGGCTTTTCTGCACTCACTGTGGCCTGACATGTGTGTCTCTGACGTTACCACAGCATGAAGGATGAAGGGTGGGTTAGACAGCGATAAACCGTGGTAGATGCTGGTCTCCATGGTTTGGTTTGCAGGGTCTTGCCAGCCTGGGGACAGAGTCTTAGTGAGACAGGCTTCTCTGGACCAACAGAATCCCCCTTCTTCCTTATTTCCCGCATCCCTCATCCAGTGTGAGATGGCCATGTTTGACCATCCTGCCAGGGTGTGATGACATGAAAAAATTGCATGGGGTGCCTGCAAGGCAGCCATTGACTTCTTTTAGAACTTAACAAAAATTTATCTAGGCAGTTCTTGGCCCCTCCTTAGACAGTGATATGCGTTTCCAACTGCCCCTCATTTAATTTCATTTTAATGGGAACTGGGAAGGGTGCAGTCCTGGTTTTGAGGCAGCCATTTTTTGAGGGCTATGGACCTGTGTGCAGAAGCTGCCCTCTTGCTGCCTGGCCCTGTCAGAGGATCTGGGAAAGGGGTGGGAGAATGTTGACACAGGACCAAGTTTTCTTGCTTTCGTAGGTGCTCATTAGAAATTATTTAAGGGATTATGATATCTCCCCTGCCAGGCGCGGTGGCTCACGCTTGTAATCCTAGCACTTTGGGAGGCCGAGGCGGGCAGATCACAATGTCAGGAGATCGAGACCATCCTGGCCAACATGGTGAAAACCCGTCTCTACTAAAATAAAAAAAAAATTTAGCCAGTCGTGGTGGCGAGTGCATGTAGTCCCAGCTACTCAGGAGACTGAGGCAGGGGAATCGCTTGAACCCAGGAGGTGGAGGTCGCAGTGAGCCAAGATTGCGCCACTGCACTCCAGCCTGGGAGACAGAGCAAGACTCAGTCTCAAAAAAAAAAAAAAAAAAATTTCAGGTAAGAACCTTAGTCACAGTTCCTGGGCTTGGGTTCTGGCTGCTCCCATTGCTTTGGTGAGTGATGTTTTGAGGCACTAAGGAACCCCTCTGAGATTTAGGGAATCATCCATTTAAAATGAAAGGCGGAAGTAAAGGTTCCTTCTTTCAGCCCTCAGAACAACACTCAAACTGCTTGCCATGTTCTTCTACTTGCTCCTGCATGATCTGGCTTCCGCCCACTTCCAGGCTTTACCTTCTCTAGGCCAATCTCCTTCATGACCTACCAGCCACTGGAATTTCTGTTTTTCAAACAGCGTGACTTTATTCTGGCCCCAGGGTCTTTGTGCTTGCCATCTCTCAGAACATTCCATCTTCTGATCTGTGCATGGCTGGTTCCTTCTTATTACGAGTTGCTGCTAGATATGCCTCCACAGAAAGGCTTCCCTGACCTCCCTTTAAAACAACTGCCCTTTTCCTATCCCCCAATTATTTTTACTTCATTATCATATTTTATTTATTTTAATTGCACTTACTATCACCTGAAGCCATCTTATTTTTTTGTGTGTACTTGTTTGTTTTCTGGTTGCCTCACCTCTCTCCACATGGAATGATATTGGGGGCTTTGCTCATTTTGCTCATTGCTGTATCTCCAGTAGTGTCTGGCACATAGCAGGTGCTCAGTAAATGCTTATTGAATAAATGGAGATGCTTATTAACAATTGCCTTGCTTTCTTATCAGGGTGGTTGAGATAACCTAATAAGGTGGTACATGCTTTGAATGTTCTGTGGTGCTAGCCCAAGCATGAGGAGTGGTAACTGTCTGCCTGTATTCTCTGAATATGCTTCAGAACCCTGGGGATATGAGGCCAAGGAGAGGCACGGTGACAGAGGAGCACAGCCAGGGGCCTGGGAAAGTTGAGAAAGGGGTGGAGAAGGCCATGGTGCTTGCCTTATGGGTGCCATTGTTGGCATATGAAAAAATTGCCAAGACTGCCCACATTCTAGACCCATCTAGGAATTATCCAGAAATCCTAGGTTTGAGATGTCCGCTTCAGTCATTGGAAAAGCTTCCTCCCTTCTGTGGCATAAGGTCCCAATGTTCCCAGTTTTCTTGAGGTAGCTGGGTTAGAGGGAAGACCATTGCTTGGGCCTCAGAGACTAACAAGCCAAGGTCTCTGTTAAACTGCTAGTGTTACTAGTAAGACAATGCCATTCGATCCTGGGCAGCCTCTCTTCAGGGAAATATACATTCAACAAACTTTTATTAAGTTCTAAGTCCTCAAATGTAACACAAAGAAGTGGGACAAACAGCCTCTAAGCTTCCTTTCACTTTGATTTCCTAGGGTTCTGAATTGAACGAAGCTCAAGACATTATCTGGCACAGTTTCCATCCACAATCTGTCACTGGCACAGCCCAGAGAGATCTCCGGCTGGAAGCCATAAATTTGGGTGGCTGAACCTGCTGGGAAATAAAAACCATATCAAAACTCATATTTGCATACAATTATCTATTTGCATAGAGCTATTCATTTTCTTGCTGTGGGAGGAGGCTTGTTTGAGAAGAGGATGGCAGCTTGAGGCCTCTCACCTCCCACCCCTGTCCTTTTGCTGGAGTTGGTGTCCACTCCCAGTGTGTCTGTGTCCTGCTGGAATTCTTTCTTTCCCCTGAACTGATGCCATTCATCAGGTCAGGAGCAAAAGTGAGGAGGGTGTGACTAGCAGCACACATGGGATAAGAAGTGAGGGTGTTTAGAAAGCGTCTCTTCTATTGTTTTACTATGGAGGGTGAAGAGGGCCAGCACTTGGACTGCCCAGAGGTGAAGTCCATCAGAACTGGGCTGGTAAAAACTCAGTGCAATAGCAGCCCCCAGGGAGAGGCACTGTCTGCCAGAGAGAATGAAGAAGTTCCTCATCTGATACTAAATATTTCCTTCCCTTGGTTATTTGTCATGGAGAGATCTCAGCAGGTCATTATCATGTTACCACTTAGCCATCAATTAACAAATGTCTACCCCTTTGGGTCATTTCTTATAAATCAATCTCTCTGTTCCCCTCATTATTTGATTGTTTTCTTTTAACAGCCTCTCCTGCACTGTAATTTATGGAGCCTCATCGTCTAAGAGCACTACTCTTGCTCTGAATCCAGGGAAAGCCTTTTGTGGAATTTTAAAGGGCTGGTGAAAAAAATTGCACAAGCAAGAAATATTTTGTTAGATTAAACCTTTTTGAGTTAGCATTATATTCTTTTCCTCCCCAGCACCATGCTGCAAACATAAGGGGCAAAGAGCTCTGGTGTGGGAGTGGGCGAGTCACTGCATTGGGCATGGTTTGCATTTTCTGACTTGAATCTCATTGTGTTATTTCCTCTTCATATTTATTACCACTTAAGGTTCATTTACATTCCCTCTCTGTCCACAGTGATCAGAGCAACACCTCCCAAATTAGTGTCATTTGCAAGTTTCATTAACATGCTGTTTACTCTCCCTTTTTCAGATCATTAATAAAGATGACCCCCATGCACCCTGCCTCCCCCAACCCAATACATTTCCATTTGTCTTCACCCTTTGTTTGCAGACTTTGAGCAAATTTTAAATTTATGTGGCAGCACTCCTTACTAAGTCAATTTGAATTAATTTTGAGTGTAACACTTTATACCACTATATCAAATGCTTTTCTTATAGCTGCATGCATTCCATCAATAGTGTTCTTGCACCTTTCTATTTGGTATTCAGGCTGAAAGCTCTCAGTTCTGCCTGGCATTTTAGTTCTTTAAAAGTCACTCTATCCTCTGTACTGACTAGGGACTTTCTCCTAATTTTTTGGTTATTTTGAAATGATTGATGTTATGAAAGAAAGGATTTGGAGAGCTATTTATGGCAATCGATAGCTTTCATCTTTCTCTCCCACATCTGCTATTATGGTGAATAAGTAATTTTGGTGAAATTCCCTCAAATTCCAGGATGCATGAGACCTGGACCTCCTATTTTGAAGGCTACAGATTTCCCAATACTCCCTTCCCTTGTTTGAAACTGAGTATCTATTTTTTTACCCGTATACCAGTTTTGAAGCTGCTTTACATGCCTGGCATATTGTGGGTTCTCAAAAACTGTTTTTCTGAGCTAATGAATGAATACAATAAAACCTGTCAGTCATTCGTGCTTCTCCCCCCAATCGGTACCAATTCCTCATTTGGTGAGGTAGTGAACAGTTAAAAAAAAAAAAATCAAGGCTGCTAGTGCACAGTATAAGGACCTATAGGTGTCTTACTGTCACTCATTTATTTATTCCACATGTATTTATTGAGACTTTACTTTGACCAGATACTGTTCTAGGCTCTGAGGGTATTGCAATAAATAGACAGAATCTTTTTCTTCTTATACAGTTTTGAGAAAGAGACAATCAACAAACATACAGGTATATATCATCAGACTGTGATAAGTATTATGAAGGAAAATAAAGATAGATAGAGACACCAAGAGAGATTTTATAGCATTTGAAGGCTATTTTTTTGTGACTGATTTATCATTTTTAGCTCTAAATCTTTTATCTGGAAAGATGTAGAATTTCCAGAAGCTCAACAGTTAGAAATAATGACTAACACAACACGTAGAATTTCATTATAGCAGGTGGTTAGGCAGTCCCTATTTGAGACTCATCTTATGTGTACGAGCAGATGCACCCATGCTGGGCCAGAATCTGGATTTTTTTTTTTTTGAGTCAGAATCTCGGTCTGTCACCCAGGCTGGAGTGCAGTGGCGCTATCTCGGCTCACTGCAAGCTCCGCCTCCCGGGTTCACGCCATTCTCCTGCCTCAGCCTCCCGAGTAGCTGGGACTACAGGTGCCTGCCACCAGGCCTGGCTAATTTTTTGTAATTTTTTTAGTAGAGATGGGGTTTCACCATGTTAGCCAGGATGGTCTCGATCTCCTGACCTCGTGATCCGCCCGCCTCGGCCTCCCAAAGTGCTGGGATTACAGGCGTGAGCCACCGTGCCCAGCCTTTGAATCTGGACTTTTTATAAGTACCTGGGACCCTCCCAGTTCAGGCGTCTTTAACAAGACTCGAGGGATGTTACCTTTCGGACTTTATGAAGATCAGCAAAGCATTGATGGAGAGCACTGAGTTCACCCAGTGGACTGTACCAGGTACAGATTACCAAAGGGTCCACTTGGTATGAAGGTGCATGCATCAGACCAGAGATAGCTTACAGACCCAGTAAAGGAAATCTCAGCAGGAGCCTGCAAGGGCTGCAAGTCAGGCTGAGGACAGACGTCAACCCACCGAGACGGGTGCTGAGAGGACCTCAGCTTCTTCCTGAGTTCAGGCCTATAGCACACCGGCTGGCTGGGGCCACTCTTAACAGGGATCCTTATTCTTAAGTGAAGTCACTTATGCAGTCAATTTCATGATGGCTTTTTATTGTTTTTACATTTGCTCTTTTTCTCTTTGGTATTTTATTTTGTCTTCCTAATACCTTTTTGTTGAAAAAGGATTGTTCCAAAATGCCAAAACAGCTGTCATTTTTATATTGGAAACCCTAAGATGGCGCTTCTTCACCCACAGGATAGCAATGAAGTGCTTAACTCAGCTCTCACAACTTCCAGCCTGGGGCCTCCCCAGCTGTGAAGCCTCATGGGCTGCCCCGTCCTGCCTCTCCTGCTCTTGGGCTCTGACAGGACCCAATCCCCTGTGCTCCTCCGTCACACTAGATGACCTCCTGCTTCTCTGTGCTTCCCTCAAGGTTCCTTCTGCGTGGAATGTCCTCCCTTCTTCACCTGCAAGCTCCCACTTAGCCTTAGATGTATCCTAGGTGCCACTTCCCCCAAGCCCCAGGCTTTAGGACCCTGGACAGCTCTCTACCATCACCCTTACACATTGCTAGTGGGTTTCCAGAATGACAGGGACAATGTCTTATTCATTTTTGTATTGACATTACCTAGGACAGCCCCAGGCACAGGGCAGGCATTCAGGAAAGGTTTGTTAAAGGAAACTGAACTGAAGATGAAAGAAGTGAGGAGTTTTCAATCCCACTTTGCTGTTCAGGAGACTGAGGCTGGGGAGGATAAGCTGCATGATCCAGGCCATCCGGGGATACCTAGGATGGGGCTGATATCAGAGTGCAAGACAGTGGGCGCCTATTCACCAGATCTGCTCCCGTGTCCTAGGTGATTTCAAAGCACCGTGAACTCAAAGAGCTCAGCTGTCTCTCAGCTCATTGGCATCGTTTTTGTTCAAAATATTTCTGATTTGCAACTAATGACTTTTGGTGTTTTTTAGTTATCAGTTGACCTATTTTTGTTGGTGGAGTTTATTTTTTCTGTAAACGTTCTTATTCATTTTCAAGTTAAATAAAATCTGACTTTTATCCCCAAAGGAACTTAGATTTCAAACCCCTGACTTGAGCAGGATTTTGGTTGGAGTTTGGGTTTGACTCATCTCTTTGATTAAAGGCTTATCTTCTTCTAAATAACATGTCTTAATAGTTACTCTTTCCCTTTCTAGACCTTCTAAATTTAGATAAATGAGACCAATTATCGCTTCCAGAATGTTCAGTTTCTACTCTGGTCCTAAAATTTGGTCTCTAAGAGATGTTGATTTTCTTCCTGTGGGATCATTTAAATTCTGCATTTTCCCAGTTGGTATCCTTATGGGAGGGGAGGAGGACTGTGGGCGGGGCAGGCTGGCTGCTTGCTAACCAGGAGACACAAGGAGGGGCTTTCAGCCTCCTGGGAGCCTGGTTGTGACCCACAGAGACCTCACCAGCTGTGGGCAGAGGGATGGCCTGCGGCAAGGTAGCTGGTGCATGAACAAGCCTTTGAGATCATCGTGTCTGTGGATACCCAGGTAAGGGAGAGAAACCTCTGAAAATGTGCTATGATGATGTGAAAACTGCAAGGGGAGGAGAGATGTTTTTCAATTCCTTTTCTTCTTTGCAACTTCCAGAGATGATCTTGAATCTGTGATGGGCAGATATGGCATATCCATACATCATTTCAATACATATTTATTAAGCACCTACTGTGGGCCAGGCACTGAGCCACACTGTGCATAGCGGGTAAACAGGAAGACACAACCCTGCAGTCTGGAGAAAAGGAGGGTTTGCTGCCAGGGGCAGGGAGAATTATTCCTAGCAGAGCCTCAGAGCTTGGGAGAATAACTTGGGAACTGCTTATGCTATTGTAAGACCTGGAGATGGGGAGAAAGAACCAGAGGATTTCTTTTCTCTGATGCCTGCCTGCTTTTCTCTGCTGAGTTTCCCAGCCTCATCAACCCTGACTACCTACCTGCTCTCCCACCCAGACTCTCCCCGCAAAATGTGAGCCTGTAACTCTGGATCCCCAGGGCCTCAGCAGACAGAAACCATTTTGGGCAAGACACAGTTAGTGTACAATCTGAGATTGCTGAGATGTAGGGCTGAACAACCCATGCTTGATCCCTGGATATGAAGCTCACTAGCACTAGGGTAAACAGATTTAGAAGAGGAATGACCATTTACCCAATTAAAGATAGAATCCTTAGAGCAATCTAGAAGTCTACAATGTAGGATGATTGCAGTGTAAGTACACACTAGCTCTGTTCAGAGGATGGTATTTTAACTAGAATCCTTGGGCTGATCCCACTTTTCCGGGCTTCTGAATATTGACTTCTATGTGAAATGTTATTCTGTGTGTGAGCATATATGCATTTTTTTTTTTTCTGAGAAGGGAGTCTGTAGTTTTTATTAGATTCCTAGCAGGGTACTGTTTTAGGGTCCAGGAGCCTTGATTCCATCCCTTGGCTCCTATCTTTACCAGCTGAGGTAGGGGAGTCACATGGGCTCTGTTTTCATCTACAATAGAATAAAATAACAGCATCTTCCTCACATGGCTGTTATGAAGTTAAAATGAGAAACGTGGGTAAACTACGTGATTTGCAAACCATACACTACTACATGAATGCCTGGAATGGCCATGTGGTCCTCGTCCCTCCTTCCCCATTACCTCTCCCTTTCCCCTTACCTCCTCCCAACCTAGTTAACTTCTAATTGTTCTTCAATACCCATTCCCAGGAACACTTCAAAAAAGTTTCCCCTGGCTGCTAAGCTTGCTCCTTCTGGATAAGGTGCCCCTTACCCCTTCACTGTACTACCCTTCTCTTAGCTGACCTCTAATAACATAAATTCTACCCTGTTGCAATCATTTACTTCCTCTTCCTGACCTGGCTCTTCTACCCAGATTGCATGATCCTTGAGGACAGGCATGTCGACCTGGTTGTTTTCTCTGCCTGTCACAGTGTAGCTTTAATATAATTTTATTCAATCAATAAAATGTTAGTTAATTTATTTTTAAATTGTGCTTTAATGAGCTAACTCCTGATTATTTTTATCTATTCATCAAAGGCAGACTTAGTTCCTTTTACTATGTGTAAATGAAAGTGATAAAATGGAATCCTTTAAGAGCATCTTACTACTGTCTATTAGGTTGGCCTTCCAGCAAATTAGTCTGAATTAATGAGGGTTCATCTCCCTCTGTTGAGGGAGGCAGGAAATAAAGCAGTTGCTTGCTGCGGTGCCAGGCCAGGTACTGTGACTACCACAGTAACTTCCCTCCTCACTCACAGAACAGCACACGCCTCTGTAGCCTACTACCTGTGGCACAGGCTGACCAAGGGGATTAGGTCTGGGGCTATACAACTCTAGAAAGTCTCGGCAGGGCGTGGTGGCTCATGCCTGTAATCCCAGCACTTTGGGAGGCTGAGGCGGGTGGATCATGAGGTCAGGAGATCAAGACCATGCTGGCTGACACGGTGAAACCCTGTCTCTACTAAAAATACAAAAAAAAAAAAAAAAAAAAAAATTAGCAGGGCGTGGTGGCAGGTGCCTGTAGTCCCAGCTACTCAGGAGGCTGAGGCCAGAGAATGGTGTGAACTCGGGAGGCAGAGCTTGCAGTGAGCCGAGTGAGCCACTGCACTCCAGCCTGGGCGACAGAGAGAGAGTCCGTCTCAAAAAAAAAAAAAAAAAAAAAAAGCAACTCTAGAAAGTCTCCCAGAGGCAGCACACTGCTGTGGCAACAGGCTGGCCTGAGCCTCTCTCAGCCCCTTTCATAGGCA
Source organism: Homo sapiens (assembly GCF_000001405.40). NCBI lineage: Eukaryota > Metazoa > Chordata > Mammalia > Primates > Hominidae > Homo > Homo sapiens. The sequence continues at coordinate 135,749,809 of NC_000003.12, read as the reverse complement.
CTGTAATCTTCTGATCATCTTCTACTCCTTTCCTTTGTTATTTACTGGCAGTAGCCATTGCAGATGTGTCTTCTGAAGTTCCTCTTCCTGGTCTCTCCTGGATTTTCCTCTATTTTGTCTCCTGCTCCCATTGCAGGAAGTGCCACAATTTCCATCCTCCCTGCTTTCATTTGTATTACTGGAAGGAAAAAAGAATTATGTGCTTCCCATCAACTCCAACTCAGCTGGCACTAGACATTGTGTAGAGTGATGTAATGTTACCAAGGAGGAAATTATTAAAAGGATGAGGCTAATTTTCTAATTCACACCTGGAAAGCAAATCTGATGGTGCTTGCACAGATCTTTAATGAAATAACATTGTCTAAGTAGTTTCCAGAGAAATTCATCACTAATTGATTTTTGAACTGTGGAAAAAGATAATACAGAGAGATGAGATATTAGCTTCCCTCTGGCCTGACTCCACCACGAGCTTTCCAGTTCCTTAGTCTGCTTTTCCATGGAAAATCGATAGCAGCTTTCTGAATTGGTGTTGCAGACAGTAAGGCCCACATAAAGGCCTATATTTGGATGGGATGTGTTTTCTTTCTGCTTCAGTTTTCCATCATTTGGGCCCTGCTGTGAGTTCTTGGTGAAAGCCATGGATTTCCATGGTAGAATTGGAAGATTCATTTTGTGACACAAGAGAAAGGCAGCAAGCAGGAGAAATGCACTTGGGCTCAGGTTGGGTGTCCTCAAAACTGGCAGGTCTGTAGTGGGAACACAAGGGCACAGCCTTCCCTTTAACTTCAGAGGCTTCTCAGACTCCCCCAACCCCAACATATGCATTCTTTATGTATACTTACATATTCTTTGATAGGGACCACTGAAAGTTTCTTATTCTTATATAAAGTATGAATAAAAGCATTTAAATAAAATTCTGTTTTTAAAAAGTCGGCCTGAAACATGTAATCCAATTTAAAACTGAGTGCCAGCTATGCAAAGCCACCTCTATGATTAGCTCCCCAGCCCTTCTTCACCCAAGTTGCCATGTTCCTGTCCATCCTCTTCAGAATTTTTGAAGATGCAGCTCCTGGGTGTTGAACTCCTGGGCTAGCCGGAGAGGTTCTTCTTGTATTATCTCCTTGCAGCTGCTCAATTCCATCTGACTTCTATGAATTTAAAGGAATTTTGAGAATCAATAGAGTTCCAGATCTCAGGAGAAATAGCTTTGGCTTAAAGGGACTTACTCCAAGTCTGGCTTGTAAATGTATTAAGGCAGCTTGCCTCAACTTGAGGTGCGCTTCATAGATCCAACCGGTAGACTTTGCCAGGTCCTCTGCTGCATGCTGGTGAGCGATTAAGACCTACTTTTGGACCTACTTTTGTACTACCAGAGCTCACAGCTGGTGAGATGGAAGTACCATGGCAGGGAGGCTCAAAATGCTATGACCTCTTTGAGGTCATATGTCTCCTTCAATCTTGGGGACCCCAGGAAGATTTCCAGAGGAGGGGCTGCTGGGCTGAATCTGGAAGGAGGGAGGCTATGCCCACTCTTTTTTTTCTGAGACGGAGTCTGGCTCTGTCCCCCAGGCTGGAGTGCACTGGTGCGATCTCAGCTCACTGCAAGCTCTGCTTCCAGGGTTCACGCCATTCCTGCCTCAGCCTCCCGAGTAGCTGGGACTACAGGTGCCTGCCACCAGGCCTGGCTAATTTTTTGTAATTTTTTTAGTAGAGATGGGGTTTCACCATGTTAGCCAGGATGGTCTCTATCTCCTGACCTCATGATCTGCCCGCCTCGGCCTCCCAAAGTGCTGGGATTACAGGCGTGAGCCACCATGCCCGGCTGGCTAAGCCCACTCTTTAACTCATAAACTTTTCCCTCCAGGGAGCCTCATACATCCCCTGTGGCCCCCACCCTGGACTTTGATATGGAATAATCTCTTATCATATCAGGATCTTTGCAGGATTTTTCTGCTCTTCTTGTCAATGTATATTTAACTCTGCTTTATCCCCACTCCTCTTACAAACTCTCACCGTGGCTCTTAGGGATCTGTTAGGCTAGTTCTCAGTATGGTGTTGATGATAATAGCAGTTCCAAAGTTCACTCTCAAACTGTTATTCCCATTTTCACCTTTCTTAGAGAGATTAATACAAGGCAGGTTAGACTTAGAGTCCGGGAGGCACTATTGGTGTGGACATTTCCTTGCTCTTAAAATGATGTTTAAGGATTCACTAACTCTGGCTTCTGTAAGACTTGCTTTTCTGGGTGGTTTGGACATTGAGTGCCCCTTTAGGAGCCTTGCTATGGTGTGTGGGCGGGTGCGGGAGGGCACCATCTGGTCCATGAAGGCCGGCGTGAAAGCCTTGTTCTGCCAAGGTGATGTTTACAGGGGCGGGAGCACTGATCTGTGGTCTGCCACTGACCATTTTGGGCAAGGTATTATCCCCTCAGTCCCTACCTCTGTAAATTGCAAGAGTTGAAAACCAACTCTGAGAGTTTCTGTAGCTCAACCATTCCGGGCTTGTCTATATTGGATGCTTTTTCACTCCTCATTTTTTAGGGCAATATGGAAACACACTAGCACCCTGCCAGAAAGTGAATTTAATTTATCAAGGGTGTAACCATTTATTTTTATTCAGTTTATAAAATAATATTAATTGCAATGATGTTAATAACAACCTGAAATTTTGTGGGGCTTGTCTAGTTTACAGTGTTTTTATATCCTTGATCTCTTTGGGTCTCCAAGTCATCTCTATGAGGTGCCATCTGTGAGCACTTAACCATATGCAATGTAGATTCGTCATGTCCTTTAACCCTCTCAACAATTCTATGAGGCAAATATTATTATTATCTCAATATTTCAGATGAGGAGTCTGAACCTCAGAGAGGTAAAGTATCTTTCCTGAGGTCATGCAGCTAGTGTAAGTCTTTGGAGGACAGTTTCCTTCTATGGCGGTAGTGTGCCCACTTTCATTCTCTCTGAGCCCCTCTTATTCCAGAGACCTTTTAGTTGGCTATGTACTATTGCTATGCAGTGGGGTGGAGGGGCTGCTGTGTTTTTAGCTCTGAACAGCTTATAATGCCAGGTCACAGTGAAATTTCTTTGTGATTTGACCATGAGGCAGCATGACCTACCAGAGTTGGATAAGCCTGGGCAATGTGGGATGCTGTTCACTGGGGAAGGTAGTTAAGGATATGAACTGGGGATATAGCATGAAGAGAGAAAATGAAAACAGTTATGTAATTTGGTAGAGAACAGTACAAGAGTGGGACTTTTAGAGCAATTGAAGAGAGGTCTGAATAGTTGAGAGACTGGCTTTAGAGGCAACTAAAACTCCAAGGAGTCATAAGGAAAAGAGAAGGAGAAAATATTCTTGCTTCTTGACCAGAATAACATGAAAGTTAAGGGGGATTGAACGTAAGTGTTCAAACATTTGGAAGACAGTGGCAGGCTGTTGTAGGATTTCACTGAAGATGACACACAGAGGACTGGTTAAATTGGAGCACTGCAGAAGGCAGGTGCTTTGTTAGCTTCTAGGAAGGATTTCTTGGATGCCAGGCATTTCTCACACTGTAACAGATGTCAAGCTACTTGCAATGAACAGGATATCAGTCAAGCCACTTGGGTGCCCAGCACTCTTGTACACCCTTTCTAAGTTTGGGGAATTTCTCATTTACTGAGTCTGTGCCTCAAGTAGAAAGCCAGAAATGGGCTTTCCAAGCTTCCCTTGTATAGAATGCAAGCCTAAGTTCCTGACCAGAGGCACCTGTGTCTGGCTTCAGTTAGGAAGCCAGTGATGCTAGGAAGCAGGTGTCCAGAGGAATTTATTCTGGTGAGAGAAGGGACATAGATATTTAGCATCTAGATGCAGCAATCACAGAGTTGATTGTGGAAACACACAGTGCTCAGTGCTGTGGGTGGGACCTGTGGTTTCTGTGTCAGTGGGGATGCTGATGGGGACCCCATGAAAAAAATCTGGAGGATACTGTGATTGATCCACTGTTCCTGGCTGTAGGGCTTCCCGGAGACACTCCAGAGAACTAGCAACACTTTTTAATAATTTCATTTTCTTCTTAAATCAGCTAGGGAGTGTTCTTTTGTCCACACCTAAGAACCTTGACTGGTACAACAGGTAACTGAGGGCGCTTATAGAGTCTCTGGAGACTTTTAGAAGTAGGAAAAACACTTGGCTGTCAGTTCAGTATGATCAGAGTATGTATCAGTCAGGGTTCTTGGTTGCAAACAACAGAAACCAACTCTTTGTATTTTAAGCAGAAAAGAAATCTATTGAGGTTTCAGTGATTCAATGAGATGCTGAAGAATCAGTACGAAATATGGACAAAAATTGAGAGCTTGAGTTAAGAACCCTCTTAGGACAACTGGGCCAGGAAGCATCCTTTGCTTCTCTAGGGTAGCGCTTGACCTGTCATTAGACACCAGGAATTAGATACCATTATGGCTGCCAGGAATAAACCTGACTATCCCAGAGTCTTCATACCACTCACTCTAGCTTCTGGATAAGGGGTCTATCTGTCTGAATTTCCAGGGAATACATACAGGCAGAACCCCCAACCTTTGGACTTCTGAGGTAAGAGGCTGGGTACTGAACCCTACCAGCATTACACACAGGGCAACATTGACTCAAAGAGAAGGAGGAGTTAGATACAGCAATAATAGATGTCCATATCGGGGCTGGAAAAGGCAGTCACATGCAGCCTCATTGATCCTTGCATGGTTGCATATGAGTGTGTCGTCAGACCTGGAACATTTTCTTATATAGCGATAAAAAGCCGTCACAGCCTATGCTAGACTGATTGCCCTGTTTAGGAGTATCTTTCCCTGTTCTGGATTTGATATTAACTTTTTTGTTTTGCTTAAGTATATGCATCATGTGGCACCACACCTGGCAATCCCACTGCTATATCTGTTCACAACACAGTCCTTTGCCTTTAATACAAGAGGAGTGCATGCAGACAATCTCCCTGCATCAGCTCCAGGGCTGGCTTACTGGCCATGGGAGACCAATGGTCACTATTGAAGCTGACCTTGCTCTGTCTTTTCTCTAAGATGCTGTTCCAACCAGTGCCTCTGGGAGTTGTGTCTTTCTTGGTAATCTTGACATCTACAAACCATGCAGTGTGTTGACATTTTGATACTGCCGCTCCTGGTGATATGCAACAGGTCTCACTTGCTTGACAAGGGCACGTGTCTTTAGCTTAATGCTATAAGATGTTGAGCTGTAAGAGATAAATGCAGGACAAACTCCTAACAGATAAAGAGGCCTGTATTAGTCAGGGTTCTCTAGAGGGACAGAACTGGTGGAATAGTCATATATATAAAGAGGAGTTTATTAAGTACTAACTCATATGATCACAATATCCCACAATAGTCCGTCTGCAGGCTGAGGAGCAAGGAGAGCCAGTCAAAGCTCCAAAACTGAAGAACTTGGAGTCTGATGTTCGAGGACAGGAAGCATCCGGCACGGGAGAAAGGTGCAGGCTGGGAGGCTAGGCCAGTCTCTCTTTTCACATTTTTCTGCCTGCTTATATTGTAGCCACTCTGGCAGCTGATTAGATTGTGCCCACCCAGATTAAGGGTGGGTCTGCCTTTCCCACCCACTGATTCGAATGTTAATCTCCTTTGGCAACACCCTCACAGACACACCTAGGATCACTACTTTGTATCCTTCAATCCAATCAAGTTGACACTCAGTGTTAACCAGCAAAAGTCCTCTATGCTGCAAAAATCAATGATGGGACAAAAAAATCACTGTCTCATCCTGGTTTTTATTGTTTATTTATATACTCTATCCCCTTTTTATGTTACATTTCCCCCCATATTTAAAGCAACTGCTGGAACAATGGTATCACATGCTCCATGATTCATCCATCCATCCATCCATCCAATCCATCCATCCATCCATCCATCCATCCATCCATCCATCTATCCACCTGTCTATCTATCTATTCACCCAGTAAGCATTTACTATGAACCTCCTCTGGGCGTGCCCCAGAAAGTTGCTGGTGATGCAAGAATTAATGAAGCGGTCTCTATTTATTTATTTATTTATTTTTATTTTGAGACTGAGTTTCCCTCTTGTCACCCAGGCTGGAGTGCAATGGCGTGATCTTGGCTCACTGCAACCTCCGCCTCGTGGTTCAAGTGGATTCTCCTGCCTCAGCCTCCCAAGTAGCTGGATTACAGGTGTGTGCAACCATGCCCGGCTAATTTTTATATTATTAGTAGAGACAGGGTTTCACCACGTTGGCCAGGCTGGTCTCGAACTCCTGACCTCAGGTGATCGGCCCACCTTGGCCTCCCAAAGTGCTGGGATTACAGGTGTGAGCCACCATGCCCAGCCAGCAGTATCTTTAAGTAGCTCAGTCAGTGAGGGAGTTGCTATGCAAATAGAGAATTACAATATAAGGTGTATTAGTTTTCCGTTGCTGTGCAAAAAGTCACCACAAATTTAGTGGCTTAAAACAATACTGATTTATTAGCTCACATTTCTGTAGGTCAGAAACCCATTATGGTATATCAAGTTCAGGGCATCAGAAGGCTGAAATGGAGGTATTGGCTGGACTGACTTCTTGTTTGGAGGCTGTGGAATAATCTACTTCCAAGCTCATCCTTGTTGGCAGAATCCAGTTCCTCAAGGTCATAGGACTAAAGTCCCCATTTCCTTGTTAGCTGTCAGCCAGAGACAGTTCTCAGCCCCTTGAGGCTGCTCTTAGATCTTTGCCCAAGGGTCCCTCCATCTCAGCAGCTGAGAATCTTCCTCATGTTGAATCTCTCTGACTTTTATTTTTGCAACCAGCTGGAGAAAGTACTGTTTTGAAAGCACTGTTTTTAAAGCACTCTTGTGATTAGGTCAAGACCACCTGATTAATCTTCCTATTTTAAGGTCAACCAAATAGCATATACTATATAACATAATGTAATTACAGGACTATAATCCATTATAATTGATGAAGGATTTTTCTTGACCCCTTTGTCAGACTTGCAACGGGGGTGCCCTGTTTACTTGGCTTACTGGGCTCAACTTCTTGCAGGAGGGAGCATGTGAGTGAGTGAATGCGGGATCTGATTGGGTGCTTTAAGGCGCCAGCAGGAGCAGGTTCTATGTGGGCCTCAAGGGATGTCGGTGCCCCGCTGGGGGAGCCTGCAACCCCCGAAGCCCCAGGGGATGTGTTACAATGCTCTCTTAGCTCTGCTGTCTGTGGACAGTGGTGTGTTATCAGCTCAGTGGGCCCCTTGCCTTGTTGCATGGAGTGGCTGCCCTCCATTAGTGAGGGCAGAGGGCCAGTGTGACAGCCTTTTTTGGGTACCCACACTTGGTAGGTCCTGATTGTCTGGCATCCAAGAAGAATGAGGTCACCCAGACACTTGAAGGATGGTGAAGGTGGATAATTTTATTAAGCAATGGGAAATGGCTCTCAGCAGAGAGGGGAGCTGGAGAGGGCACAAGACGGGCAGATAATCTTCCCCTAAAGTCCAGCTGTCTCTAGTCAGCTCTTCCCTGTAGTTAAGCAATCTCTCTGAAGTTAAGCTGTCTCTCCTCTGAAGTCCAGTTGTCCCTCTGAAGTCAAGTCACCTCTCTCCAGTCAAGCTGCTTCTCTCTCCTTTACTGACTGATTCTGGGGTCTTTATAGGCACAGCATGTGGGGCGAGGTGGGCCATAGGTAGTTTTGGAAAAGGGAACATTTGACTGGTAAAAAGACATTATTCAGAAAGAACCAACTGGGAGAGAGCCGGCAAACAGGGATAGAAGTTCTCACTTTGGGCCGTGGGTTTCAGGCTTTTCGGCTCAAAGGTGGGGTTTCACTGGAGACCTGTCCCCAGTCTGCCTAGAATTTCTCTGCCTCCTGCCTCTATCATTATCATTGGCCCAGAAATTATGCAGCGCATAATTATGAAATTATGTACACTGGGAGGGGGTGTATGGAAAATCTTTGGGACATCACAGAATCCTGCCTACTATGCAAAGTGGCATGTGCTATTTTGGAGGCATACACAAGGAATCATAGGAGTACATAGTTTTAGAGGTGGGAGAAGCCAGGGAAGTCTTTTTGGAGGGCTATTATCTGTAGGGGTGCCTTTGGAAGGATGTCAAAAGTTATTCAGTTGACAGGGTTGAGAAGCACTTAGCCCTACAAAGTGAAGATTGGTCATAGGACTGTTCCAGCTAGAAGGAATGACTTATGTGGGGCCAGAGGTATGACACAGCATGGTGTATTTGGAAATAACAAGTTTGGGGTTACTGGAGAGTAAATATTTTCCAAGGAAGGGAGTGGTGAGATGGGGACCTGGAGAGGCCCGGAGGAGTCCAGACTAAGGATCTGGGAGAATCAGATCTTTGGGCCCTCTCACAAAATGTTTGATTTGGGGTGGGGCCCAATAATTTGCGTTTCTAACAAGCTCCCAGGTGATACGGATGCTGCTGGCCTGGGGCCACACTTTCAGAACTGCTGCTCTGCAGAATGAATGGGAAGAGAGCAATTCTGTGGGTCCAGTAGGAGGTCATGGTACTAGTCTAGCAGGAGATAATGAAGCTCTGACCGGGTTCAGAGCCAGGGCATTGAGGGTGGGTATAGTGTGGAGTAAATGGGATTTAAAAAAAGATTTAGGAGGGAGGCAGTACTGGGGTATGGGTGTAAGAGACAAGGCAGTTAGGGCTGACCCCTGCTCTGGAGAGACCTGGAAGGAATCTTAGCCATGACCCAATCCAGCCCTCTAATTCCTCTGATGGGCAATGTGAGGCCCAGAGAGAGGAAGTCACACCTTCAATATCACACAATTGTTGGTATTGGCACTGGGACAGGGGAACCAGATTCCCTGGACTCTGCAACACAGCATTTGTGAATTAATTTGGAAGGAAGAAAACAAAATAAAACCAAGGCAGCCCCAGCTCTCCCAGAAACTCCTTGTCAGTCTCATTTCCCTGGCTCCTATCTCCTTTGTCTGCCACTTGGCCCAGCATGCTTCTAGGGTAAAAAGCATTGCAGCCTGTGTACAAGAGGAGAAGGAAGTTCCTCCCCTGGACATAGACCTGTACAGGGTTCCTGAAGGAGAGGTCAAACTTATCAAAGGTGTTTTAAGTCTCCTAACTGATTCTTTCAGCCCTGGGCTCTTGGTTGCAGGAGAATTTTCATGGCTGAGATACTCTACCAGTGACAAATTTGCTGAAGCATGGAGACGAGATTGGGAAATTGCAGCATGCTCCTTGGATTTCCAAAGGGACAATACTGAGTACGGACATTCCTTCTCACACACACGTACGTTGGAGTGCACACACATGAGATGGAGATCAATCTTAACCCCCAAAGGTCCCTTTGTCTCACTGAAGTGCTTATTAAATGAATCTATGTTTCCACTGGCAGCTCTGAGTCATCTAGAAAGGGAACACAATGCGATGTCAGTCAGTATTTGTTACTGTCAGAGCCTTCCTCGCAGCCTGCCCTGCGTTTATTGTCTTTTTGGGGCCCGTTTTATCCATTTTCTGTGGGTAAAGTCATTAATCTTCCTCCTGGCTCGGGTGCTGTGCATCACTGACAGCTGGGGTCCTGGCTTCCTGGGCTGCTGGGTAAGGGCACCTCCGGGCCTCTTGGTGACAGAGTTTTGATTAGAAAGAGTGAAGAGCAAGCCAAGCCTTTAAGAGGACCCAGGAGGCGGGGTGTAAGTGTCTGTGGTCCCAGAAGGCACTGGGGATCAGTGGAAAAGGTCACCCTGTTTTTGAATCATCTGCAGTGTACCCTGACACCAAAATACACTTAGTCCTATGCAGAGTCACTTGATAAAGAGGCTAATGAAGTGGAAAGATGTCAGCAGAGCTAAGCAGGCCAGGCTCTCGGGGATGCACCATGATTCAACCTTCTGTTACCATGGAAACCAGGGAGGCTTGGCTTCCTTTTTTCTCTCCTTCTTTTTGGAAGGTCTCTCCTTGGTAACCTTGACCCTTTCACATTGGCAGCCAGAGACAAGAAATTCCATTTTCCCTTATCTGGTCATGGTTGGATGGTAAGACTCTGATGGGTGTGTGATGGGGGAGGGGTGCTGGCCAGGGGCTCTGGAGTGCCTTAATTCAAATGCATAAAGTGGAGGGTGGGAGGCGATAGAAAAAGAACACAGTTAATTAAGGTTGATATTGCAGAGAAGGTTGTTTTCTGAATAATAAATTCTGTGGGCTTCAAAAACAAGTGCAATTAAAGGAGTGCAAAAAGGAGAGACAGTTGAAGGGCAGAGGAGGACCAGTCTTTTCGGGGGTGAAAAGGGGGATACAGGGTGCATCTAAGAGGCCCTCACTATGCTGGGATCTTGATAGGCAGAACAAATACTGTGTTTGATGATCATTTGTGACATTGCTGCCTGTACAAATGCTCTTTGCCTTGAGCAGTCGAGTCATTTACATCCTTAGCTAAAGAAGGGCTTTGAAGTTGATCCAGAAGGGAGGATTGGCCTTAGGTTGCTATCAAGGAGAGGGCTTTTGCTTCAATTTACTCTCAGAAATGTTGTTCCTGGGCAGATGTTTCCTCAGTCATGTTGTACATCACTTTTCAGTTCAAGTGCCCACTACACCTTTCTGTTCTCTGTGTCTTCTGGAATAAATTATTGATTGAGAAACATGTATAAATTCCTGGCCAGTTAAAGCTTGGTGCTCCTTGGGCTGGACGTCCAATCCTGAATCAGACGGAGGAGTGGGTGGCCAATGACATGCAGTCTTAACATAGCCCCCTTACCCACCCCTCAATAGTAATATGGGTTTGAACGAGTTTTTACAGAAATAAATATAGTGTCAGCCTCACCCAAACATCTTTTCTGTTATAGAAACCTTTACTTAACTTCAACAGATGTCAAGAAAGTAATATGTATCTTTTACAATAATTATTATAAAGGTAAAAATCTTAGCCTGTCCTATGTTATAAAGGTGTTTTTCTTTTACAACTGTGAATCAGGAAACACATCTTCAGGTGTGTACAAGATCTGGGAGATCTCAGATTTGGCTAGGCTACCGGGGAGGAAGTTCTCCATGGTTGACAAAGGTGGCTAGGTTTTCAGGATTTTCCTAATCCACCCATTCTTATCACATTTTAATTGGTGACCCCACTTGGGGCTGGGGTGATGTGACTGGGAAAAGGGCTGGAGGGAACCACACTCCCTCATCCAGCTAAGAACCACACTCCCTCATCCGTATTCCCTCATCCAGCTGGCATAGGGGAACGCTGAGAGCAGAAGGGATTTTACCTCCCTTCACATAGATTGTGTATAGAGATTTCCTGTGTATGACATAGATTATGTATAGAGATTTTCCTGTGTATGATTTATCAATAAAGAATTGCTCAAATAAATTATGCTACATCTATAATGGAATACAATGCAGCTGAGTAAAAGGATGAGGAAATGCTGGAATGATACGGAAAACATTCCAGCATCTATTTTTAAGTGAAAAAAGCAAGAGCAAGCAGTGTATGTATTATATTTTGACTTCTATTAGAAAAGGGAGAGAATCAAGAACATATCTTCATATATGATTGCATTTCCATGAAAAAACCATGGCAGTACACAAAATCAATAAATAAAATAAATAAATTTTAAAAGCAGCCAGGGGAAGGATGGGGTGAGAATTAGATTGAAAGGCAGACTCCATATATACACTTTTAAATTTAATTTTTGAACCACACACGTTTATTACTTATCCAAACATTAAATGAATAGTAGAAAACACAAAGTTAAAATTACAAAATGGTAAATGAAAATATATATATAAAAAAAAAAAAAAACAGGAAAAACCAGTAAAATCTCTTCAAAAATTCTTTTCCCTATGTTCTTGCTTGGGGAACTCTTTCTTTCCTTTCTTGCTGTCTCCTGTTTTTCCTTTTCTTCCTTCCTTGTTAGAAAAGGGCTTTAAGATGAATTGAGGGGAGAATAAATACATATACTACAAAACAGATTTTAAAAAGTTTTCTTGGAGCTGATGATGTCAGCAAGATGGCAGCATCAGAGATAACCCACTTATATTGCCCCACAATAATAAAAATTCTGTACCCATTTACAGAACGCAATCTCTTAGAGGGAGCCTTGGAATTCAGATAGGAGCTTATGAAACCTCAGTGGAGTCTAAGACATAGGAAGGCCATTCTGAGAGTGCATGCCAGCACCAAGGTAGCAGACCCTACAATCATGCTCCCAGGTTCAAATCCAGAAACAGCTTAATTCCCCAAAGAGCTTGGCCATGGGCCCATTTGGCCTTGAGCCTTCAACCAAAACTCTTTTCCAAGGAGTCCGGGAGGAATCATGCACATTAATGCCTTGGCAGGAAGGCTTGTCTGTCCGCTGATATCAATCTCAGCAGTGGATCTGAAGGTCACCCTGTATCTCAGCTCCAGCCCTCTTCAGCTGGTCTCAGAAGGAAAGCTGTCTTTATCTTAAAGACGGGGCATTACCTATCTGTCTAAACTTCTATGAGGAGCCCACCAGCCACCATTCCACAGCAAATCCTGAGGGGGCACAGTATCAGCTATGTCTCCTTTTGCTGCAATTGGGGAACCCTCTTGCCCATGCAGGAAGTCACCGGGAAGTATGCAAGTCTGGGACAATGGGGCAAGCCTGTCAGCCTCTGTCCCATGGTGAATTCTGAGGGGGCTCATTCTTGGCTCCAGCCCCTCTCTCAGCAATCAAGGAACTGTCACACCTATACAATAAACTTCTGGTAAATGTGTGCCTGTTGGGCACATGGGACAGACTTGCAGAATTGGGTCCCTGGTTAGCTTTCCTACACAACCTGGGTATCCTCCTTGAGTCTTCCCCAAGTTCATCTGGGTCGAGGTGCCGCACCAACCTTGAAGCTATAGCTAGACTTATAGAGAATCTGAGCTTAGGGCGCCCTCTACTGCTGAAATAGTTCCAGTAGTCACTGACTCTGAAAAAGGTCAACCGGCTTAGATCGTTGGGCAGGCCCACTCAAGAAGGATGGGCACAAACACAAGCAGACTACAAAGACTGGAATACATACCTAAGTCTTCAAAGCGTAGGCATCAACATATGTCTGCAAGGATAAAGAACAATCTGGGAATTATGACCTCATTTAACAGACAAAACAAGGCACCAGTGACAGACCTTAAAGGGGTAAGATGTGTGCTCTGTCAGACAACGAATTCAAAATAGCTGTGATAAGGCAGCTCAGTGAACTTCAAGAAAACACAGATAAACAATTCAGAAATTTATTAGAGAAATTTTACAGAGAGATTTAAATAATACAACAAATTCTGGATGTAAAAACTACAATGAATGAAATAAAAATTCAAAGACAGTATAAATAGCAGAATTGATCAAGCTATTGAAAGAAAGGGTGACCTCAAAAAACAGGCTATTTAAAAATACATAAAAAAAAGACAAAATAATAAAAAGGGATGAAAAAAGATTATGGAATCTACGGGCTATGTTCAAAAAAGCAAACATTCATATCATTGGAATTCAAGAAGTAGCAGAGAAACACGAAGGTGTAGAAGGCTTCTTCAATGAAATGATAACAGAAAACTTTCTAAACTATTTATATCCAAAAGGTTATACATATCCAGGTAGAGGAAGACTAAAGTTCACTAATCAGATACAACCCAAATAAGACTACCCTAAGGCATAGGATAATCAAACTCTGAAAGGTCAATGTGTTAGTCTATTTTGCGTTGCTATAAAGGAACACCTGAGATTGGGTAATTTATGAAGAAAAGAGGTTTTTCAGGCTGTGTGAGAAGTGTGGTGCCATATCTGTTTCTGGTCAAGAGCTCAGGAAACTTTTAATCATGGCAGCAGGGGAAGGGGGAGCAGGCATGTCACATGACAAGAGAGGGAGGAAGATGGTGGAAGGAAGGTGCTATTCTCTTTAAAAAAATCAGCTCTCATGAGCTCTCATGTGACCTAATAGAGTGAGACTCACTCAGTATGACAGAGAGGGCAGTGAGCCATTTATGAGGGATCTGCCCCCATGACTCAAATATCTGCTACTAGTTCCCACCTCCAGCATTAGGGGTTACATTTTAACATGAGATTTGGTGGGGACATATATCAAAACTATTTCAGTCAAAGACAAAGAAGATTCTGAAAGCAGCAAGAGAAAAGAAACAAATAACATATAAAGGAATTCTAATACATATGGCAGCAAACTTCTTAGCATACACCTTGCAGACTACAAGAGAGTGGGATGATATGCTCAGAATGCTGAAGGAAAAAACCTGTCAAACAAGGATATCATACCCAGCAAAACTGTTTTTCAGAACAGAAAAACAAAAGCTTAGGAAATTTGTCACCATCAGACCTATCTTACTAAAAATGCTAAAGGGAGTTCTCCAAATGGAAACAAAAGGATGCTAACATGTAACAATAAAACATCTGAAGGTATGAAACTTACTGGCAAAAGTAAGTATACAAACAAGTTCAGAATACTTTAATACTGTAATTGTGATGTGTAAATCATTTATATCCTTAGTATGCAGACTAACAGAGAAAACAATTAAAAATAATAACTAAAATAATTTGTTAAGAGACAGGCAATATAAAAGATATAAATTGTGACATCAAAAATCCAAAATATTGGAAGACAATGGAGTTGAAGTGTGCAGTTCTTTTTGTTTCTTTTTTTTCCCTTTGTGATCAGTTAGATTATCAGTTTAAATAACTTGTTATAACTATAGGATGCTTATTGTAAGCCACATGGTAATGACAAAGTGAAAACCTATAATAGAGACACTAAAGTTACAAAGCAAGGAATCATAGCATGCTCCTGGAGAAAATCACTTAATCACAAAAGAAGAGAGTATGAGAGGAAGAAGGTTAAAAAAAAAGGGATCTACAAAACAATTAGAAAACAAGTAACAAAAAGGCAGTACTAAAGCCCTTACCTATCCATAATTACCTTGAATGTAAAAGATTTAAATTTTACAATTAGAAGACATAGATGGCTGAATGGATTAAAAAACAAAGACCCAACTATATGCTCCTCACAAGAAACCCACCTTCACCTGGAAGGACATAAATAGATCAAAAGCAAAGGGATGGGAAAATAGATTTTATGCAAAGGAAAACCAAGTAAGAGCAGGAGTAGCTATATGTAGATAAGATAAAATAGACTTTATGCCAAAAACTGTAAAAAGGGACAAAGAAGACCATTATATAAAGAGGTCAGTACAGAAAGATAATATAAAAATTATAAGTATACATGCACCTAACATTGGAATACATAAATATATAAGGAAAATATTCAATAAACTTAAAGGGAGAGATAGACTGCAATACGATAATAGCAGGGGACTTCAACACCCCACTTTTAGCAATGTGCATATCATCCACACAGAAAATCAACAAAGAATCGTCAAGGTAAGCCACACTCTAAACCAAAGACATTTTCAGAACATTCCACACAAGAGTTGCAGAATACTCATTCTTTTTAATAGTACATGGAACATTCTCTGGAATAGAACATATGTTAGGCCATAAAACAAGTCTTAAACATTAAAAAAATTGAAATCATACCAGTATTTTTTCCTACCACAATAGAACAAAACTAGAAATCAATAACAGGAGGAAAGTTGGAAACTGTAAAAATATGTGGAAATTAAACAACACACTTCTGAAAAAGTAATGGGTCAATACATGAATTTTTAAAAAAATTAAATAAATTTCTTGAGACAAATGAAAATGGAATCACATATCCCAAAAATCTGTGGAATATAGCAAAAGCACTTTTAAGAGGGAAATTTACGCAATAAATGCCTACATCAAAACAGTAGAAAGACCTCAATTCAGAAAGCTAATCTTGCACCTCAAGGAACTGAAAAACAAGAACAAACTAAACCAAAAGTTAGTGGATTAAAAAAAAAGATCAGAGCATAAATAAACAAATTACAGAAGATCAGTGAAGCAGAGTTAGTTTTTTAAAAAGGTAAACAAAATTGACAAACCTTTGGTTAGACTAAGAAAAATGGAAAAATACTCAAATAAATAAAGAGATGAAAAAGGATAAATTACAGCTGATACCACAGAAATACAAAGGATCACATGAGACTGTTGTAAATACCTACCTGCCAAAAAGTTAAAAAAAACTAGAAGAAATGAATAATTTCTGGACACATACAACCTATCAAGATTGAATCACAAAGAGATAGAAAAATCTGAACAGATGAATAACAAGAAAACAACATTAAATTGGTAATAAAGGTCTCTTATCAAAGGAAAGCTCTGAACCTGGTGACTTCACTGCTAATTTTACCAAACATTTAAAAAAGAACTAATAATGGACCTTCTCAAACTATTTTAGAAAACTGAAGGGGAGAGAATTCTTCCAAACTCATTATTGGAGGCCAGTATTACCTTGATACCAAAACCAGATGAGGACACAACAATAACCAAAGAAAATTATAGGGGAATATCCTTGATTAATATGGATGCAATAATCCTCAGCAACATACTAGCAAACTGAATCCAGCAGCATGTTAAAAAGATTATTTACTATGATCAAGTGGGACTCATCAAAAGGATGCAAGAATGGCTCAAAATATACAAATCAATAAATGTAATACATTACATTAACAGAATCAAGGAAAAAACCATATGATCATTTCAACAGACATAGAAAAAGCATTTGATAAAAATCAACATCCTTTCATGATTAAAAAATCCTCAACAGATTAGGTCTAGAATGAACATACCTCAACAAAATAGAGGCCACATATGACAAACTAATGGCTAACCCCACATTTAACATGGAAAAGTTAAAAGCTTATCCTCAGAGATCTGGAACTAGATAAGCATCCCCACTTTTACCACTTCTATTGAATATTGTACTGGAAGTCCTAGCCAGAGCAATCAGGAAAGAGGAAGGAAATAAGGGACATCCAAAATGGAAAAAAGGAAGTCAAATTGTCCCTTTAGAGTATTCTATATATAAGACATGATCTTACATATAGAATACGCTAAAGATTCTACCAATAAACTAATAGAACCAATAAATGAATTTGGTAAAGTGGCAGGATACAAAATCAACATACAAAAATCAGTAGTGTTTCTATACTCCAACAGCAAACTATCTGAGAAAGAAATCAAGAAAACGATTCCATTTACAATGGCTAAAAAAAATTGGAAAGGGGTCAAGATGGTGGACTAGAAGCAGCTCATGTACACTGCTCTCATGGAGAAGAAACAAAAATGGCTAGTGAATGCTGACCCTCTAGGCTGATCATCTGAGAAACCATGTTGGGATCCATCCAAGCAGCAAGGGGACACAGAAGAGAGAAGTGAAGCTGAGCACCAGCCTGTCTGGGCTCAGTGTGGTGCCAGGAGAACCTCTCTGACGTGGGAAAAGGTGAGTGAGTGAGAGGCCCCAGGAAGATTGGAAGATTCACGGTCTCCACAGGCACCTGTGCTAGACAAGAAATGGAAGAATCTCCCTGGGCCCCCAGCAACTCCCTTCCCCGATGCTTCTAGACTGAGGCAGAAAGCATCTGGACATTTTGCAGGGCAACTCTCAAGTCCATGGGGACCTTTACAGGCCTTGATCCCTGGAAAAGACCAGAACTGGTGCCATAGCCCCAACAGAGGCTGCAGTTGTAGTTCCTGGGAACAGTAAGATTGCTTCATCCCTCCTCAGCAAACAGGGCTGGTGACTTCCAGCCCAGCAGTCTTGCTTCAGCCTGAACTTGGCTGAAGCCTGAACCACCCACCCCCACCATTGGTAGCCAGGCTGGCAATGCTTGCTAGAACTTCTGGCCCAATAGGTCCACTTTTGTGTGAACTCAGCAGGGGGGCACAGCCTCCTGTTGTCCTGGGAAGCATCCAGACAGTAGGGTGCATGACCCCACCTGCCCCTACTACTGGTAGCCAGGAGTATAAAGCTTGCTAGAGCTTCCAGCTCAGTAATCTCACTTCTGTATGAACTCATCTGGAAGGTGCAGCTTCCTGTTGTCCTGGGAAATACCCAAATGGTAGGATGTGTGACCCCACCCACCCCTGCCACTGGTAGCCAGGCAGGCAATGCCCACTAGAGCTTCCGGCCTAGCGACCCCACCTCTGTGTGGACACAGCTGGAGAGTGCAGCCTCTTGTTGTCCTGAGAAACACTTGGACAGCTGGGCATGTAACTCCACCCACCCCTGCAGCTGGTAGCCAGACATACAGCACTTGCTAGAGCTTCTGGCCCAGTGGTCCCACTTCTGCATGAACTCAGCTGGAGGAGGCAGCCTCCTGTGGTCCTGGGAAATGCCTGGATGGCAGGGGTGGGTGGCTTCATCCACTCCTGCCACTAGAAGCCAGGCAGGTAATGCCTGCTAGACCTTCCAGCTTAGTGGTCTCACTTCTGTGAGAACTCAGCTGGAGACTGCAGACTCCTGTTCCAGGAAACACCCAGATGGCAGGGCACACAACTTACCCTTGCCAGATTGGCTGTAATGTGGTGTCCATGCACTTCCCAGGGAGACATGGGGTTGTGCCTGCCTGCAGAATTCAGGAAAAATTATCTTCCATGAAACTGAAACTGGTCCCTGGTGCCAAAAAGGCTGGGGATTGTTCCTCTAAGCCTAAAATATTTACTATGTAGCCTGTTGGACGCAAGTTTGCAGACACCTGATAGCCAGGCAGGCAACGCCTGCTAGAGTTTCTGGACCAGTGGTCCCACTTCTGTGTGAACTCAGCTGGTGGGTTCAGCCACCTGTTGTCCTGGGAAGCACCTGGACAGTAGGGCATGCATCTCTACCCAAACCTGCCACTGGTAGCCATGAAAGCCATGCCTGTTTAGAGCTGCAAGCCCAGCAGTCCTGCTTCTGCCTGAACTCTGAAGGCAGGCACAACCCCATGTTTCCCTGGGAAGTACATGGACAGCAGATTACGGCCAACCCAGCAAGGATAAGGCTTGTCTGACAACTGCAACCCCCGCCCAACTTCATGAGAGAGGTCAACATTCAAATTCAGAAAATGCAGCAAACTCCTGCAAAATACCACACAGGAAGACCATCCCTAAGACACATAGTCATCAGATTCTCCAAGGTTGAAATGAAAGAAAAAATTTTAAAGGTAGCAAGAGGAAAGGGATAGGTCACCTGCAAAATTAACCCCATCAGGCTAACAGCAGACCTGTCAGCAGAAAACCAACAAGCCAGAAGAGACTGGGGATCTGTATTCAGCATTCTTAAAATAATTTCCAACCAAGAGTTTCATATTCAACCTAACTAAGCTTTATAAGCAAAGGAGAAATAACGTTTCTTTTCTGACAAACAAATGCTAAGGGATTTTGTTACCACCAGACCTGCCTTATGAGAGGTCCTGAAGAGAGTGCTAAACATGGAAAGGAAGGACTGTTACTGGCCACTGCAAAAACACACTTAAGTATATGGACCAGTGACATTATAAAGCAACCACATAAGCAAGTCTGCATAACAACCAGCTAACAACATGATGGCAGGAACAAATCCGCATATATTAGTACTAACCTTGAATGTAAATGGGCTAAATGCTACAATTAAAAGGCACAGAGTGTCAAGAAGCAAGACTCAGTGGTATGCTGTCTTCAAGAGACCCATCTCATATGCAATGGCACCCAGAAACTCAAAGTAAAAGGATGGAGAAAAATCTACCAAGCAAATGGAGAAAAGCAAAAAGGACAGATTGCTCTTCTAACTTCGGACAGAACAGATTTTAAACAACAAAGATCAAAAAAGACAAAGAAGGGCATTACATAATGATAAAGGGTTCAATTCAACAAGAAAACCTAACTATCCTAAATATATACACACCCAACACAGAAGTACCCAGATTCATAAAACAAGTTCTCGGAGACCCACAAAGAGACTTAGGTAACCACACAATAATAATGGAAGACTTTAACATCCCACTGACAGTATTAGACAGATAACTGAGGCAGAAAAAAGATATTCAAGATGTGAACTTGGACATTTGACCAAATGGACCTAATAGACATCCACAGAACACTCCATCCAAAGACAACATAATATACATTCTTCTTATCTGCACATGGCACACACTGTAAAATCAATCACACAGACATATAAAAATCCTTAGCAAATTAAAAAAAACCCCGGAAATCATACCAGCTAGACTCTTGGACCACAGCACAATAAAAATAGATATAAATACTAAGAAACTTGCTGAAAACTGTGTAATTACAAGGAAATCAAACAACCTGCTCCTGAATGACTTTTGGGTAAACAATGAAATTAGGCAGAAACCAAGAAATTCTTTGAAATTAATAAGAACAAAGATGTAACATAACAGAATATCTGGGACACAGCTAAGGCAGTGTTAAGAGGGAGTTTATAACACTAAGTGCCCACCCAAACAATTGAAAAGATCTCAAATTAACAACCTAACATCACAACTAGAGGAACTAGAGAACCAAGAGCAAACCAACCCCAAAGCTAGAAGAAGATAAAAAAATAACCAAAATTACAGCTGAACTGAAGGAAATTGAGATGCAAAAAACCATACAAAAGTCAATGAATCCAGGAGTGGTTTTTTTTGAAAAAATACATAAGTTAGATAGATAACTAGCTAGACTAATAAAGAAAAAAGAGAGAAAATTCAAATAAACACAATCAGAAATGACAAAGGGGACATTACCACTGACCCCACAGAAATACAAAAAATCTTCAGAGAATACTACAAACATCTCTGTGCACACAAGCTAGAAAACCTAGAGGAAATAGAGAAATTACTGGAAATATACAACTTTCCAAGATTGAACTAGAAAGAGACTGAATCCATGAACAGATGAGTAAACAATTCAGAAATAGAATCAGTAATAAAAAGCCTATTAAACCAAATAGGTCTAGAACCAGATGGATTCACAGCCAAATTCTACCAAATGTATAAAGAGTTGGTACAATTCCTACTGAAACTATTGAAACTGCCTTTGCAAAATTATGACTGTGACAACGAAAGAGATTTAATCTAACTGACTCCATCTTGGCTCTAACCTTTAAGCTGTCCTTGTTCCTTTCTCGGCATAGGCTGAACTAACTATGGGAGGAACTTAGTTTATAGGTTAAAACAAAGATTATAGTAGCCCTTTCCCAAAACAAACCTCCTTCTTGCATGGTGACTAGGCGGTCTTTGTAGGACTAAGAAATTATCCACAAGATTAGAAATTATGATTTAGGAGTCATGCAGCTGGAGGCTACAAGATTCTGACCTTCCCTAAACTGCTCCTAAGATTAGTGCTTGAGATATTTTGTAGACCCTGCAATGGATCAACTGGCACCACGCAGATTGATAAACTGGCTCATCTAATCTTGTTGCCCCCACTCAGGAGCTGACTCAGCATAAGAAGACAGCTTTGACTCCCTATGATTTAATCTCTAACCTGACCAATCAGTACTCCTGGCTCACTGGCTTCCCCTCACCCACTAAGTTGTCCTTAAAAACTCTGATCCCTGAATGCTTGGGGAGACTGATTTGAGTAATAATAAAACTCTGGTCTCCCACACAGATGGCTCTGTTTGAATTACACTTTTTCTATTGCAATTCCCATGTCTTGATAGATCAGCTCTGTCTAGGCATTAGGAAAGGTGAACCCATTGGGCAATTATTCTATTCCAAAAAACTGAGGAAGACAGACTCCTCCCTAACTCACTCTGTGAGGGTAGTTCCATTCTGATGCTAAAACCTAGTGGAGACACAACAAAAAAGAAACTTCAAGTCAGTATCCTTGATTAACATAGATTAAAAAATTCTCAACAAAACGCTAGCGAACAACATTCAGCAGCATATCAAAAAGCTAATTCACCATGATAAAGTAGGCTTTATCATTGGGATGCAAGGTTGTTTCAACATATGCAAATCAACAACATAAATAGAACCAAAACCAAAAACCACATAATCATCTCAATAGATGCAGAAAAGGCTTCCAATAAAATTCAACCTCTGCTTCATGTTAAAAACTCTTAATAGAATAGGTATTGATGGAATATACTTCAAAATAATGAGTTATCTATAAAAAAACCCACAGCCAACATCATACTGAATTGGCAAAAGCTGCAAACATTTCCCTGGCAATCCAGAGCAAGACAAGGATGTCTCCTTTCACCATTCCTACTCAACATTGTACTGGAAGTCCTAGCCAGAGCAATCAGGCAAGAGAAAGAAATAAAAGGCATCCAAGTAGGAAGAGAAAAAGTCAAACTATCTCTCTTCACATATGATATGATTTTATACCTGGAAAACCCCATAGTTGCTGCCCAAAAGCTCCTCAGTCTGACAAATAACTTGAGCAAAGTCACAGGATACAAAATCAATGTACCAAAATCAGTATCATTTTTATACACCAATAACATCCAAGCTGAGAGCCAAATCAAGAATGCAATCCCATTCACAATAGCCCCCAAAAGAATAAAATACCTAGGAATACAGCTAACCCTGGAGGTGAAAGAGCTCTACAACAAGAATTACAAAACACTGCTGAAAGAAATCAGAGATGAATAAACAGATGGAAAAACATTCCATGCTCATGGATAGGAAGAATCAATATTGTTAAAATGGCCATACTGCCTGAAGAAATTTACAAATTCAGTGTTCTTCGTATCAAATTACCACTGACATTCTTCACTGAATTAGAAAAAACTATTCTAAAATTCATATGGAATAAAAAATGAGCCCAAATGGCCAAGGCAATCCTAAGCAAAAACAACAAAGCCAGAGGCATCATATTACTCAACTTCAAACTATACTACCAGGTGGCAGTAACCATAATGCCATGATACTGGTACAAAAACAGACACATAGGGCAATAGAACAGAATAGAGAGCCCAGAAATAATGCTGCACATCTACAACCATCTGATCTTCAACAAAGTTGACAAATGCAAGCAATGGAGAAAGGATTCCCTATTCAGTAAATGGTGCTGGGATAGCTAACTAGCCATATTTGAAACTGGACACTTTCCTTACACCATATACAAAAATCAACTCAAGATGGATTAAAGACATACATGTAAAAACCTAAAACTAGAAACACCCTGAAAGACAACCTAGGAAATATTATTATAGACATAGACCCTGGCAAAGATTTCATGATGAAGATACCAAAAGCAATTGCAACAAAAACAAAAATTGTCAAATGAGACCTAGTTAAACTGAAGAGGTTTTGCACAGCAAAAGAAACTATCAACAGAGTAAACAGATAACCTAGAGAATGGAAGAAAATTTTTGTAAACTATTATTCGTCCAACAAAGGTCTAATGTCCAGAATCTATAAGGAACTTAAACAAATTCACAAGCAAAAACAAACAACCCTATTAAAAAATGGGCAAAGGAAATGAACAGACACTTCTCAAAAAAGACATACATGCAGCCAACAGGCTTATAGAAAATGCTCAACATCACTAATCATTAAAGAAATGCAAATCAAAACCACAATGTGACACCATTCCATGCTAGTCAGAATGGCTATTATTAAAAAGTCAAAAAATAACAGATCCTAGTGAGGCTGTAAGGAAAACGGAACACTTATATGGTGCTTGTGGGAATGTAAATTCATTCAGCCACTGTGGAAAGCAATTTGGAGATTTCTCAAATAACTCAGAGGAGAATTACCATTCAACCCAGCAATCCCATTATTGGATATCTACCCAAAGGAATGTAAATTGTTCTACCCTAAAGAAACATGTGCACATGTGTTCATTGCAGCACTATTCACAATAGCAAAGACATGGGATCAACCTAGATGCCCATCAATGATAGATTGGATAAAGAAAATGTGCTACATATACACCATGGAATGCTACACAGCTGTAAAAAGAATGAGATCATGTCCTTTGCAGCAACATGAATGGAGCTGAAGGCCATTATCCTATGTGAACTAACGCAGGAACAGAAAATCAAATACCACATGTTCTTACTTATAAGTGGGAGCTAAACATTGAATACACATGGACACAAGGCAGGGAACAACAGAGACCAGGGCCTGCTTGAGGGTGGAGGATGGAAGGAGGGTGAGGGTAAAAAAACTATCAATCAGGTACTATGCTTAATACCGGGGTGACAAAACAATCTGTGTAGTCAGCCCCTGTGACATGCAATTTACATATAACAAACCTGCACATGTACCCCTGAACCTAAATAAAATTAAAAAACATTAAAATACCTAGGAATAAATTTAAGCAAGGAGGTAAAGATCTCTACGATGAAAATGTTAACACATTGATGAAAGAAATGGAAACAAATAAATGAAAGATATCCCGTGTTCATTGATTGGAAGAATTAATATTGTTAAAATGTTCATACTACTCAAAGTGGCCTACAGATTCAATGCAATCTCTGTCAAAATATCAATGACATTCTTCACAGAACTAGAAAAAACAATCTTAAAATTCATAAGGAACCACAAAAGACCCTGAATAGCTAAAGCAATCTTGAGCAAAAAGACCAAAATTGGAAGCATCACACCACCTGACTTCAAAATATACTGCAAAGCTACAGTAATCAAAACAGCATGGCTGGCATAAAAACAAACACCCAGATCAATGGAACAGAATAGGGAACCCAGAAATAAATTCACACACCTACAAATAACTGGTTTTCCACAAAAGTGCCAAGAACACATATTGGGGAAAAGGCAGTCTTTTCAATAAATGGTGCTAAAAAAACTGGATATTTACACATCTGCAGAAGAATGAAACTATACCCTTATGTCTCATCGTATACAAAATTCAACTAAAAATGGATTAAAGACTTAAATATAAGACCTGAAATTGTGAAACTACTAGAAGAAAACACAAGGGAAATGCTTCATGACATTGGTCAGGGCGAGGATTTTTTTCTTTTTTTGATAAGACCGCAAAATCATAGGCAACAAAAGCAAAAATAAACAAATGGGATTATAGCAAACTAAAAAGCTTCTGTACAGCAAAGGAAACAATCAACAGAGTGAAGAGGCAACCTACAAAATGAGAGAAAAAATTTTCAAAGTATGTATCTGACAAGAGGCTAATATTCAGAATATATAAGAAGGTCAACTCAATAGAAAAACAAAACAAAACAATCTAATTTAAACATGGGCAAAAGACCTGAGTAAATATTTCTCAAAGGAAGACATACAAATGGACAATAGATACATGAAAAAATACTCAGCATCTCTAATCATCAGAGGAATGCAAATCAAAACCAGAATGAGAACATCATCCCTGTTAGAATGGCTATTATTAAAAAGACAAAAAATAAGAAATACTGGAGAGAATATGGAGAAAGAACTCTTACATAGTGTGGTGGGGATATAATTTAGTACAGCCATTAGGGAAAACAGTATGAAGATTCCTCAAAAAATAAAAAATAGAACTGCCATATGGTCCAACAATCCCACTGCTGGGCATATATCTAAAAGGAAATAAAATCAGTATGTTGAAGAGATATCTGTACTTCCATGTTTATTGCATGAATATTCACAATAGCCAAAATATGGAATCAACCTATGTGTCCATCAACAGATGAATGGCTAAAAAATGTGTCTGTTTACACAATGGAATACTATTCAGCCATAAAAAGGAATTGTATTAACTCATTCTCATCCTGCTACAGAGAAATACTTGAAACTGGGTAATTTACAAGAAAAGAGTTTTGATTGGCTCATGGTTCCACAGGCTGTAAAGGAAGCATGCCTGAGGAGGCCTCAGGAAACTTACAATCATGGCAGAAGGCGAAGGGGAAGCAGGCACGTCTTCATATGGCCAGAGCAGGAGGAAGGGGGAGAGAGCAGTGGGGAGGTGCTACACACTTTTAAACAACCAGATCTCATGATAACACACTTACTATCACAAGAACAATACCAAAGGGGAAATCTGTCCTCATGATCCAATCACCTTCCACCAGGCTCCACCTCCAACATTGGGGATTACAATTTGACATGAGATTTGGGCGGGGACACAGACCCAAATCATATCAGGAATAAAATCCTGTTGTTTGAGACAACATGGATGAACCTAGAGGACATTATATTAAGTGAGATAAGCCAAGCACAGAAGAACAAATACCATGCGATTTCACCCATATGTGGAACCTAAAAAGGTTTATCTCATAGAAGTAGAGAGTAAAATAGTAGGTGTCAGAGGCTGGGGAGAATACTGGAAATGGAAGAATGAGGAGAGGTAGGTCAATGGTTACAAAGTTACAGTTAGATAGAAGGAATAATTTCTGGTGTTCGATTGCACAGTAGGATGACTATAGTTAACAATAAAGTATTGCATATTTGCATATAGCTAGAAGAGATGATTTTGAAAGTGCTCACTACAAAGAAATTATAAATATTTGGGTAAAGGATATACTAATTGCACTAATTTGATCATTATATGGTGTATACATATATCAAAACATCACACTGTACCCTATACATATGTATAATTACTATGTGTCAATTAAAAACAAAATAAACCTTAAAAGAAAAGTTTTCCTGATTGATTTCTAGCATGACTAAATGAGGGGGTCAACAGATGTTTCCCTCCCAATGCAACTATAAAGCTGAACACAACTATAAAGAACAACAATTTTAGTCTACTGGAAAGTGACGAAAGCATTTATTTATGAAAACTACTGAGTCGTGGTTAATAACAGTAAAAGTCTATAATGTTTTCATCTGGGGCTGCACCCATCTTCACTCCAGCTCTACTGGTGCAGTAGTTCATCCGGGATAGGGTAGGAAAGGCCATGAAATCCAGTTGTTTTGATACCACTTCCAGAAGAGGCTTACTTGATTTGGAACATTGTCTATTATAGCAGTATCTTGGCATCAAGCAAATCCTAACATTTATGTGGAAATATGAAGACCTAAAATAGCAAACACAATTTTGAAAAAGAAGGAATTGGAATACTTACATTACCTGATTTCTAAGCTTAATATAAAGTTACAGTAATCAAGACAGTGTGGTATTGGTATAAGAACAGGCATATAGATCAATGAAACAAAACTGAGATTTCTTACATTTATGGTCAATTGATTTTCAAAAAAGGTACCAAGATAATGAGGAAGGAATAGTCCTTCCAACAAATGGAACTAGGACAACTAAATATCCATCTGAAAAAATAAAAATGGACTTAGACACTTATACAATACACAAATTAACTGAAATGATAAAAAATCTGAATATAGGAGATAAACTAGAAAACTTCTAAAAGAAAACACAGAAAAAATTTTTGTGATGCTGGGTTAGGCAAAGAATTCTTGAATATAACATCAAAAGCTTAAGGTAAAGAACAAAATGATAAATTAGACATCATTAAGATGAAAACTGTTTTGCACTTTACAACACACCATTAAGAAAAATGCAAGGACAAGCCACAGACATGGAGAAACTATTTGCATATAATATATTTAATAAAGGATTTCTATCCATAATATATAAAGAACTCTGAAAACTCAATAATGAGAAAAGTCAATTAAAAATGGACAAAGACTTAAGTGTTTCATTAAAGAATAAATATAAGTGGCTGCCAATTAAATGAAAAAGTGATCAACATTATTAGTCAATAGGGATGTACAAATTAAAAATTAAATGTGGTATCTCTATACAACCACTAGAATGGCTACAATCAAGGAAAATAGATGATATTAAGTGTTGGCTAGGATGTGGAGAAAATGGAACACTCCTCCATTGCTGGTGGGATATAAAGTTGTACAGCCCCTTTGGAAAATACTTTGACATTTAAAAAAAGTTAAATA
Source organism: Homo sapiens (assembly GCF_000001405.40). Classification (NCBI taxonomy): domain Eukaryota; kingdom Metazoa; phylum Chordata; class Mammalia; order Primates; family Hominidae; genus Homo; species Homo sapiens. Next base: position 135,722,130 of record NC_000003.12, on the reverse strand, counting down.
AAAACATACCATATGAGCCAGTGTTTCCACTCCTAGGAGTCTACTCAGGAGAAATGAAAATATGTGTGTACACAAAGACTTATATGAGAGTGTTCTTAGCAATATTATTCATAAAGCCTCTAAGTGGAAACAATCCAAATGTCCATCTACTGGCTAAACACAGTTTGGTTTATCCGTACAATGGAATACTCCTCAGCAATAAAAAGGAGTGATGTATTGATACATGCTACAACATGGATGAAACTCAAAAGTGTTAAGTGAAATAAGCCAGTTGCTAAAGACTTCATATTGTGTGATTTCATTTATATGAAATATGCAGTTAAGACAATGATTTAGGCAGAGGGCTGATCAGTGGTTCTTTGGAGTAGGGGTGGGTATAGAGATTGACTGCAAATGAGCCTGATGAAATTTTTGGGGGTGATGAAAATGTTCTAAAATTAGGTTTTGATAATGCTATAAAGTTACTAAATATTATTGAAATGTACACTTACAATGGGTGAATGGTATGGTATGCAAATTATGTATCAACAAAGCTGCTTTTTTGAAAAATGATTCCTGTCAAAGAGAAAATAAGGGTAGGGACAATGAGATGGTGATATACAAAATGTGTTTTGTAAGAGTCTCTATCCAGATAGATCAAATGTGTCATAGTTTCAACTAGTCAAAGCAAGATCACAAATCTATAAAATCAAAGCCATTCAGAAGCAAAATTATTCTTGTTATTGAGACTTGAGATAAATTTCTTTTGCTTTGAATTAATTTTATTCATTTATTCATAAATATTCATTGTATGTCTGTTACGTGCCAAGCACTATGTTAGGTTCTGGTTACATAGGAGTGAACAAAAGAGTCATGGTTCCTGCACTCCTGGAGCTTTGGTCTAGTGGCTCTTCTTGGGTATGGTTCCTTTCCTTTTGAAAACATAATTGAGATATTACCATATGTTTAATTTTGTATTCTGATTTTTTACTCAGTATAGTATAATAAGAATTTAGTCATATCTTTAAAAGCTCTTCATAAACCTTATTTTATTTGCTGCAAACTTTATCACAGTATGTCTCTATGCTGAACATTTAACTTGTTTCCAATTTGTTGCCATTATCTATGATGCTCCAAAGAATTTCTTTTGCAAGTGAGTCTTTATTTTCTCTTTTTTTTCCAACTAGAATCTTAGAAGAGACATTATTGGATTGGAGTTATAAATATTAAGATATTGATACCTATTGCTAAACTGTTTTCTGGAAAGGTGGTTATCAGTTTGCAATCCTACTATCAGGGTAGAGAGCTTGTTATCATCCAAGACATTGGGCTTGGTTGAAGGATGAGCCAAAGCCCAAGGGGTGAGTCGGTCACTCTTGCGGCTGTGGGCACTGGGCACTGGGCCCTGGTCTTAGGCATTTAGTGGTCTCCTACACACAAGGCACTGTGCTCTTGGAGCACAGATTCCTCAACAAGAGCAGATCTAATTCCTAGCTGATCTCTGGCTTCTCTCAGGCTACAGAAAAGTGGCTAGACTGACAACATCCAGGCCTCAGAATGAAGTACAAAGTGGGGGAAGGTGAACTTGTTCCAGTTAGGGAGAGAAGGGTGTCAGAGACAGAGATGCTTACATTAAACATAAGCAAGATGAAAAGAAATGACAGAGCAACTAGGCAGATATACTACAGGAAAATCAATTAGTCGAAAAGTCAGGCATGGTATGGAAAAGTCAGGCATGTTATGGAAAAGTCCAGAACCCAATCTGGATGAAATATAAATTGGGTGATAAAAGTGGCTTTCTCATGAATGTTTTCCTGTAGAGAATAAATTAGTAGAAATATAAATGTAATAAAACAAGGGCTCAAAGATGAGATGATAAAACAACAGAATGAGTTGTAAAAGGAGATTGCAGACCTAAGGAAATGAATTGAAATAAAGTAACATAAAATAGCAAGGAATAGAATAGACATAGCTAAAAACTGAATTAATGGCATGAAAGGAAAGCTAGAGATAATCATACTGCATGCAAAAGAGATTAAATAATTAGAAGAGGAAGAGAAACAAAAGTGATTCAAAATAAGGTAATTGATGCCCCTGCAGGGAAGAATTCAACAAAAGGACAGAGGAAGTATTCAGAGAAGACTCAGATCTGCAGCTAGGAAGGGTACCTTGCATACCATGAAAAACAAACTCAGAATGACAGACACCAAGGATTTTTCTAGGTTGAATTATTAAACTTAAAGAATAAAGAACGTATTCCTGAGGCATCTAGGCACAAAGTATTTCCTGACAGTGGGAAAAATTAGGGCATCCTCAGATACACTATGGTAATTTTCAGTGTTCAAAGATAATGGAGCAATGTTTATAAAGTTCTGAGGTTTGGAGAGACCTCAAAAAATTATATGCACCCAAGTAGTTGTCCATGTATGAAGGCAACAGATAAGCAGTCTTAAATATGAAATAACAGTGGGAGTGGTACATCTACAAAACCGGCTTGCATAAAGCCAAAGCTCTTTGGTGATGAGATCAGGTTTGGCAAGGCTATAAAAAAAAAGCCTGGTGATGAGCACTGAGTTCATTTAAATAAAGAACTACTTTTCCAGGCAAATTATGGTTGTAGAATAGAATGCTACTATTATAAATTCTGACAAAGCAAAGCCAACCTGTTTGGAAGGTGAGAGAGGGAAGGTGGAAGTGTGAGAGTATTATCCTCTCTATGCTGCTTGTAACAGCAAGTTAGTCCACTACTTAAAGTTCTATTTAAAAAATACAACTGCAACTTCCTAATGGTTTTCATAATATTTTCTTTTTTTTAATCTTAGAGTAATTTGTAAGTAGTAATATCTCTTAGGGATGAAGAAATATTTATTGGATACGCTATAAATTTTTCAAATTCCCTTTTTTTTTCTTTTCTGTTACATTCAAGAAAAAAATTAAATTTGCAAATAGCAAATAGCATTTATAGAATTATCTTATTTTTAGAAATCTCTCTGTCCCTCTCATCTTTTCCCCCTCTCTTTCTATCCTAACATCTGTATAAGTATCAGAGAGAGTCTAAAGAAAGATCACAAATGTTAACACTGATCATTTCTGATTGATAAGAATTCTTGTGATTTGCTGATTTGTACTTTTCTGTATATCTTGCATTTTGAAAATAGTGACTGTGAATGATAACATTTATCATTGTCCCAAAATGTTATACATGCTCTTTGCAGAAAATTTGAAACATGCATAAGAAAAGGAAAAACATACCTAAGAAAAGGAAAAATCTGCCATCCAGATATATTTACTATTGGTGGCTCCTAATGACCAATGCTTCTGGGTATCCATGCCCCCTCCCATGATGACTCAGGCCTTGGCCATGTGTGATGGGTAAGTTTATGCACCAACTTGACTAGGCTATGGGGCCCAGTTGTTAGGTCAAACACTAGTGTAGATGTTTTTGTGAAGGCATTTTCTAAATGTGATTAACATTTAAATCAGTAGACTTAGAGTAAAGCAGATTACCTGTCACACAAATTATCCTCATCTGATCAGTTGAAGGTCTTCAGAGCAAAGATTGAGATTTTCCTCGGAAGAAATAATTCTCTCAATATTACAACACAGAAGCCTGGCTTGAGTTTCCAGCCTGTTGCCTTGAGGAATTCAGACTCAAGACTACAACATCTATGAGAGAGATTGTGTGGTATTTGTCTTTCTGTGTCTGGCTTATTTCACTTAACACTATGTCCTTCAGGTTCATACATGTTGTGGCAAATTTCAGGATTTCATTCTTTTTTATGGCTGAATAATATTCCATTATGTGTATATACACCACATTTTCTTTATCCATTCATTCATTATTGGACATTAAAAGGCAAAGTTGATATTATAGACGCAGAGAGCAGAACAGTGATTACCAGAGACTGGGAGGGGCAAGAAGAGGGGAGGATGGGGAAATGTTGATTTATTGGTACAAAATTACAATTAGGTAGAAGGAATAGGTTCTAGTGTTCTATTGCACATTAGAGTGATGATGCTTAACAGTAAGATATGGAATGTTGCAAAATAGCTAGAAGAGAGGCTTTTGAATGTTATCACCACAAAGAAATGCTAAGTGCACAAGGTGATGGTCATGCTAAATACTCTGATTTGATCATTATACAACACATACATGTATCAAAACATCAAATTTTACCCCATAAAAATATACAATTACAATGTGTCAATTAAAAAAAATAAGACTGCAACATAACTCTTATCTAAATTTTCAGCCTGTCAGGCCTACCGTATGGATTTTAGACTTGCCAGCCCCCACAATTATATAAGTCAATGTGTGTGAAGAGGCCTGGCTGCCCTTCTGGAAAGACCATGGAGAGAGAGTGAGAGTGAGAGTGGGCAAGAGAGATGACAAGACAGAGAAGGAGGAAGAGAAGGAGGAGGAGAAGGAGAAGGAAAAGGAAAAGGAAAAGAGATATTTATACAGGCCCTAGCTGTTCCAGCCATCCTAGTTGAGGGGCCAGACATGTGAGTGAAGCCCTTTTTGGTTTCTAATCTCAGTCAAGCTACCAAGTGATTGCAACTGCATAGGTGAACCCAGGAGATATCAGCAGAACTATCTAGATTGCAGAATCATGAACAAATTAAAGGTTGTTTTAAGCCACTGATTTCTGAGGTGCTCTGTTACTCATCAGTAGATAACTTATGTAAGTACCATTACCATTTTGGCACATGCACTTTTAGTTTTTTAATAAACCTTAAAAATTTTAATAAAATTGAGTTCATACTGTATACTTTTACAACATGCTTTTTCAGTGATATTATGGGCAATTTCCCATGTTAGCAAAAGTTCTTAAACCTCATTTTTAGCTGATACAGAGTTTTTGATCATTTCCTATTGCACATTTGGATGGTTTCTAATATTTTGCTATTATAAACAACATTATGATAAATGCTCTTGTATACATTTCCAGAACCACCCAGCTAAGCAGCTTCTGAATTTCAGATTCACAGAAACTGTGTAAGATAATAAACATTCATTATTTTAAGCCAGTAAGTAATGGAATAAATTGCTATGCAGCAATAAGTAGCTAATACTGGCGTTCCCCGGGATTTTTGAGCTTTTTAATCTTTAAAGTAGAGAAACCTATGATAGGTTTAGTTTCTTGTTAAACCCAACTCTCAGAACTGAGTAACTCTACCTTCCCCTTCCCACTGTACCAGTGTTTATGAGAGGGAAAATTTAAACAATTTATACCACATATGCACTTCCTGGGCCTTTTCTTTCACAACAATGTCTTCACTGACTTCGTATCTGACAACTCATCAGTATATACTGGAGCTCCAACCCTAGTTTTTTCCTGCATTGATATCAGCTTCGTATTTCCAAATGCTCATCTCCTATCATTTTCTTTTGGATGTTCCTCAGGGTGTCCAAAATGAACACCCTTGCTATAATCTCTTTCATCTCTTGGTATAATCCTTTCCTCCTTTCTTATTTACCTTGATTGAGAGGTGAGGTTAGGTTGGGTAAAAAGTGGGGATGTGACACTGTGTTAGTTATCTATTGCTGCATAACAATGTACCCCACAGCTTCGTGCCTTAAAACAATAAATATTTGTTATCTCACACAACACAGCTTCTGAGAGTTAGGCATCTGGGAGTGGATATCTGGGTGGTTCTAGCTCAGAGGGTTTTATGAAGTTAAAGTCAAGATACTGCCTGGGACTGCAGTATCCTGAAGACTTGCCTGGGGTTGGCTGAAGGGTCTGCTTCCAAGAAGGTTCACTCACACAACAGTGGGCTGGAGGCCTCGGGTTTCTGCTGGCCTTTGGAAGGAGGCCTTCATTTCTCACCACATAGACCTTACCACAGAGCTGCTTGAGGGTTCTCACAATATGGCAACTGGCTTTTCCTAGAGTGAGTGATCCAAGAGTGAAGGAAAGGCAGAAACCACAACAGCTTTGATAACTTAGCCTTGCAAGTCACATGCTACAGTTTTTCTCATATTCTTTTTGTCATGCAGACCAACCTTGAAACAATGTGAGAGGGTACTACACAAGCTAAGAATATTGGCGTGCAGTAGGGTTAGTGGGAGCCATCTTGGAGACTGGCCAGTGATTCTTGTGCCAATGGTTTTGGAATTAGAATAATGGCTATAAGGATGTCATATGGGGCTTTCAGGTCTCTTGCCCCAAGAAAAAGTATCTGGAGCCAGATCACTTAATTGAGATGGGATGAAATGAGAAGAGGAAACCAGAATGAGACCCAGAGTGGTATGAAGGAGCAAAGTAAGCAACTTCGTATATTTAACCTGAGTATGTGTGGTGTATATGAGTATTCCTTGCACAAAGGCACAGACCGAAAAAACAAAACAAAATATTAAGAAGCATCTGTAACCTTGGCTGTCACTATTGCAGGGACCAGCTCTTCTCTCATCTAACTGTACTTCAGCCTTACCCAGTTCATATCTGTGTCCTGCCTCTGCCTTGTTGCTCCCTGTAACTCATGAGACACAAATTTTTAGTGCAAGTAGTTCTTTTAAGAGGTGATCCCATGAGACACTGGCAGGAGATTGGGGAAGTGCACTGGTAAGAGATAGGGAAGTAAAGGCAGTCGAGCAAGCATGTTATTCCTACGGGCAACTGACTTAATCCCTCTGGGGAACTCTGGGAAACAGTGTAGATCTGTACTCTGAGTTATTCTACCTGTGGGACGAGGTTCCTAGAATATCCACTAACTTCCGTCAGCCATTAGTGGAGGACTGCCTCCAAGAAGGATTAATTCTTCGGCACTTCTTGTCTGCCACTCCAGCAGGCAGAGCTCATGTGGCAGCTGAAGGAAGCCCTAGGGCTCAGAGTTGCAGGGGCTGGAAGTTGGAAGTTGGAAATTGGGACTTCAGGGACATGTTAAGTGCCAAGGAGATATGGAAGGGGCACCAATAGCATTCTTTATGAGTACCTTTAGAATTCAAGTTAGACATCTCCTGCCATGGGAAGTTCTCCATGCCCCCTTAGTTTTCTTCCTGCAGTGGGTTGGGTACTCTTCTGCTTTGCTCGCATCCCATTTGCCTTTCACTGTATTGTAACTGTCTGCATATCTCCCATTAAATTCTGACCTTGCTGAAGATGCAGACCAAGTTTTCCACCTCAGTACCCCTGGGTGCCTAGAAAAAGACCTGGCCCAGAATCTGGCATATACTGGGATCTCAATAAATTTTGAATGAATGAATGAATAAATAAATGAATAAATGGGTAGGGAATTCTCTTCATCATTTGGGATAGCATTGGTAATCCTCTACATGTTCCTGTATCTAAAAGTTTACACATAAATTATTACCATTTCTACTCTTGCAGACTTATTTTATGGGAATCATTTCCTACAGAGGGGTCTTCCAGGTGCAGGAAAAGCATTAACATGTTTATGGTGTACCCACTGACACACCAGGCCCTGGCCCTGGGTGGTTCACTGCCACATATCCTCCTGGGCTCCTGGAGAAAAGCTGTGAAGGGAAGTGGGTGGCTGTCACACAGCAGCTTTCTGCTCCCAAACCCCTCATGTGAGGAGAGGCTGAGGGAGAAGAAATGGCAAGGTTTCCTCAAAGATCGAGAACCACCCCAGAGATCCTGTCTAGTCCCATTTTAGGTAGTCATGATTTGCTCATTGTCACAGCCACTTAGCACTTTGGGAAGAATGCATTGTTTCTGAATAGAGAGCGGTAGTGATGATTTGGCTGTTATTATGGATAATAATTGTGTTTGCTGTCTGTGCTGCCTGGGCTTATTTGGGAGCTTTGTCACCACTGCTATAATTTTAAATATTTTAATTAATGATACTCGGTTGCACTCTAGCCTTGAGGCTCCTTAAGCAAAATGAGCAATTGAAAAAAAAAAACTCACAAAAAGTAAGTGAGTGAAAATAAAAGACATCTAAAAAATCATTCCGTTTATGTGATGTTTCAGGCTTGAAAAATGTATCTGCTGCAGGCAAGAGAAAATTCTCAATGCTTCCACCTGCTATCTTTGCTCCCATAGCCATCCATCTCCTGGAGCTGCTGATTGACATGGAATATACATAAAGTATCATCAAAAATGACAGGAGATGAGGAAAAGGCCAAAACAGAGGCCTGAAGGTCCAGCAAACTTGGAGACTCATGCTCTTTAAATCATTTCATCATCAACCATTATTATTGCCATCAGTTATTTTCATACTTTCCCAATATTGTGGATATCATTGAAGAGATACCAAAGAATTAGTCTCTACCTTTTAGGTCTTTCACTGTGGTGTCTGGGAATGGTTCTGGCAGAGGAATCACAAGCCCCAGAATGTTCTGTGAGACTGATGGTGAATGCACAAGAGAGAGCCCCAGTAGAGTAGGGTAATCTTTTGAAATGTTAATATTTTGTTTTCGAATGTAGAAGATATGAAGGACAATAGGCAAAACTTCCCTTTGCATCTCCTCACGAGAGTTCTCTGGGCCAGGTCAGGATTCCAAACTCAGGGACACATGGGCCTGCATGACTTTAACCTCCAGAGTGTTTGAAAGAGATTTGAACTAGTAGCCAATATTTAGAAACAAAGACATCAAACATGAAAATTTGATTTCCAGTCTCTCAAAAGTTTAGATCTGCCAGCCTCAGTCCACATGCTAATACTGGGCTGCAGCCAGTGGTGGCTGCTCTGTGGTAGGCTGGAACTGGCTCTCTCTGGCCTTTGAGAGAGATTTGTGCTCAGCAGTTCTATGTTCAGCAGCTTTACATTGGTAGGTTGAGAACACTGAAGTCGGCCATGATGAGAGTATTTATACCACGAAAAGCTATAAGTCAGATTTTTTTTCTCTCAGTAAGCCAGTTAAACATTTACTAGCACACCACCATCGTCACCCCTTTGGATGACATGTTGAGTGTTCATTCCTCATACCTATAACTCACCGTCATCTCCCTACAATGAGGCTGAGTTGCCCACCTTGTCCCTTTGGTTTATATTCTGGGTTTAGGATCCTCTTGCACCACTTCTTTGTATTTAAGGGGGCCTCTGTGAAGAAAAATACTCCACCTCAGGCCTTTGTTAGGAAGGAGAGGCTTATCAAGGAAAAGGCTCTGAAGTGGAGAAAGGGAGGGTGGTCTTTCTGCCTGGAGAGGGGACTGGCTTGCTCTCTGGGGATGAAAGACTTCTGTGGGCCAGGGACAGGAAGAGTTCATTCTGAGAGGTGGGAGATGGAAGATAATGCATTTCTTGTGTGGCAGACACCCAGCCCCTGCTTAGGCAGTGTCCCAGTTGTATGCCCATGGGGGTAGACCTGGGCACTGTGACCTCAGGACATGGGCTCCCATTATAACAGGCAAGGGCACAGGGAAGTCCCATGCTTCTGAACAGACCACCTGTGCTCTGGAGCTGGGAGTATGGGAGGGATACCCACTAGTAGAGCTGACTTCATGGGCATGTGACCTGTGCAGTGGTATAGGGCCTCCTGCTTGGTTTCATGCTCTGTTGTCATCATATTGAAATTCTTCATACTTTTTGAACAAGGGGCCCTGCATTTTTATTCTGTACTGGGCTCTATAAATTAGGTAGTTTATCCATTACACTAGGAACTGAAAAACTCTGGAGTCCTAATAAGTAAGCAACAACAAGGAAGTGGTCCCAGTTCGGGGAGAACAATTGTTCTGAGTGACTGCTAATCACAGACAACCCACTGGCAAAACATTCTGTTCCAAAATACCTCATTCTGCTTGTAGCCCCAGCAGCAATACCTTATCTGCACACCTTATCTGCATGTAGCCCCTGCAGTATTACCCTATAAAACTTCCCTCCAGCCCCTGTCTCTTGGCAGACAGTCCCTTCTGTGCTGTGCTGCCCATTGCTTTCTTGCCATCTATCTTTGTACTTTCTCTAATAAATCTGCCTTTCTTACCCATGACTGTCTTGGTAAATTCTTTTACCACCTGTGATGCTGGCCCCAGCCAGTTGCACCTGGAACAACAACAAGATATCTGCCTCAATTATTCTGGGCTGCATGAATTTTCACAGGACTCCCTGGGTGATCCCAAGAAGTGGGGTGAGGAATCTCCCAAAATTCCCCATCAACCCTTGTAGCTGGGGCTGACTCACATTTATGTGGTCAGAAACACTAAGAAACATGTTATTTCTTAGATGGGTTCAGAGCTGTCCTGCCTATTGCACTAGATTGATTTTTTTTCTTTTTTAGTCCTTGGATGCTGGGGGCTAAACTAGGGGTACAATGCTGAAGTTTGGTAATTTAGGAGTGAATATGACAAGGCCTCTGCCCAAAAGAAGCTCAGAGTCTAGAGGGAGACATGCAGAGGTAAACCTACAGCTCTTACTGCATGTAACACATTAGATCTGAACTCTAAAAAGTGCCATGGGGAAGCAGAAGCAAGAACAATTGATTCTGTGTAAACAGGATCAGGAGAGTTTGTGGCGAGGGCCTGAAGGCCAATAAGAGCTCTCTGGGTGAAGAGGGTAAGGAGATGCAAGCCTGATGCTTGATAAAATCCTCTTGGTTAGGGGTCTGCTATTTTTTGATGGTGCTGCAGCTGTTAGCAATGTCAGATTCATCTAGTAGCTTTGTACACACTTAAGTAACTATCCTGTATTGTGGTCGTGATGGGGCCATAAAACCATTCTGGAACCTGGTTCAAATGACCACTTGGTAATCAGGTATTTTCTTGATTATGTGGTGGAATAACATTGGAAATACTAGCAGGCGTGTTTTTCCTATTCCATTCCTTACCTGGGGACCCTTGCCCTATCTGGGCAGCTGGACCCTGGAGCAGCTTTGCCTCAGGGAAGGCAAATGACAGCAGAAACATTGGCCAGGCTTTGGGTGTAAAACACTGAGACTGTGAAGGGCTTCAAGGAATAGTGAAGTCAGAGGGAGTCACAACTGGGCTTTCTGTACACTAGTATTGGATAGGATTTTCCAAGACTGGAGGAAGGGAGAGCTGAGGGTAAGTGGGAGTGAAAAGAGGGTGAGGGTCCCAAGAACATAGGACTCTGTGGTTACCCTTTTTCAGTGTATCCTGGGAAGAGGACAGAAGAACAGTCAGTTGAAGGCAGTGATCCTCAACCTTATTAAAACTAACAACTCCTTTATGTAGTAAATATTTTATGAAGTTCTCTTTACTATCCTGAAGTAAAATGAAATTCATGGGTAATATTACTCCCATAATTGTGACAACAAATTAATACGTCCACAAATTTCCAAAATATCCCATGGGGGATGGGAACAGTCCTGGTTGAGAATTACTGGTTTAGGGGTTTTCTTTCCTTGATAGGAACTAGGGAAGGGCAAGACCCAAGACTGGGAGTTGCTATGGGTTGGGGTGCAAAGGGCCTAGGGTAGCCTAGAAGAGAATATCCATTCCTGAGGATGCTTGTGGGCTTAGAAATGCAGAGAGAGAGAGAGAGAGAGAGAGAGAGAGAGAGAGAGAGAGAGAGACAGGGCCACATTGAGTGTCCTGGGTATCATTGTGAAGTGAATGTGGCAGAGGGGTGGGAGGTAGAAGAGGCCAGATCCAAAGGAGGCTTGTGTTGGGAGTCAAGAATGGCCCAGCAGTGACTTGCATGGTCTGATCACCCAAATCGGTAGTGAAGACATTTCAACAGATGCCAGGAAGATGTATAGCTGCACCCTAGCCCCACCTTGCCCAAAGCTCACTGATAGAAAGTCATAATTCTTTTACACTTGGAGTTCATGGACCAACATTCTTACTTGTTACAATTATTTCAGAAGAATCCCTCACTTGACTGAGTTCAGTCCCCCTCCTACCTCCCTAATGTGGAGGTGTAACCGTGGTGTAAGATATGTTGCTTAAACAGAAGTCTCTGCTGCTTAAAATTCAACTACACCCATGTATTGGAAGGCGAAGATTCTGGTGCCATTTAAAGATAATCTGTGGGTTTTATCAAACAGACAAAAGAGAAGCAAGCTCAAGTGTAGATCCCTGGAAGGTAAAAAGTAACTATCCCTTTAGGGGACAATAACCACGTAATTTTATTTTCCATCTTTGCTAGGGAATGAGGTTTGTGGTGTTGGTGGTGAATATATTTACTCAAGTGACAAGAGAATGGGATTCACAGAGAGAAAACCCTTGATTTAAATCTTGGTTTCGTTGTTCAGGCCAGGCCATTAATTTAACTTCTTTCGAACTCAGTTTCTTCATCTGTAGAATGGGTGTGGGAATTATATGTGAAAATGTATAGAAAGCCTTTTGCCATCTGTAGTATCACAGTTTCTAATATTGTCACAACAATCATATCAGGAGCGACTCATTTTTGCCATTCAGTGACCAGACAGGGTAAATAGATTTCCTTTGGGCTCGATGACTTCCACCTCAGATGGCTGCTACTTAAGAGTTCTTTGTTACTTGAAGTGGAAAACGTTTCTGTGAAAGCAATTTAATCATGCTGTGAATGAATTGAGAGATAGATTTTGTTACATAGATGAGCGAAATGTAAACTACTAATTGCATATAGACTATATTTGTAGGAGTTTTAATTTTGAGCACTAATTCCTTCACATTTGTTCTTAGTTAATTTTCTAGTGGGAGATGTGCTTGTTAAAGTTTTATTTGATAACCATTCATCCAACCATCCATCTAACCAGTAAAAGCATACTTGTTGAAGTGTTTAATCTGTACAAGTCCCTGAGAGGGCTGCTGTGGGGATTCAATGGTGGATCAGGTCTAGACACTCATGTGGGGATTGAGTGTCAATGTCCTGGACTTTTGACAGCTTGCTTCTTCTATTTTTTATGCTACTTCTTGCACCTTCCCTAAAGGATGTATACTTTATTTAGTTCAGTTGTCTTATTGATATTTACTGACTGTTTTTTGGGAGGAGGGATGGAAGAATTATTTATTTGCCTGTTGCTTGGGCTGAAAAAACCAGGTTATGATAGAGTGATATCAAGAAGACCACATCTCCAGAAACCAATTGAGTGATCACGTCGAGGTATATCCTATTTCTCCATTTTATGGAATTTAACAAAATAAAATTAAGAATGCAAAAAAACCTCCAAGTATTAACATATATGCTCCTGGGGTGGGGAAGATCTTCTTATGGAAATCAGAAAAATGAAAATTGAAAAAATGGAATGCCATCTTTACTCAGTGGATTGGCAAAACATAAATGATTGACGATTGCCAAAGCTTGAGGTGGTGTGGGGAAAATTAGCTCTTTCATTTATTGTTTGTAGGTTTGTGAGTAGCTAGCACCTTATTAAGAAGTAATTTAAACATATTTAAAAAAATAACAATGCACGTATCTTTTGATCCAATAATTTCATTATTTCAGAGAAATAAAGGTAGTAATACATAAAAGAAAAATACAAAGGTAGTTATTGCAGCAGTGATTATAAAAAAGACTGTGAGTTGGAGAACATGAATGTTCATCATTTTGGGGATGACTGAATAACTTACAATACATTTACCATACAGAATATTATAATGCCAGTAAAAAGCATGACTTGGATTTATATTTATTGACTTGAATGGATCTCTATTATAGGGAAAAATTAAGTGTATTATTGAGGCCTAAAAAAAGTTATGAAAACAATTACCTTAAGCTACTGACATTAGTTACCTCAAGGGAGAGAGTTTGAGGGTAGGAGGAATTAATTGACTTTTAAATAAACTTCTGTTTTGTTTGAATGTTATAAGTAATATCTTCATGATTAATCATTCCATTGAGATAGAAGTGAAGTTAAAAAAGAAACAAAAAAAGAGAAAGAGAGAAAAAGAAATAAAGTCAGAGCATTAACACTTTGGACTTCAGACTTCATGGGAGAGAAAAAAAATGATTTTTGGGTCAGGCCCTGTGGCTTACATCTGTAATCCCAGCACTTTGAAAGGCCGAGGTAGGAGGATTAATTGAGACCAGGAGTTGAGACCAGCCTGGGCAACATAGTGAGACCCTGTCTCAACAAAAAAAATCCCTGAAATTAACCAGACATGATGGTTCGTGTCTGTACTCCCAGCTACTACGGAGGCTGAGGTAGGAGGATCACTTGAGCCCAGGAGTTCGAGGTTGCAGTGAGCTATCATTGTTCCACTGCACTCCAGCCTGGGTGCCAGAGTGAGACCCTGCCTCAAAAAAAAAAAAAAAAAAAAAATAGATTTTTCCCAACCACAGGAAAAACTGGTGAAAAGTCAAAGGCAGTTGAGCCTAACAGAAATGCCATTGTAGAGTTCTGATTCTTTAACCTGACATTGTTATTTATTCTTATAAATTACAGGAATGGATTATTTTGGGGTTAACTTTCTGTATTATAGTAGGGAGCCTCTTTCTAGTGTCTTTTACAGGAAAGAATTTGTGCCCCCAAACCCGTCTTTTTTGTTTAATGTCTTAACAGTTTTATTTGTTGAAAGCTTATTTGAGATCTTGGCTGTTTAAAAAGAAAATAAGAAAAGATAAATAAGATTGAGAATAAGAGAAAGAAAAAATGTTATTTGTGTCCCTCAGTAGTTTGAAGGTTGCTGTAGTTCATCTTCAGATACAGAGAGTCATGAAAGATTTATTTAACCACATTTCTTTTAAGGTTGAAGGGGTTGAGATGATCACTCGCTCATCCAGGGTCTCTTTCTTCACCCACGTCCTCTTATTTATTTATCTCTTCTCCTGAGCCAAAATTTGAGCTGCTGTGAGAGATTCTTAATCAGTTCCCAATATTTGAAACCACTTTCAACAATACCATCCATCTCCTCCCACCACAAGTGGCATTATCTCCATATCCTTGGAGATGAGCCGCTTTCCCCTTCCATTATCATTTGGAGCCACACACGTTTGGTTACAAATGCCCTGATAATGTTCTTGTTGGTCTCTCACAAGTGAAATAACAGATAACCATTCTCCCAGTGATGGTGAGGCAGTCATCCTGCACCCAGATAACCAGGAAAGGAGGTATTCACTTCCATTGCATGCTGTGATTAAGATCTCACTGGCAAAGATACAAGTGAGATTGCCTTTATAAAATAATATCCATGCTCATGTCATTTTATTCAGCTCAGATAGCAGCTAACATCATTTCTTGGGGCCCTCCCTCTGTACCAGTCTGCATTGGCTTTCGAACGTGTATACCATCATCACCTGCCCTACTGGTGAGATAAGAATAAAAGTATAAGATGGCATATTAAATTGTGCAGTGTTTTTCATATTACTCATACAAATGAGATAACAGCTGCGGGATAGTCTGTTTCATTCTTGGCAGAACTCCCAATCATTTGTGCTGCTGAAACAAGCCTAGCCTTATATCTCAGCAGTGTGTGCTCCTGTCTGTGGGTACCTTTCAGCAGGGCCAGGAGGCTGCCTCCCCTAAGTCCACCTTCCCAGTCTGCTTGATGTGAATTAATGAGGGACAAATCTTTTTATTCCTACTCAGATTTAGGCTTAATGTGAAATTATCTAAAGGAGGTAATTTACAGAGTATTTCCCAAATTTCAATTATCAAGCCCCACTTTCTTATGGTTTTTGTTATATGCAGATGTCACCAATGATATTACTTAATACTTTTCTTTAAACTTATTTTAATTTTAATTACCTATCTTAGCCTTATTTTAACTAATAGTGATAAACTCATAAGCTTGTTATGATTGCTTTAATTTTATTATATTTAATCGACATTAAAATAAACATGTAACTATTAATATTGTTTTCTGTGCATTGTCTAAAATAATTCTGAGTGATACTCATGGATGTTTTCATTTGAGAAACACCATTAGGTTAGTTCTCACTAAAGTACACACATCTAGTACAGATAATTTCTTAGCAGCTGCTGTTGATGGGTGATCCCACACTTGAAAAAGTAGGGAGGGAAACCTATGAATATAAAATAATCCAGAAAGGACACATTGGAGGAAAGTAAGAAGCAGTTCTGTCTAAGGCACATTTCATCCTGGCTAGACTTAGATGAGTGAGGTGAAAACAAGGACATTGTGCTTATCGCCTTTCTGGGTGGGATCTGGCATTGGAGGTTGACCCAGGCCTCTGTGAGGCCCTGAGCTTTAACACACATTCAAGGCACTTGCCAGGCTGCTCTAGGCTGTTCCCACCCCACCCCATAGCTACTCCTAGTCTGGGTTCTGATTGGTGTTATGAAGAAGAGGCAAGGATGGCACAAAATGGCAAGTGTCAAGTGTTGGAGACTTCAATTTTCTGTCAAGACTACCTTCTCTATCCAAGAAAAAGGACTCGATTATGAAGGAGTTTCAAAAGTACAAACAAGCAAACAACAACAACAACAACAACAACAACAAAACAGAACAAAAATCAATCAGATGAATAGGACTGAGAGTTTAAAGCTGGAAAGCTCTAATTTAGAGGTAGCAGAGGCCCTTGACATCTGTCAGAGAAACTTCTGCTCCAAGCTTCTGTAGGTGCCTATGATCCCAGGCTTCCTAACACTCTTACCACAACAGTAGTGGCCTCTTCTCTTTCAGTCTCTGGCTGTATGCTTCCTGGTTATTACCCTGAACAAGGACTGCCAGAGTGGATGGTAATGACCCACCTTACTCAGGCCAGTCCCTCAGGATTCCACCATCTTTTGACTAAGACGACGATCTCAGGTTGACTGTCCCAAACATGGCTGTCGATGCTGTAGAAGGGCTATCTTAGACACATGGCTTCTTCTTTCCAAGACCTGCCTGGATATGGAGCTGTATAAGACATATAGATGGTTGATAGGCAGATGGACAGGAAAAGAGTTAATTCCCAAACCAACCATGATTTAGTTGTGGGCCTGCCGAGCATGCAGGCTGAGCCTGTGAGAGCACCATGAGGGAGCAGTTAATCAGACTTCAGTTTCCAGGTATGTGGACGACCTGACTGGTGACCAGAGATTGAACTAAGTGTCTGGGAACAGTTCATGTGTACAAGCCCAAGGCCCATGAGAGATAACAATCAATCCCTGCTTCATCCTTTAATCCACATTCATTGCTAGCAACAACATAGCAAAAATCAGTGGGAGCTGTTTTTTTGTATTCTGGTTAGATAAAGCAGGAAAGCATCCATAGTGTTTTGTAAATAGTATTTTACCCAGTCATTCGATGCTGATTAGCCCATGTTTGCCCCTCATTTCCCCAAATTAACTTTTGCCATCATTCTGCATACCCGTGACACTTGGTTTCCACGGGGCTGCTGATTGCTGCATTTCCCTGAAACTCACTGATTGCACCTATGCCCAGTGCCACCTCCCTGAACAGCCTCGCTGCTGGTTTCAGTGTCTGTTTCTCTTCAGGATTTTTCTCTACCTTTGTTAATACAAAAGGGAAAAAGAATTATTCAAGAAGTTTACACTTTTAGTAAACTTCTTCTTCCTGATTTTTAAACTGTTCCCCTTTGTTCACCCTATCGAAGAAAGAAGAAAAAGAAGGAAGGAAGAAAGGGAGGAAGAATGGAGGAAAACATTTCTGCTTTTCACCAGGATTGACTCTTTTTCCAATTTTAAAAAAAGTTGGAACATTTATGTGTAATGTATCTCATTCTAAAGGTAATAGAACTACATTTCAAAGGAAAAGGAAAAGTACCCATAATACTAACAACATAACAGAATTGCTGTTAGCATGTTGATATATTTCCTACTAAGCTTTCTGCTATGCACCTTCTTTTAAAATCTAGTAGTAATCCTACTGTATATAAAACATTTTCTTTTATTTTTTTCACTTATATTCAGTCATAAGCATTTTTCATGGTGCTATATGGCCTTTATAACCATAGTTTTAATGACTGCATGTTTCCTCTAGTGAAAATATAATAATTTACATAACCCTTTCTTGAGTGTTTTGATATTTAGATTGCTTGCCATTTTAAAATTTTCATTATATCATTGAAATGATACTGTTAAAGCATATGTTCCCACCCACCCCTATTTTTGCTTTATTTTGTTAGGTTCTGTTTCTAGAAGTCAGGTGACAAGAAAAAGCCCATGGGCATTTCAGGTGCTTGATTCGTAATTTGAAGTTGGATTCTACAAGCATTTGTACTTACTGTGTCCTCACCAGCCAAGCTGGAGGGCCCACTCCAACAAACCCTCACTGTGCTTCTCCCCCTTGTTTTGCCTCCTCTCACAAAAGTGTACTTCTCACATTCCTCATAGTGGAGAGAGAACCTTCCCTCACAGGTTTTCAACCATTTGTGCCCAATATGAAGTCAAAGAAACCCTCTTGACTCCATTTATGTGGCTATTGGTCTTCATGCTGTAGCAGATGTCTTTAAAAGAGATGGTCTTCAGCCCTTCACCTTAGCTAAAGGTTGGCACATGCCAAGGATAGGAGGTTAACAATGAAAGGAAGGGTTGTGGGCCAACCAGGGTCCTATGAGGGGAATTTAGGAAGGGGGTGCCCACAACTTATGGTGTCTGGTTGGCTATAACATATCCAAGAATAATTTATTGAGTACTTACATGTATTAGCCATTGTGATAGCTATAATGGGATATGCAGAGGTAAACACCACTGTCAAAGAGTTTATAGCCTTCTGTGGAAATGACATGCCTGCAAATAACTGTTATGAAGACAGAAGGAGGGACATGAAGTACTGAGGATTGCCATGATAAGCCAGCAGCCCAGGACCGTAACAGAAGGCCCCCTGTACACCAGGCTGCATGTTCTCAAGCCTTGTTTTGGTATGGTCAAGCAGTTAGGGAGGGCAGTGTAGGGAGTTCATTGTGGCAGGTTTACTGAAATAAGATTATTCTGGGTGTGGAAGAAGTCAGATCTTGTGTGGGGGAATTTGAATAAAGCATGTACCTACTCACTGACCTTTCCTGACAAGACACATATGTGATGAAGAGGGAGAATGCATCAAGCACAAGCTGTTAGCCTTCACTCTTCAGTGCCTCTGTGGCTGCAAAGACTGAAGAATCATGTTATGCATACCCCGGGAAAATTTCTGACCTAAGAGTGAGTGGGTTTACAATGAATGGCTGAGTATCAGAGTCAGGTTAAGTAACAGGTGATAGGAGTCAACTATTAAGGGGAACTAGGCATCATTTTTACCCAGGTATGTATGGTTCTTTAGATCTTGTTACATAATGTGTCTCTTCCTTCACTTGTCTGTTATAGAGTAATTACTTAAAATTGTAGTGTATCAGACTAGAAAGTGACCTTAATCATGTTAGAAGACTCTCAGTCACATGACAGCCTAAGTTAATTGATCATCCCCCCTTTAACTTAGAATATGTAGACATGCTAGATAAAAAAAAAAATTGGTAAAGCCCTATTGCTCAACTTGAAAGAAAGAAAAGACAATCTCAAGTGTAGCAGAAAGAAAAGGAGATGAAAGCTATTGTGAGGGGGTGAGTAAGGGAGACCTGATGCTAAGAAGACTCATGGGCATTTGGGTTCCATATAAGGCTTGGGGCCAGGCCTCTAATGTACACATGAGGACTGGTTATGTGACCTCCAGACCACAGGTGATAGAGAGAGGAGGAAGCCTGTGTAAAGCCTGGAAACTCCAAGAGCTGCCCTGCTCATAAAAGGCATACTGGAAAACAGCACAAATTGGCCAGGGGAGGCAACATGGAAGTTTGCCACCATTTGTCCAGAGCCTTAGGTAGAAAAAAAAAATCACTCGAAAAACTAAATTTCCTGGCCTGAAGTATGTAAAGGCATGTGATTCAAATTTAAACTATCTATCTGGTTCAGGACATCCAAGCTGAGAATTTATCATAACCTGGTCAAGGATCATTGAAACCCTGGAGGCTACAGTATAAGCAACTATAAAACTTCTCAGCAGGAATCCTTTCATAATCCAGGGCACATAGAATTCCACAGAGCTAATGCCCCGATGAAGAGGAGCTTACAATATAAAACAGACAAACCTCATGAATCAAACCACCACACATCAGGTCAGGAGACACCACAAACAGCAATTCCTATCCACTACTGGTAGGAATGTCAAATGGTAAAACTACACCAGAGAGCAATTTATTTTATTTTATTTAAACTTTTATTTTAGTTTCGGGGTACATGTGCAGGTAAGTTACATGTCACGGGTGTTTGGTGTACAGATTTTTTAATCACTCAGGTAATAAGGATGGTACTTGTTGATAGTTTTTTGAGTCTCACCCTCCTCCCACCCTCCACTCTCAAATAGGCCCCAGTGTCTGTTGTTCCCTGCTTTGTGTCCATGTGTACTCAATGTTTAGCTGCCACTTAAAGGTGAGAATATGTAGTATTTGGTTTTCTGCTTCTGCATTAGTTCACTTAGGATAAGGTTCTCTAGTTCCATCCTTGTTGCTACAAAGGACATGACCTCCTTCTTTATGTCTGTGTAGTGTTCTGTGGTGTATATGTACCACATTTTCTTTATCCAGTCTACTGTTGGTGGGCATCTAGGTTGATTCAATGTCTTTGCTATTGTGAATAGTGCTGTGATGAACATATGCATGCATATGTATTTATGGTAGAATGATTTATATTCCTTTGGGTATATGCCTAGTAATGGGATTGTTGGGTTGAATGGTAGTTCTGTTTTAAGTTATTTGGGAAATTACCAAACCACTTTCCAAAGTGGCTGAGTAAATTTACACTCCTACCAACAGTGCATAAGCATTCCCTTTTCTCTGCAACCTTGCCAACAACTGCCATTTTTTCACTTTTTAATAATAGCCATTCTGACTGGTGTGAGATGATATCTCATTGTGGTTCTGATTTACATTTCTCTAATGATTAGTGATGTTGAGCATTTTTTTATATGCTTTTTGGCTGCATGTATGTCTTCTTTTGAGAAGTGGTCTGTTCCTATCTTTTGCCCACTTTTTAATAGGGTTGTTTGTTTTTTGTTTGTTAATTTGTTTAAATTCCTCATGGATTCTGGATATTAGACCTTTGTCAGATGCATAGTTTGCAAATATTTTCTTCCATTCTGTGGGTTGTTTGTTTATTCTGTTGATAGTTTCTTTTGCTGTGCAGAAGCTCTTCAGCTTAATTAGAGATCATTTGTCAATTTTTGTTTTTGTTGCAATTGCTTTTGGTATCTTCATGAAATCTTTGCCAGGGTATATGTCTAGAATGGCATTTCTTAGGTTATTTTCCAGGGTTTTTATAGTTTTAGGTTTTACATTTAAGTGTTTAATCCATCTTGAGTTGATTTTTGTATATGTTGTAAGGAAGGCATCCAATTTCAATCTTCTGCATATGGCTAGCCAGTTATCCCAGCACCATTTAGTGAATAGGGAGTCCATTCCTCATTGGTTGTTTTTGTGAACTTTGTCAAAGATCAGATGGTTGTGGGCATGTGGTCTTATTTCTGGACTCTCTATTCTGTTCCACTGGTCTATGTGTCTGTTTTTGTACTACTATCATGCCATTTTGATTACTGTAGCCTTGTAGTATAGTTTGAAGTTGGGTAATGTGATGCCCCCAGCTTTGTTGTTTTTGTTTAGGATTGCTTTGGCTATTTGGGCTCTTTTATGGTTCCATATGAATTTTAAGAGAGTTTTTTTCTCTAATTCTGTGAGGAATTTCACTGGTACTTTGATAGAAATAGTATTGAATCTGTAAATTGCTTTGGGCAGTATAGCCATTTAAACAGTATTGATTCTTCCTATCCATGAGCATGGAATGTTTTTCCATCTGTTTATGTAATCTTGCATGGAATGTTTTTTCCATCTGTTTATGTAATCTCTGACTTTTTCAGTAGTGTTTTATAATTCTTGTTGTAGAACTCTCTCACCTCCATGGTTAGCTGTATTCCTGGGTATTTGATTCTTTTTGTGGCTATTGTGGATGGGATTGTGTTCCTGATTGGGCTCTCAGCTTGGACATTGCTGGGATATAGCAATGCTACTTATTTTTGTGCATTGATTTTGTATTCAGAAACTTTGCTGAAGTTGTTTATCATATCTAGGAGCTTTTTGGTAGAGACTATGGGGTTTTCTAGGTATAGAATCCTATCACCTATGAAGAGACATAGTGTGACTTCCTCTCTTCCTATTTGGATGCCTTTTATTTCTTCCTCTTGCCTGATTGCTCTGGCTAGGACTTCCAGTACTATGTTGAACATGAGTGGTGACAGTGGGCATCCTTATTTTATTCTAGTTCTCAAAGGGAATGCTTCCAGTTTTTGCATGTACGGTATGATGCTGGCTGTAGGTTTGTCAAAGATGGTTCAGAGAGCAATTTAGCAATACATAGTACATGTGAAGTTGGGCAGACGATACAGCCCAGCAAGCTCATGTATAGGTATATGCCCTAGAAAATTCTCTTATGTGTAATATAAGAAGATATGGCCAACGATGATCTTTGTTTGTTAAAATAAACTGTAATGCTAATTTAGAAATCCAAATTGGCAGTCAGAATGCGAATGGATAAGTAAAGTGTGATTTATTCATATGTTAGAATACTACCAATTCGTTAGAATGAATGAATGTATCCAAATGCACAAATCTTAAAAACATGATGCTGAGGGAGAAAGCCAACTTTCTGAAGGATAAGCATAACATACTATTTATCTAAGTTTTAAAAACACAAATCAATATCATATAGTATTTATGAACATGTGCAAAGGTAGTGAAAGTATAAAAACAGAGAAAACATCAATTTAAAAGAAAGTAGTTTCCTTTAGTGTGGGAGGGAAGACAAAGGGTTTGATTTAAATGTAGGTTTGACTCGTAAACCAGTGCAATACTAAAAGTATACCATATGGATTCTATAAGCCAATGCATTTTATTTTTTACTATAAATAAAGAAACCCTCTTCAAATATAATTTTTCCCTACCGATTCAAAGAAAGAAAGAAATAATGCATTATAGATGCAGTTGAAGCTCCATTTATATATCAGTCCTATCCCATCCCCTCTCGCCATTGTCTCTGTATGATGTGCTGCCTCTTCAAATATAAACCATGGTCAAATCATACATTTAATCATTCTCAACATACCAGGAAGGAAATGATGGAGATAAAAGTCTATAGCCATTATAAGAAACTTCTTTTTTGGGAAAAACAAAAATAAAAACAAAACAGGGAACAGTGGAAATGATGCTGTTGACATTAGTGAGTACCACATACCAAAGTGTTGTGGGTGAGCATTCCAGACACCCTGATGAGGTAGTGGAGGAGTTCCCATTGGGCCAAGATGGTTGGCCTTGCCCTGCCTCAAGAACATCTCCTTATGTACTGCTCTCCACAACCATATGTGAGATGGGCAATGGGGCATGCTTCTTTTCTAGAAGATGTTTTTATTGTCCTAGTTCACTTCCTGTTGAGGGAGTTCTAGGGCACTGGGGCTGACCTGAGGGATTGAGCAATCACAGGCCTTTATTTTCAGGACCTGAGCTTGGATCAACTGGCCAGGTAGGTAACTTTCTAGAAATTTCAAGGAATATTAATCTAAGTCAGAGACCTTATGGAGTCATGGTCCATGAGTTTTGACATTGCTTTTATAGCATCTCTCTCTTAGCAATAAGCTCAAGAGCTCTGAGCATGTCCCTAGCCTTGGGCTTAAGTGCTTCCATCTTATCTGTCCAAACGATGGGTTGAAGAAGGCTAATGTTGTGTCCTTTGCCCTGGAGGTCTTTACTATGGAGGTAGTTATATTTTTCAAGCAGCAAGTGAAACTTAGGAGGTGTTGGAAGGGGCCTGGGCCTTTAGGCTCACTCCATAGTCCTGGTTTTGTCTAGGTCCCAATATTAATTGTTGCTGTGTTTCCCACCTAACTATCTTTATTTACACTACTTTTATTTTCTATTTATTTTTATTGATGAATAATATTTGTACATGTTTACGGGGTACATGTGACTTTTTTACATGCATAGAATGTGTAATGATCAAGTCAGGGTAATTAGGGTATCCATCCCCTTGAGTATTTATCATTTCTATGTGTTGGGAACATTTCAGGTCCTCCCTTCTAGCTATTATGAAATATATGATACTCTGTTGTTAATCATAGTCACCCTACTCTGCTATTAAACACTAGAACTTATTCCTTTTATCTACCTGTATGTTTGTCCCATTAGCCATCCCTTCACACCTTTCCCAGCCTCTGATATCTATCATTCTACTCTCTACCTCCATTAGATCAACTTTTTTAGCTCCGACATATGAGTGAGAAGATGCCATATTTGTCTTTCTGTACTTACACTAACTTTAGTTTTAGGAAGATAATATATTATCCAGACATCTCAGGTTTCTGGCCACTGCCTCTTAGCAAGACTCTATCTCCTTCCCTTTCCGCTTTTAGTTTGGACAGTCTGTACTGAAATAGCAACTCACTCTAACATCATGATATTTTTTTCTTCTAAGTTGAGTACCAAGGTGGAACATGACAGTTTCACCATCGCTTTCACTATCCCATAAAAAGATTACCAACTTCAATGTGGGAAAGGGGAATCCTTATTGTACCTCAGTCTACTTAAATTCTGTCACTTCCATGTAGGTCTGTCACTCATAACATCCTATTCCTAGTACTGATTTATATGTTGGCTAGGACCCATTTGGCTGTAAGGGAAAGAAAACGCTAGCTTTAAAAATAAAAAGCTCAGGGAAGGTGTTGGCCCATGTATCCAATAAGTACAAGGGGTGTAGGTGGCCTTAGGTGGGGCTGGATCCAGAAGCTCATATAGCTCAAAAGTATACAGACCAGAAGTCTATATTTTTCTCTATCTCCTGGTTCAATTTTTCCTCAGTGTTGGCTTTGTCTCAAGCAGACGCTCCAGGTGGTGGAAAGAAGGTAACCTATGTTCTTGGCTTATGTTGTTCTCATAACTGGTATTCCAGCAAAAATAGAATGCTTCTTTCTGACGATTTTGTTAGAAGACCTAGAAAAGGCTCTAATTGCCCAGCCCGGCAATGTGCCTATGATTCCTGAACGAGCCACTGTGCCATGGGCTGGGGTTCTCTAATTAACCAAGTTGGGGCCAATGGCCCAAATCTGAAATTTAGGGTTATGTCAGCCCTACTTGAACCACAGAAAGCACAATGAGTAGAGTGGTGGTTTCTCAAAGTGATTCTAGGTAGACAAAAAAAAAAAAAAAGGATCTTCCAATAGGATTTTTTTGAACCAACTGCATGTTCTGTTTGTAAGGGTAAGAGTATTTGCCATGGATAATTTTTTCCAGTGGATTTTTAGTGCAGAGACACTTGTATTTATGTTTAAAATCTAATTGTCAGCAAGTGGTCACCTGAAGTGAAAGTGTTTAACTTTTAATAAAGTGGCTTTCCAACAAAATTCACAGACTTGGGGACTATAAGTATATTTTTGCCTATTTTAATGTGGAGTCATTCATACATTATTTATAATTGGAATACGCTTCATGCCTTCTCAATGTTGTATGGTATAGTACATGGTTCCTAATATTTCTTAATAAGAAGATCCCGCTTTGACAGCTCCACAGTTTGTGGCTCTCCGATAAAACTGTAATTGTACTTATAGTACCTTAAGAAAAATATATATGACAACAGTTACAATGCAGTCAGTTTTTCATTGAGCACAATACGTCAGTAACTCTTGAAAAGTATACCTAGGAACTGGACCTAGAATTTAATCAGGCTATGGAAAATGCTTGGGCATGTGTGGATTTTCTGTACTCCTATGAGATAGTACTTAAGAGTATTGGGCCCATAGGTTAGGAACCACTGGAGTAGTGAGTAATTAAGAACATGGCTCAAACCCAGCTCTACCACTTGTGAGGTGTTTGACCTTGGGTGGCTCATTTAACCTCTTTAAGTCTTCAGTTTCCTCCAATGGGAGCTGGAAATAACACCACCTGTTCCTCTAAGATTGCTGTGAGGATTAGAGATAATGTAGGTGTAATGTAGGTAAAGCACTTGGCAGAGTCCTTGATACATGATTAGCACTCAATATGTGTAGCAATTAGTGTTACCACTTTATATTAAAATTATCTATTTACCACAAGTCTCCTTGAATGTAAGGCATTGTGTTTTATGTAGCTTTATATTCTCAATGCCTAGCAAGGTCCTGGATTAGACAGGATATGTTTATTAAGTGAATAAGTAAATTATTGAAAAATTAAAAGCAATGATATGTCTAATGTGTCTAGCTCACTGACCATAGCATGGTGGCTATTTTAAAAATGTGCATGTATTCTTCTCTTCATCATCTGGACTTGGACGTGATTTAGCCCAGTGGTCCTGGAACTTCAGTGTGCTTGAGAATCACCTGCAGCGCTTAAACACAAATGATGACCTAACACCAAGTTTCTGATTCAGTACATCTTGGATGAGGCCTGAAAATTTGCATTTCTAACAAGTTCCTATCTAATGCTGATGCTGCTGGTCTGGGACCACATTTTGATCACTACTGTACTATACTAATAGCTCTCAACTTTGGCTACATATTAGAGGTACTGGGAAAGCTCTTAAAAATAATGATGGCTGCTTGGCCAAGAAAGGTGGCTCATGCCTATAATCCCAGCACTTTGGGAGGCCTAGGCAGGAGGATTGCTTGAAGCCAGGAGTCTGAGACCAGTCTAGGCAACCAAATGAGACCTCATCTCTGCAGAAGAAAAATAAAAATAAAAATAAAAAAATTAACTGGGTCTGGTGGTGCACACTTGTGGTCCCTGCTACTCAGGAGGATGAGGCTGCGGCTGCAGTGAGCTGTGATTACATCACTGCACTCCAGCCTGGGGGACAGAGAGAGAACTGCCTAGTAAAAAAAAAAATCCTGGACTCCTCACCTTGAGAGTGTAATTAACTGGTCTGAAATGGGGCCTGGGCAGCCGTATTGTGTATTATTTTAAAGCTCCCCTCCACCAACACTCTCTAATATGCTGCCAGACGTGCAAATCACTGGCCTTACTACTGGACTTGGGCAACCCAACTCAGGGCAGATTTATCATCTGCCTGTTGTCCACTGGTAGCACTGTAGCAACTGTGTCCAACAGAAAAAAATCAACTTCAGTTAGTTTGGTCTTGTATTTCTAAATTGATTATGTAGATACCTCACACCACTGAAATCAGTTAGTAAATTGAGTTTCTTCACAGGTACAGCATTATTTCTCCCAGGCCAGTGAGTGCTTGCAAGTCTCCAGGATGGTTCTTTTTGTTTTATTCACTGTGTGTGTGTGTATGTGTGTGTGCCCCACATGCAGTGAACTTGTTTTCGGTCGTTTCTTATAATTCACTGTATAATCAAGGGATTAGCTCAATGGAATCATAGGGGTGGGGAGGGGAGAGTTGCTTTTCACTTTTAGAAATGAACCACCTCTTCTCAGTTATAAAATCCTCGCAGGACCCCAAACCTACAGTCATAGGCTCATTAAAAGTGAGTTGCAATTATAAGCATGTTTGTCTGCTTCCCTCCCTCTTGGTGCTTGTGTCTGGTGCTCGTTTTTTTCCTTGTGAACTTTAATACATGTTTAATGTGAATCTTAATGATTTGATTACAATGGCATAATTACATAATTGGAATGTATTGTGCATGCTGGTGGGAAGGAGTCTGGAAGGTGCTTGGTGAGTGACATTACATAAACAGAATAATAATGAAGTGAGATTGAGAATGAGACTAATGAGAAAATGATTAGAAAAACTGAGAAGAAATAGACACTTGTGGAAATGAGAAGGTAGCATTTCTCTTGCTTTAATGATTGGGATTCATTTCACCTGAAAGGCTGAGGCTTTTGAGAATCAATGCTATTAGAAAGAGGTAGGTTCAGATAGTGGGTTTTTTGGAGGCTACTTTGGACATGGGTGATGGCTCCAAGGCCCAACTGTCTAGGCAAGAAGCAAGTCAGACTTATCAAGAAGCTCTGATACACTGCT
This sequence comes from Homo sapiens, assembly GCF_000001405.40. NCBI lineage: Eukaryota > Metazoa > Chordata > Mammalia > Primates > Hominidae > Homo > Homo sapiens. Next base: position 135,694,433 of record NC_000003.12, on the reverse strand, counting down.
TCCTACGATCTTTAAAGCAGAAGCAAGGGCAGTTCTCTTTCTCACCACTGTCCTTGCTTTAGAATGTTTCCTGTGGCCCATTTGCATATCAGTGGAACATTGAGAGCCCCATTAATGTGGAGTGGAGCCACATTCTCCTCCCCAGTGCAATTCCACCATCTCTTGCTGTAACCTATTGCTACTGAAGAGGAATGGCACCTAGCCAATTGTTTTGTGCTCCCAGTTAATGACCTTCATTACTGTGTCATTTGGGCTAGAGAAACATGTCCACCTGCCTAGATCCTTTCCCATAGTAATTGGCCTGTGCAATGTCATCTTTACGTGATGTTTACTGTGTATTACTATAATCACAATGATTATTTCTCCAACTTATTTGTACTATTAACATTAAACATATCCGCTTATTGATTCAACAAACACCAGTATTTGTTAAACACCCATGTAGGTGCTAGTTGCTATGTGTGATGCAGAAAACAGAAGACACATTATTTGTGGTTTAGCAGTTGAAGTCTAGACAAGACATTCAGGAAAATTATTGTAAATCATCTCATGGTGAGTCAGAGAAATGATTCAGAATATTTTCACTATTGCCATGGGTTCTTTTATCCATCAACTTAAAAATACTTATTGAGTGCCTACTATGCGAAAGGCTTAAGGTGAGGGGCAGGATACTGAGATAAATTTAACTAAGATCTGCCTTCGGGGTAATTTTCCAAGACAATCTGGCAATATCCATCCAAGTAAAAAATGGATACACTCTGTGATCCAGCATTTTCACTTCTTGGTTTGTACGCCAGGTGGCTATTCATTTATGTGCACAGATAGGGCATATAAAAGTATGGTAAATGAAGTACTGCTTGTAATATTATTCTACAAACAGCCTAAATGTCCACCAAAAGGGGAGCAGCTAAATAAACTGAGGTTAAAGCAATACCATGAAAAATTGTACAGATTAAGAAGAATAAGGTAGATCTATCGCTAGATCTTTAGGACAACTCCTTTGAATAAACTAAGTGATAAGTAATTATGTATGGAATAATATACCGTATGTAAAATAAAAAGCAAAAGAAAAAATAACACAAAACAAACTTATACATTTTCTATGGGCCGTAGATATCTATATAAAATAAAAAACAACCAAAGACCAGAATTTCAGAAAGCTATCACCAAAGCGACAGTGATAATAGTGGCCACCTTTGGGTAGGATTGGGAGGAGCTAGGATTGAGGATGCTCGTGAAAGGAACCTCGGATTCCTTTTTTTTTCCTTTTTTTTTTTTTTTTTTTTTTGAGACAGAGTCTCGCTCTGTCACCCAGGCTGGAGTGCAGTGCTGCGATCTTGGCTCACTGCAACCTCTGCCTCCCGGGGTCAAGTGATTCTCCCACCACAGCCTCCCGAGCGGCTGGGACTATAGGCATGAGCCACCATGTCCGGCTAGTTTTTTTGTAGTTTTAGTAGAGACGGGGTTTCACCATGTTGGTCATCTTCTGACCTCGTGATCCGCCCGCCTCGGCCTCCCAACCTCCCAAAGTGCTGGGATTACAGGCGTGAGCCACCGCGCGTGCCTGTTCTTTTTTTTTTTTTTTTTTTTTTTTTTTTTTTGAGACAAGGTCTCAATCTGTGGCCCGGGCTGGAGTGCAGTGGTGCGATCTCGGCTCACTGCGACCTGTGCTTCCAGGGCTCAAGCAACTCTCCAGCCTCAGCCTCCCAAGTAGCTGAGACTACAGGCACGAGCCACCAACGCCCGGCTAATTTTTGTATTTTTGTAGAGATGGGGTTTCAACATGTTGCCCAGGCTGGTCTCAAACTCCTGAGCTCAAAGTGATCCGCCCGCCTCAGCTTCCCAAATTGCTGGGATTACAGGCGTGAGCCGCCGCATCTGGCCTATTTTTTTTTTAAGAAAATATATTTTGTTTACTTTCTTGAGTAGTAAATGCAACGGAAATAAGTAAATAAAATCTTATGGAAATATCCAGTGCCCAGTACATAGCAGGAACTAAATTAATGTTTACTGAACTGAACTGAAGTAAACATAGAAAAAAGGGGCAGTATTCGAGGTTAGAAACATCAGGGCAGGCTTTAACAAGGGAGATATGTTTGAGCTGGTCTTACGAAAGAAGAAGTGCTGGAGATGTGGAGGAAAGGGGCGACATGCAGCTTCCACGGTGTGGACATGGGTAGTTAATGGGTATTAATATTTACAAATAAATAAATAAATATTATTATTATTTTTTTGAGACAGTCTCGCTCTGTCACCAGGCTGGAGTCCAGTGGCACGATCTCGACTCACTGCAACCTCCACCTCCTGGGTTCAAGTGATTCTTCTGCCTCAGCCTCCTGAGTAGCTGGGACTACAGGCATGCACCACCATGCCCAACTAATTTTTGTATTTTTAGTAGAGATGGGGTTTCACCATGTTGGCCAGGATGGTCTCAATCTCTTGATCTCCTGATCCGCCTGCCTTGGCCTCCCAAAGTGCTGGGATTACAGGCGTGAACCACCACGCTTGGCCACAAGTACTTATTTACGGTCATGTGCCACGTAACTTTTTGATCAATGATAGACTGCATATCCGATGGTGGTCCCATAAGATTATAATGGAGCTGAAAAATTCCTATTGCTTAGTGACATCTTGTTGATCTTGCCCCTGTGTAGGCCTAGGCCAATGTGTATGTTTATGTCTTAGTTTTTAATAAAAAAGTTCAAAAAGTAAGAAAAAAATGTAAAATAGAAAAAAGCTTATAGAATAAGGATATAAAGAAAAGATATATTTGTACAGCTGTACAATGTATGTTTTAAGCTAAGTATTATTATAAGAGTCAAAAAGTCAAAAACATTAAAAAGTTTATAAAGTAAAAATGTTACAGTATGTTGAGGTTAATTTATTATTGAGGAAAGTTTTTTATGTAAATCTAGTGTAGCCTCTGTGTGCAGTGTTCATAAATTCTACAGTAGGGTACAGCAATGTCTTAGGACATCACATGCACCATCACTCACTCACTGACTCACCCAGAACAACTACCAGTCCTGCAAGCTCCATTCATTGTGCTCTATTCGTTGTAAGTGCCCAATATAGGTTTACCATTTTTATCTTTTACCCCATATTTTTACCATACCTTTCTATATCTAGATATATTAGGTACACAAATACTGACTATTCTGTTACAATTGCCTACAGTGATTAGTACAATAAAAAGCCGTATATATTTGTAGCTAGGAGTAAGTAATAGGCTACACCATGCAGCCTAGGTGTGGCAGGCTGTACCATCTAGACTTGTGTAAGTACACTGTATGATATTTGCATAAAGTTGAAATTGTTTAATGATGCATTTCTCAGAACATGTCCCCATCATTAAGTGACACATGTCTATTTCAACCTTTTATTTTCATTTTCCATTTTTATCTCTCACTCTGTGTTAATCTGAGTATTTTCAACAGATCTATCTAAGGTTGCTAATCCTTCTTTTGCCAGGGTGGAAGATTAAGGCCATTCCTCAGAAGCAGCTTAATCCCTGAATGGATCGGCTCCCAGGATGTGGCCCTTCGTGGCTTTCAACTGAAAGGAGCTTTCCTTTTGGAGGGATCCTATAGTTTAATATCCTCTCTCCTCTCTGCCGAATGAGGCAGCCCAAAGCTCTCCTTATCTTCTTATCTCTTAGATGCTTCTTTCTGCCCAGCTTGTATTGTGTAGGAGTCAGCAAAGCAGTGAGTGGAAAGTAGTGCCCAATGCTGGGTTCACTCTTTGCATTTCTTTTATTTCTGGGTTTCTGGAATTACATGTCCTGGCTATCTTGGTAGTCCTGAACCCCAGCTTTTATCTCCCCAGGCCTAGGAAATTGCCTGAAGATCTGTTAAGTTTGTCAAGTACTTAGCAGCTGCTTTCTGCTTGACTCTCAGCATCACTTGTAAGTGCCTTGAGGGAAGAAGTGGGATAGAATATTAGGAGTCAGCTCAGTGAATTTTCCTTCTCTCCAGTATCCTGGGCTCTTAGATCCTAGGGCCTGATGGATGAGTGGTGTCTTAAAACAGAAGGTTCTTTTTGACATTTGTTTTTAGTTGCTCTTGGCAGGAAAGTTGGTGTGTTACAACAGAAGCAGATGTATCTTTAAGTGTCAATCTACAGTGGTTTTAAGACAAAGCCTGGAATTCTGAGTGAGGCCCAACTCAGGGACAGTCTTTCTGTCCTGCAGGACCCAACTGTGGTCTGTTGTAGCCACAGGTGTGTTGTTAACCATTGTGTTCCATTCAGAGTAAGTGTTTCCAGGCCTTGGCTCATGCCACTGAGGAAATTGCTACTCTGAGGAAATAATATGATTTACATATGCTTACATAGACAAACCTGAAGTTTGTCTTACAGTCCTAGCAGGGTCTGACCCCTCTTTTTGTCCAGCTTTGGAGGCAAAGTTTGGGTACATCTTGGCAAAATTCTATGCATTAGACTGGGAGATTCTCTTTTGTTTCAAAGTGCATCTCTATAGGAGTAACGTCAAGAATTTAAGATTTTATTCTGTTTATTCTATTCTTGGATATCAGATTTTAGTTAATGTATTATTTCATGAATTATAGGCACTTAATTTAATCCTTGGACTCTTAGATCATTTCTGTTAGTTCTGATGCACTGTGTGGTTCCCTTGAAGGATCACACCTAGGTGGAAGGGTGGGTAAGTGTGAACATAGCCAGAGAGAGCCAGGTGCAGGTCATGAGCCCACAAAGCAGCTGGCCAAGAAGGTGATTCCTGGTTTACCAGTGATGGAAGGGTGAAATCTCTCCTAGTGTGTGATTGTGGAAGCTGAGGGTGGGAGATGAGGGGTTGATCTACACACTCTTTACAAGATGGGGAAATTCAGAAAGACATCGTAGGGTCACTTAACAGCTTAGGACTTCAGTTTTGAGAATGGTGTTGGGAGAGCAACCCTGGGCCTGGGTGTGTCTGAGGTCCGAGCTGCAGCAGGTTTAAGCCATTTTCCAACTTTAGCACCTGCACTATCTTTTCATCTTAAACACCATCCTGGGATAACCTGCAGCCCATTCTCCTAGAAAGGCTTATCATTCTCCTTGTAGATAGATGTGCAAGATCCATGTGAATCTGAGCATTTGAACTATTGAGACTGGATGTAGGGGAATGATTCAAGGGCTCTAGTATTGAATGTCACTTGTACTTCAGTACAAGGCTCTAGTACTAAAACCTCACAAAAGGAAAGTCCTCTCCAAGAAAAACCTTTTCCTCTGGAGTTGGAGGTGGTGGTGATGGGCCCTGATAGTTTCTCTGGGGATACTTGAAGAGGTCTAAATTGAGAGAGGACTGACAAATGTGGTCCCGAGGACAGGGTGTTTCTATTTCCTACATAAGCCTTATTTGTAATATCTATTTTGGAGCTCAGCTACAGACATCCATCCTGTCTCCTATGTCAACCAGATGGACACCATGATATTAATAAAATCTCCTAAGATTCTGGAAGCTAGACATGGTTTTTCCTTCTTAAAATTTATTCCAGGACTCCAAAGACTATGACTGCTGTAGAGCGGGTGCTGGCATTACTAAGGGCTTAGGAAGGCCAGGCACCAATGTTCATTTAATGATGCCTATGTGCCAGGTGTGTACTCAGTACTCTGTGTGAGTTGCCTTGTTAAACAAGCCTCGGTCTTTGACATGTACACTTTCCATCTGTACTGTCATGTCCCATGCTTGCCTTAAATATTGCCTTAAAAAAGCTCTGTGTTCTGGCCGGGCGCGGTGGCTCACGCCTGTAATCCCAGCACTTTGGGAGGCCGAGGCGGGCGGATCACGAGGTCAGGAGATCGAGACCATCCCGGCTAAAACGGTGAAACCCCGTCTCTACTAAAAATACAAAAAATTAGCCGGGCGTAGTGGCGGGCGCCTGTAGTCCCAGCTACTTGGGAGGCTGAGGCAGGAGAATGGCGTGAACCCGGGAGGCGGAGCTTGCAGTGAGCCGAGATCCCGCCACTGCACTCCAGCCTGGGCGACAGAGCGAGACTCCGTCTCAAAAAAAAAAAAAAAAAAAAAAAAAAAAAAAGCTCTGTGTTCTGCTCTTTTCAAATCTGCGTGTTTCAGATGCACGTGTCTGCAAGATTGTAAGCTGGCTTCTGCTGTCTTCCTGTCCCACTCTGAACCTGGCATGGACTAGGTCCTCTAAGTGAATGTGTGGTGAATGAATAGATCTCCATGGAAATGAAGCTGACAATGACTAAGAACTCCATCGCCTGCCTCCAGTTCTTTGGCCCTTCTGATCCCAATTAGGTTGTGTCTGTGAAGATAAGCATACTAGGAAGGATCTTAGCCAAGTTTTTCCCAGTCACATGCTACCTGCATTGATGTTTGAAGCCACCATAGAATAGTTGTCCTATTCATGTGAAAAGCACAAACACTTAAACAAGGAAGATAGTTAAATGGAAATAAAATGTGGCTCCTATCATTTTACACTTCAGTGGCTTCTATAGCCTAAAGCAGGGATACTCAAACCTGGTCATCAGACTGGGGACTAAAATAGGACTTTTTAATAATATAAGCTACTATTTTATCTGATTCATTAAGTCTGAGAGGAGCCCAAAGAATCTGTGTTTTCAAAAATGATACCTAGGAGATTCTAGATGACTCCGATGATCAACCTGAGTTGGGCTGCAACGCAAAGAAAAGCTCTTCAGCATGGCAAGCAAAGACATCTATACACTGGGTGTCCTTGCTCACCTCTGCAGACTTATCTGCTGCTGTCTCCTGCCATACCCTTCTTCTTCTGGGCATTCCTTTGCCCTCCACTAACACACACACACACACACACACACACACACACAGACTTCTGGCACACTGTTGGACCCTTGAAGGATCACACCTTCAAGGGTGTGAAAGGGTGGGTGACTGTGAACATAGCCAGATTGAGACTGGATGTAGGGGAATGATTAAAGGGCTGTAGGATTGAATGTCACTTGTACTTCGGTGACTCTTCAGTACCCTTTGCCCCTCCAACACACACACACACACACACACACACACACACACACACACACACACACACACGAGTTCTGGTGCTTCCCTTGTGGGTTCCTGCCCCTTGGCCTGAGATATACTGCCCCTCTTCCAACCCAACTATGATGGTTAGTTTTATGTGTCAATTTGGCTAGGCTATAGTGCCTAGTTATCCAATAAAGCAGCTGTCCCAAACCTTTTAGGCACCAGGGACAGGTTTCGTGGAAGAAAATTTTTCCACAGACTGGGCAGGGAATGACAGTGTTTCGGGATGAAAGTGTTCCACCTCAGATCATCAGGCTTTAGTTAGATTCTCCTAGGGAGCTCCCAGACCTAGATCCTAGGCATGTGCAGTTCACAATAGGGTTCACACTCCTATGAGAATCTAATGCTGCTGATCTGACAGGAGGTGGAGCTCAGGTGGTAATGCTGGCTCCTGGGCCCACCGGCGGCTCACCTCCTGCTGTGCAGCCTGGCTTGTAACAGGCTAGTCCATGGGTGAGGGGGTTGGGACCCCTGCAATAAAGCACTAATTTGGGCATTACTGTGAAGGTATTTTGTAGATGTGGTTAACATCTACAATGTGTTGACTTTAAGTAAAGGAGATTATCCTGTATAACCTGGGTGGCATCATCCAATGAGTTGAAAGGCCTTAAGAGCAAATGAGGTTTCCTTGAGGAAGAAGAAATTATGCCTGTGGACTACAGGGTCAGCTCCTGCCCAAGCATTTCCAGCCTGTCAACCTGCCTGATGGATTTCAGACTCTGCTAGCTCCAACAATTGCAAAGCCAATTTATTGAAAAAAGTCATGTGTATATATGACCTACTAGTTCTATTTATCTGGTAGAACAATCTTTGCTTTGTTGGCAGTTTAGGCACCGCACCCTCTGAACCTACCCTCCTTCTCGCTGGTCCTGTTGGTGCTGGCCAGTGCCCCTCTCCTCACAGCTCCTGCTGCCCACCATGAGGCCTGTCATCATGGCTGTCCCCCTGTAACCTTCACTCTGAGTTCTATTTATCTTTGTGTTCTTGGCTCCTAGCACAGTGTCTGGCACAAGCAGGTGCTTGACATGTGAGTGTGGACTGAAGAAGAGACACTCATGGCAACAGCGTGTCCTGTGTCTGCTGAGGGCCACTCCTCTGATTGGGTTTGCCAGTCCTGAGCTCCAGGTAGCCTTCACAGTATCCACTGCTGCTTAAGGTCAGAGGCCTTTGTCATTGGGCTCCTATGTCCTAACCTAGCTCAGAAAAGATACAGCCATGAGCTTCCCAAGTCAGAGGGTCATCCTGTACATTACCTTTCATTTTGTCTGGACGGTATAGGAACACTAGAGAATGATTTTAAGAGTAAACAAACACAATTGTTAAATATAATCCAATACAAAGGAAAACTCCAGCCCCATGTCTATGTACTATAGTCCTACTCTGAAGAGGCAACCTTTTATTTAAACTTGTATGGCTATACCATGTACATACAGAAAATTCCCATATGCACTTACACCCATGTAAACAGCAACCACAGCAAGAACTAAAATATTACCAGCACCACAGAAAGTGCCCAGCCATCTTCCCTTCTAGCCACTAACTCAATCACCTTTCCCCCCAGCATAACAACTACTCTGACTTTTAAACTATAAGCCATATGCTATTGGATGGTTTAAAATTTATTACAAATATCCCCAAATATCAGAGGCTACTTAAAAAAATTGTTTGTTTGTAACTCTCCTGGTAAACGCAACTCTCATTAATATGCTTATAGTTATGTTTTTTATTTATTAAATTTAGAAAATAATTATTGGCTCCTCTAATAAATAAGAATTTATCTTACATTCCCTTTTCTCCTCCTTAGCCTTTCTTCTCCTTCCAGATTTGTAGTGAGTTTGTACATGTGTACATATATAATGATTTATAGAATAAATTAAATATAAATTCACCAGTAGAATAACATTTACTTTATTAATCATGTTTAATTGCCAAAAATAATAGCTAATAATCAACCAATAGCTAGCATTTATTGAGTATTTAGCATATGCCAAGCTTTCTTCCAATAGCATCAACTCATTTAATTATCACATAACTCTGTAAGTAGATATCCTTATCTCCATTTAATAGATAAGAAAAACCGAGGCACAGACACCTCAACTAAGACCAGGATTTACACCCAGGCAATCTGACTCCAGAGCCCATGGTCTTAGCCATGCTTCTATAATTTTAAATAATGTACCTTTATCTCTTTGTTTAATTTAATTTTTAATTTTAATGGATACATAGTAGGTGTAGATAATTATGGGGTACATGAAATATTTTGATACAGGCATACAATGTGTAATAATCATATCAGGGTTAATGAGGTTTTCATCACCTCAAACATTTATCATTTCTTTGTGTTACTCCAGTTATACTCCAATTACATTCCAATTATACTCTTGGTTATTTTAAAAAGCACAATAAATCATTGTTGACTATAGTCACTCTGTTGTGCTATCAAATACTAGATCTTATTCTATCAAAGTATGTTTTTATACCCATTAAGCATCCCCACTCCCCACCCAACTACCCTCCCCAGCCTCTGGTATCCATCATTCCATTCTCTATCTCTGTGAGTTCAATTGTTTTAATTTTTAGCTCCCACAAATAAGTGAGAACATTCAAAGTTTGTCTTTCAGTGCCTGGCTTCTTTCACTTAACATAATGTCCTCCAGTTCCATCCATGTTGCTGCAAATGACAGGATCCAATTTATTTTTATGGCTGGAATAGTACTCCATTGTGTATATGTACCATGTTTTCTTTATCCATTTGTCTATTGATGGACACTCAGGTTGCTTCCAAATCTTGGATGTTGCGAATAGTGCTGCAACAAAAATAGGACGGCAGATATCTCTTCAATATACTGTTTTCCTTTCTTTGGGGTATATATCTACCAGTGGGATTGCTGGATCATATGGAACTTTTATTTTTAGTTTTTTGAGGAATCTCCAAACTATTTTCATAGTGGTTGTACTAATTTTCATTCTGACCAACACTGTGCAAAGGTTCCCTTTTCTCCACATCCTCACCAGATTAGTTATTGCCTGTCTTTTGAATATAAGCCATTTTAACTGGGGTGAAATGATAACTCATTGTAGTTTTGATTTGCATTTATCTGATGATCAGTGATGTTGAGCACCTTTTAATATACCTGTTTGTCATTTGAATGTCTTCTTTTGAGAAATGTCTATTCAGATCTTTTGTCCGTTTCTTCACTGGATTTTTAGATTTTTTCCTATAGAGTTGTTCAAGCTCCTTATATATTCTGGTTATTAATCCCTTGTCAGATGGGTTATTTGCAAATATTTTCTCCCATTATGTGGGTTGTCCTTTCACTTTGTTGTTTCCTTTGCTGTGCAGAAGCTTTTTAACTTGATGTGATCCCATTTGTCCATTTTTGCTTTGGTTGCCTAAGCTTGTGGGGTATCAAGAAATCTTTGCTCAGATCAACATCCTGGAGCATTTCTCCAATGTTTTCTTTTAGTAGTTTCACAGTTTGAGGTCTCAGATTTAAGTGTTTAATCAATTTTGATATGATTTTTGTATATGGCTAGAAATAGAGGTCTACTTTCATATTTTGCATATGGATATTCAGTTTTCCCAGCACCATTATTTTTTAACTTTTATTTTAGGTTCAGGGGTACATGTGAAGATTTGTTATATAGGTAAACTCATGTCATTGGGGTTTGTTGTATAGATTATTTTGTCACCTGGCACTGAGCCTAATACCCAATAGTTATTTTTTTCTGTACCTCACCCTCTTCCCCACCTCAACCCTCAAGTAGGCCCCAGTGTCTGTTTTTCTCCTCTTTGTGTCCATGTGTTCGCATCATTCAGCTCACATGTATAAGTGAGAACATGTGGTATTTGGTTTTCTGTTCCTGCATTAGTTTGCTAAGACTGATGGCCTCCAGCTGCATCCATGTTTCTGCAAAGGACATGATCTCCTTCTTTTTATGGCTGCATAGTATTTCATAGTGTATATGTACCATATTTTCTTTATCCAGTCTACTGTTTATGGACATTTAGGTTGATTCCATGTCTTTGCTATTGTGAGCAGTGCTGCAATGAACATATGCATGCATGTGTCTTTACGGTAGAATGATTTATATTCCTTTGGGAATATACCCAGTAATGGGATTGCTGGGTTGAATGGTAGTTCTGTTTTTAGCTGTTTGAGGAATTGTCACACTGCTTTCCATGATTATTGAACTAAATTATATTCCCACCAACAGTGTATAAGTGTTTTCTTTTCTCCATAACCTCACCATCATCTATTTATTTTTTGACTTTTTAATAATAGCCACTCTGACTGTCCAGAACAATTTATTGAAAAAGCTGTGCTTTCCTCAATGTATTTTCATGGCACTTTTGTCAAAAATGAGTTCACTGTAGGTGTATGGATTTGTTTTTGGGTTGTCTACTTGTTCCATTGGTCTATGTATCTGCTTTTATGCCAGTACCATGCTGTTTTGGTTACTATAGCTCTGTATTATAATCTGAAATCAGGTAATTTAATTCCTTCAGTTTTGTTCTTTATGTTCAGGATATCTTTGGTTATTCTGGGTATTTTATGGTTCCATACAAACTTTAGGAGTTTTTAAAATTTCTGTGAAGGATGTCATTGGTATTTTGATAGAGAATGCATTGAATCTGTAGATTGCTTTGGTAGTATGAACATTTTAACGATGTTAATTCTTCCAATCCATGAACATGGATTATCTTTTCATTTTTTTGTGTCCTTTTCAATGTCTTCCATTAATGTTTTATAGTTTTCATCAAAGAGTTCTTTCACTTCTTTGGTGAAGTTAATTCCTAGGTATGTTATTTTATTTGCAGCTATTGTAAATGGGATTACTTTTTTATTTCTTTTTCACATTATTCACTGTTGTCATATATTGGAAATGCTACTGTTTTTTGTATGTTGATGTTGTAGCCTGCAACTTTTCTGAATTTGTTTATCAGTTCTTAGAGTTTTTGGTGGAGCATTTAGGTTTTTTCAAATATAAGATCATATTATCTGCAAACAAGGATAAATTGACTTTTTCCTTTTCAATTTGAATGCCCTTTATTTCTTTCTCTTGTCTGACTTCTCTAGCTAGGACTTCCAGCACGATGTTGAATAACAGTGGTGAAAGTGAGCATCCTTAATGTGTTCCAGATCTTACAGGAAAGGCTTTCAGTTTTTCCCCATTCAGTGTGATACCGGCTGTGGGTCTGTTGTATATGGCTTTTATTGTGAAGTATGATACTTCTATATCCTGTTTCTTGAGTTTTATCATGAAAGAATGTTAAATTTTATCAGATGCCTTTTTAAGCATCAACCATTGAAATGATCACATGGTTTCTGTCCATCATTCTATTGATATGGTGTATCACATTGATTGACTTGTATATGTTGAACCATCCTTGCATCCCTAGAATAATTCACACTTGGTCATGATAAATGAACTGTTTAATGTATTGTTGAATTTGGTTTGCCAGTAGTTTGTTGAGGAGTTTTGCATCTATGTTCATCAGGGATATTGGCCTATAGTTTTCTTTTTTTGACATGTCTTTTTCTGGTTTTGTTATCCAGGTAATACTGACCTCATAGAATGAGTTTGTAAGTATTCCCTCCTCTTCTATTTTTTTTAGAATATTTTGAGTAGGATTGGTATTAGTTCTTTAAATGTTTAGTAAAACTCAGCTGTGAAGCCATTGGGTCCTGGGCTTATTTATTTATTTGCTGGAAGACTTTTTATTACAGCTTTGATCTTGTTACTTGTTATTGGTCTACTTGGGTTTTAACATATCTATATTTCTTATTGCACCTTATTTTTTCAGCATATTTGAAAGTAGTTTTAACTATAATTCTTCCTAGAACAACTTTGGCTAAGGTAAGTTACTTACTGAAAAATCCATTAACTTTACCTCTTCAAAATTTTAAACTAAACAGTAGTTTAAAATGACAGTGATGTAAGGTCCTAATGCTTCCATTTAAGAGAATTACTCTAAAACTTTTGAATAACCCTGAACTAGAAACTTGTTTTAACTTTACACTGTTTCTATCTTATAACTTACTATAAAAAGCATGTTATATCTACTTTTTGCTCTATGTAATTTATAATAGTGATTGGTTGCAAGCAAAACAATTCTGGGCTGACCTTATTAATTCCAGTTTTGTGCCCTCAAGTGGGAGAGGCTCAGTGGAAATGTAGCAGCCTGCAGGCCAACATGGCCTCCAGCCCAGTCATCAGTTAATCCCCAGAGACCATATGTATGATCATACTGTAAGGTGACTGGCATCTAAAGACTCAGAAGAAGAAGCAATGAACACCCAAATGTCTGAGTGCTCAACTCCACCTACGGGCTTAGAGGCCAGTCCCCATATCAGCTCAGTGCTCAGCAAGTGGACTCCCATGCAGGCCATGCTTGAGCTCCCCTCCCTACTCAGAGTGGGACGATGGCCCAACATGCTCTCTGCCTCAGTCTCTCAGCCTGGCCATGTTCTAGCTGCTGTGACCTGTGCAATGGCCTTTGCAGGTTTGCCATCCTTGCCACCCCGGTTGGGGTGTTGGGAATCATCCAAATGTGCCTCAGCCTTATGAGACAGATGCTACTAAAGGTGACCCAGTGTGGGGATAGAGCACACACACATAGTTTGGCTCTGAAACTTCATGGTGAACAGTTTTGAGCAGTTTCCTTAAAGTTGTTGAGTCTTAGTTTCCCCATATGTAAAGATAGAGCCAACATTCACTTGAAGGTTATTAGGTTTAAATTAGGTTAGTGCTACAGCACACCATGCACTCCCATCAAGCACTAGAGAGGAGCACAGAAGGTAAGTATGTCACTCATCCTGGGAAGGGGTATCAGAAAGCTCTTCCTGGAAGAAATTATAGCTAAACAGAATCTGTAAAATAACAAATATAAACCTGGCCAAAAATGTGTGTGTGTATGTGTGGTCATAAAGGAAATAGTACAACCTGAGATGAAGAAGGACTTGTATGAAAAAATTTAATGATGTGCCTAGGTCCATGGGCTGTAAAAGTGTGAGGCAAAGAATAATAACAGATAGGATTGGAGAAGTACTCAGGCTCTGAAAGACGCACGTAAGCAGAGAGGCTGGGGACACTAATAAAGTTTTTAATTTTGATAAAAGTGAATTTACTATTAATTTACAATAATCAAAAGTCAGAATTAGAGGGACCTTAGAGATGAGCTTATCTTATAAATGGAAAAACAGAAGCCCATATCGTTCCCCTTGTTGAAGGTGACACTGTTAATTAGTGGCAGATCATAAACCCCAGGTTCTTGCCTCCTTATGGTGTGGTCTTGCCATGTTCATAATGCCCCTCCCTTCCTCATTCAGAAGCTTGGCACATTCCCAATGTCTGTTGTATCCATGTAGTTTGCTGATAGTCCTGTTGGCCCATATTCTGCATTCTTATTTTTCTTTTTGTTTCTTTTCTTCTCTGTTTTGTCAAAACAATGCATGGTCTTGGTTTTAAAAGTCAAATAGTGCCATTATACTTGTAAGAAAACAGCAGTGGAAGCCCCTCAAAGGTAGTCTTCCCAGTGCACAGATTGGCTGTTAGCCTAGTGATGTGCTTTCTTCCCAGGAAGGGGTTGCTTGGGAGAAAATTGGTGGCACCTAAGATCTGAGTGGCAGCATGACATTAGGGTACAGTCCCTGGGGCAAGATTTCTTGAGTTCAAATACTGACTTTCTAGCCATGTGATCTTGGACAACCTGCCATGGACTCATGCTGCCTGTGTTAGGGGTTCTCTGCACTGTGCAAGGTGCTGCAGGGGATACAAAGAGGACTCCTGTACAACCTCTGTGCTCAAGGAGTTCTCAGGCCATAGGAGGAAAGAACTAAGAGGCAAACATAAGGAAGATCCCTGACAAATGGACAAGTGGAGGGAATAGTTTTACTCCCACTTGAAGTCAGATAAACCAGAGGTCAGTTCCAGCACTGCCATGTTCTGTCTGTGACAGCTTAGAGAATTTAATCTAACCTCTCTGAGCCTCAGTTTTCCTGTTGAAAAACAAGGTAATAATAAACACTTCTTTCAGTGAATCATTGTGAGGATTAATAAGATAAATGGATGAAAGGAGGAGGATGTAAAGGAATCCATGATGGCCCTATGAAACAAGAAAGGTAACTATCCTTAGACAGATTTTGAAAAAATTCCTGGAAGATAGGAAGCAGATGGGATCAGATTGCAGAAACATAAGGGCAGAAGAGAAAAAAAAACAAAAAACAAAAACATAATCCCAAACATAGACAATAGAAAGCTACAGCAGAAGTAATAGAAATTCCAGAAATATTTTAAGCTCAGACTCAACAAGTCGAGAAAGCAGAAGGGGCTTTTGGACAATCATCAGGTTAATTACTAAGGCTTTGTATTTGGAACAGCTGAACCCACTAGGCCCCTGTCCCTCCTCACACCTACTGAGCAGAGAGCAGGGGTGATGTTTGGACCCAGGATAAATCCCCCAGATGGGAAGAAACAACCCAGAGAGGCAGAACAGAGCCGGAAGTAACTCCAGACAGCCAAGGAAAACAGAAAATGAGGATGGCTGATTCATGCATTTGCCCGTAGAATAAACTCTGAGCACAGCTGTCTGAAGCAGGAGTCCTGACCCAGGAAACTCAAATGGACAGTTGGGCCAGAGAAGGAGAGAAATGACTCCAGATGACTTACAACCCTGTGAGAAGGGGAGAGCCGGGAGCCCCCCTTCTCAGGAGGCAAGCTACTTCCTTGCACACCTTACTCTCCACTTTCCTGTCCCTCTCCCTCCCGTCCCGCCCCAAGTCACCAAAGGCAGCTGGAACCAGTACTTTCACTCAGGCAAACAGGAATTTCCAATTCAAATGCAAACAATAGTTAAGAATATCCAAACATTTAAAGAAAACAAACATTAAAAAGAAGGACCAAAATCAACAAATAAAATGGCGAGTGTTCATGGAAAGAGAAAAATAACTTTAAGATCAGCATAAAGTTCAGTTATGAGGGGCTGGCACACCATCAGTTAAGACAAGTGGTATGAAAGGGTCAGTTAGGGCCAGGGCAATTAGGCAGGAGAAGGAAATAAAGGGTATTCAATTAGGAAAAGAGGAAGTCAAATTGTCCCTGTTTGCAGATGACATGCTTGTATATCTAGAAAACCCCATTGTCTCAGCCCAAAATCTCCTTAAGCTGATAAACAACTTCAGCAAAGTCTCAGGATACAAAATCAATGTACAAAAATCACAAGCATGCTTATACACCAATAACAGACAAACAGAGAGCCAAATCATGAGTAAACTCCCATTCACAATTGCTTCAAAGAGAATAAAATATCTAGGAATCCAACTTACAAGGGACGTGGAGGACCTCTTCAAGGAGAACTACAAACCACTGCTCAATGAAATAAAAGAGGATACAAACAAATGGAAGAACATTCCACGCTCATGGGTAGGAAGAATCAATATCGTGAAAATGGCCATACTGCCCAAGGTAATTTATGGATTCAATGCCATCCCCATCAAGCTACCAATGACTTTCTTCACAGAATTGGAAAAAACTACTTTAAAGTTCATATGGAACCAAAAAAGAGCCCGCATCGCCAAGTCAATCCTAAGCCAAAAGAACAAAGCTGGAGGCATCATGCTACCTGACTTCAAACTATACTACAAGGCTACAGTAACCAAAACAGCATGGTACTGGTACCAAAACAGAGATATAGATCAATGGAACAGAACAGAGCCCTCAGAAATAATGCCGCATATCTACAACCATCTGATCTTTGACAAACCTGAGAAAAACAAGCAATGGGGAAAGGATTCCCTATTTAATAAATGGTGCTGGGAAAACTGGCTAGCCATATGTAGAAAGCTGAAACTGGATCCCTTCCTTACACCTTATACAAAAATTAATTCAAGATGGATTAAAGACTTACATGTTAGACCTAAAACCATAAAAACCCTAGAAGAAAACCTAGGCAATACCATTCAGGACATAGGCATCAGCAAGGACTTCATGTCTAAAACACCAAAAGCAATGGCAACAAAAGACAAAATTGACAAATGGGATCTCATTAAACTAAAGAGCTTCTGCACAGCAAAAGAAACTACCATCAGAGTGAACAGGCAACCTACAAAATGGGAGAAAATTTTCGCAACCTACTCATCTGACAAAGGACTAATATCCAGAATCTACAATGAACTCAAACAAATTTACAAGAAAAAAACAACCCCATCAAAAAGTGGACGAAGGATATGAACAGACACTTCTCAAAAGAAGACATTTATGCAGCCAAAAAACACATGAGAAAATGCTGTTCATCACTGGCCATCAGAGAAATGCAAATCAAAATCACAATGAGATACCATCTCACACCAGTTACAATGGCGATCATTAAAAAGTCAGGAAACAACAGGTGCTGGAGAGGATGTGGAGAAATAGGAACACTTTTACACTGTTGGTAGGACTGTAAACTAGTTCAACCATTGTGGAAGTCAGTATGGCGATTCCTCAAGGTTCTAGAACTAGAAATACCATTTGACCCAGCAATCCCATTACTGGGTATATACCCAAAGGAATGTAAATCATGCTGCTATAAAGACACATGCACACATATGTTTATTGTGGCACTATTCACAATAGCAAAGACTTGGAACCAACCCAAATGTCCAACAACGATAGACTGGATTAAGAAAATGTGGCACATATACACCATGGAATACTATGCAGCCATAAAAAAGGATGAGTTCATGTCCTTCGTAGGGACAAGGATGAAGCTGGAAATCATTCTCAGCAAATTATTGCAAGGACAAAAAACCAAACACTGCATGTTCTCACTCATAGGTGGGAATTGAACAATGAGAACACATGGACACAGGAAGGGGAACATCACACTCTGGGGACTGTTGTGGGGTGGGGGGAGGGGGGAGGGATAGCATTAGGAGATATACCTAATGCTAAATGATGAGTTAATGGGTGCAGCACACCAACATGGCACATGTATACATATGTAACAAACCTGCACATTGTGCACATGTACCCTAAAACTTAAAGTATAATAATAATAAAATAAAAAAAAAAGAAAGGGTCAGTTAGGATTCCAGGAACACAAAATGTTTTTGAACATTAAATAGATACCCTCAATAGCAGAATGGATATGGACTGTCGATAAAAAGAGTCAAACTCTGTAAAATATTTGAAGAGATTTATTCTGAGCCCAATATGAGTGACCATGGCCTGTGACACAGCCCTCAGGAGAGCCTGAGAACATGAGCCCAAGGTGGTTGAGGTGCAGCTTGGTTTTATACATTTTAGGGAGACATGAGACTTCAATCAATTACATTTAAGAAATACATTGGTTTGGTCCAGAAAGGTGGGACAACTTGAAGTGGGAGATGGGGGGTTGCTTCTAGCATGTAGGTAGATTTAAAAATTTTCTGGTTGACAATTGATTGAGTTTATCTGAAGACCTGGGAGAAATAGAAAGGTATGTCTGGGTTAAGACAAGAGGTTGTGGATACCAAAGTTCTTATTTGCAGAGGAAGCCTTCAGGTAGTAGGCTTCAGAGAGAATAGGCTGTAAAGTGCTTCTTATCAAACTTGAAGTCTGTGTTGAGGTTAATGCTGGAGAGGTATAATGAGGCACATCTGACCCCCACTTCCCATCATGGCCTGAACCAGTCTCTCAGGTTAAATTTTAAAAGAGCACCCTGGCTGAGGAGAAAGTCCATTTAGATGGTTGGGGGGTGGGGGACTTAGTATTTTATTTTTGGCTTACATGATAAAGAATGAACTCACGAACAGGAGAGAAAAAAAGAAAAGAAAAGAAAAAAGGGAGAGCCCTGAGAGCATGGAAGAGGGGAAATAGGAAAATATGAGAAAATGTAGACCTGAAAAAAACCTCACAAGTTTTTAAATTGAAAAGGGTCACAGAGAGACACACAAAATGAATGACCAAAAATCATAGCTGAATACATACTGGTGAAATTGCAGAACCTCAAGAATGAAAGAAAATACTAAAATCTTCCAGAGAGAAAAACAAGTTTACCTATAAAGGAATAGGAATCAATGGGCATTAGAGTTCTTTGCTAATCCTGGAAGCTCAAAGTGAATGAATCATATCCTCTAGTTTCTAAAGGGAAATCATTTGGAAGTTCCAACTCTATATTGTGCAGATGGTACCCATGTCATCCCTTGGCTCACCTCTGTGGACGTTTCCACAGGAGCTCACTCATCTCCTTGTAACAACCTCCCTCCTTATCTCTCGGATGACCACCCTGAAGAGGGGGGTTAGTTAATGCCCTTGAGAAACCCTCTAACTCTCATCCAGTTGGTGACAGGAGCTGGTGGAAAACCACCCTAGATTTGTGTCCTTCAGGAGGACAATTTGAGAAGGACATTCCACATACTTTTCAGGTGGTCCTAGAAGAATGAAGCCTCCAGCTTGTGGGAGCTTCCTTAATCACACTCTTAGACTGACTTTCCTTCTTTTCTGTCTGAGTACCCACCATCCTTATTCCTGTTTCCTGGGATAGCCTCACAAATAAACTACCTCCACTCACATCCTTGTCTTAGGGTAGGATTTTGGGGGACATATGCAAATACAGACATATGCAACTTAGCCACATTCAAGTGTAAGAGCAACATAAAGACATGTTCAGACATGCAAGTACGCTGAGTCTCTTCACACATATTCAGGTAGACCATCTCCTCTCTCCCACATCCACAGAGTGAATACGCCCTGCCCTCATATACACTAATACCATTTTGGAGAAGAGAAAGGGGAGGGGAAGAAATGTTAAAAATGGAATATGTACTCCCAAAACACTGAATCATCCAAAAGAGACTGTAAAGTGGAACAGAAGGTGAAAAAAACCGTGAATTGGCCAATTTTGAGTTTGGTTTCTCCTGGTCTCTCCCACAATAGCCCCCACCACCCCATAGTGAGGAGAACTTGTAGGAGATTAGAAAGTGTTTCTCCAAGAAGATGCTATCAGCCTTTGGGCCATGCAGTTCTTCCTTGTGCAGGACTGTTCCAGGAATTGCAGGACATTTAGCATTCCCAGCCTCCGGCATTAAGTGCTGGTGGCACCCCCCAGGCATTGTGACAACCAGAACCCCAACTACCCCTGGGGAGGACCTCCAAAAGCTACCATTGAAGGAAATACAAAGGTTAGATGTCTTTAATATATGAATAAAATGTAGGTAGATTTGTGATTCATCTACACTTATTTTTGTCATCTCCCCAGGTAGGCTCAGTTTCCAATACCCTCTACCAAATAGTATTATGGTATAACTGAGTGCTTGACAAACATTATACAATGCAGAGGTGATGATGACTACAGGCATGAGATTAGTGCTATTATCAGGAAAAGGGGGATTCTATGGTCTGAATGTGTCCCCCAAAATTCATGTGTTGGAAATTTAATCCTCAATGCAACAGTGTTGGGGGTGGCGCCTAATGGGAGGAATTTAGGTGATGAAAGCATGAATAGATTCATGCTGCTCCAAAAGGGCTTGTGGGAGTGGGTTCTCTCCCTTCTGCCATGTGAGCACACAGGGTTGGTCCCCTGCTTTCCCTTCCACCTTCCGCTATGTCAGGACGCAGGAAGAAGGCCCTCACCAGATGCTGACACCTTGATCTTGAATTTCCTAGCCTTCAGACTGTGAAACATAAATTTCTGTTTTTTTACACATTACCTAGCACAAAATGGACTGAGACAGGGGATCAGGAATGTCAAGCCAGTTCTTACCTCTGGGGAGCAATGCACACCTGGGTCCCCAGCATAACTTGCTCCCTGGCCTGTTTGGCTAAGTGGTGAATGAAGCTGACCTGAGGTCTATGTGGAAGATACCCCTTTGTGTTCCTGGAGAGGCTTCAGGGAGGGCAGGGTTGCCTGAAGGAGTGGACTCCGGGACCGACCTTCAGCCTGACTTCCTGAGTCCCCTCAGCCTGTCTGGTATTTGACTGTTCCCCTGGAGCCGGACGTTTTCTTCCCACCACCTCCATACAAACATACTTACTGTGAGCCTCCCACTTGTGCTTTCTCCTCTCCTCATCCCCACTGTGTCCTGAAGCAGACACAGGCCCTAGGACCAAGCGTGTGCATCTGCCCTGACCTCTCCAGCCCACACTGACCACCTCTTTCCTTCTAGAAGACTCACACTCATGACTTACCATGTAAGGAAGGTGACCCCAGTAAAGCCAGACAGAGAAGATCTATCAAAGAGGCAGACTTCTTGAAGGTCAGAATCTAGAGGGAGAAAAGAGGACAAATACATTCCTTTACACACTGGTGAGAAGGAAGTCTGGTGTTTGTTTTTCATGTCTTGTATCCTATAGCCTCTTCCCAGGAAGTGGTACACTTGGGATCCCAAAGGTCACTTTCTCATCTTCCCATGTGGGGTATCCCTTCTACCCAGCATCGATTGTCAACCCCTTCAGCAGGTACCATTGGCTTCTCCAGGGCCCTCTGAATTCTGCTGGAAGATATTGCAGGGGTGGGAGGGAGGCAGATTCAGTACAATTCCTGGCAGACAGATCCAGAAAGGCCTGGGCTATGAATTTTCTGGTGCTTGTTTCCAAGGCTGCCTCTGTGGCCTGCACATCGTGAGCTCTCTGTGTGGATGTGGCTGGGGCAGAGGCACCAGCAAAGGCCCATCTGCCCTGGCTGCATTAACCTTGGCTTTCACCTGTAACATTCTGTGGCATCCATGAGGAAGCTGCCCTGGTGGGAAGTATATCAGTCTCCACTTCTGGGCTGCTTTCCCAGTAACACTTTACAGCCATCCTGGTTCCACAGAGCAAAGGCCTGTTATATATAGCACACTAAAGCTGATTTTCTGTGAGGATGATTGGTTTCCTGGGCCAGAAGGGAAACTGAGGCTCACTAGTAGTGCAGGGACAAGAGGTATTCATGAGGCTCAATTCTGAATCCTGCTCTGCCCTTCATTACCAACGTGATTTTGGACAAGTTATTAAGTGCCACTGAATCTCAGTTTCTTTATCAGTAAGACGATTTTAAATACTCCACATAGGTTACTGTGTAGCTAAGCTAAAGCAAGATTATCATTAAATAGAGTTACTAGATAAAATATAGGATTCCCAGTTAAAGTTTAATTTTCTCTCAAAAAGATGAAAGAGAAGTGTTGGTGAGAGTATGGAGAAAATAAAACCCTTGCACACTGTTGGTGGGAATGTAAATTAGTACAGCCACTATGGAAAACACTATGGAGGTTCCTCAAAAAATTAAAAATGGAACTACCATATGACCCAGCAGTCCCTCTTCTGGGAATATATCCAAAGGAAATTAAAGCAGTTCCTCAAAGACGTAGCTGCACTCCCCTGTTCGTCGTAATAGCCAAGATGTGGAATCAGCCTAGGTGTCTGTCAATGGAAGAATATACGCAGAAACTATGGTATATAAAAGAATTCATAACCAAAAAGCACTATGGTATTTATGTATATATACATGTATGTCTATGTATACACACACATATATGTATACACACACACAGTGTGTATGTATATATGTGCAATGCCATTCAGCCCTAAAAATGAAGGAAATTCTGTCATTTGTGATAACATGGATGAACCTAAAAGACATTATGCTTCGTGAATAGGCCAGCACAGAAAGACAAATATTGCATGATCTCAATTGTATGTGGAATCTGAAAATATTGAACTAATTCAAGCAGAAAATACAGGGTAGTTACCAGGGACTGTTACCAGGGAGGGGGTCTAGGGAGATATTGGTCAAAGGCTACAAAGTTTCAGTTAGACAAGAGGAAAAAATTCAGGAGATTTATTGTACAGCGTGATGACTCTAGTAACGTATCGTATACTTGAAAATTGCTAAAACAGTGGATCTTAAGTGTTCTCACCACAAAAAATGATTAGTATGTGAGATGATGGATATTAATTAGTTTGATTTAACCACTTTACAATCTATCTATCATCGATCAAAATATCACAGTGTACAATATAAATATACACAATTTTATCTGTCAACTATAACTTAATAAAAAAGTTAAATTTCAAGTAAAAAATAATACTTTAGTATAAATGTGTCCCAAATGTTGCATGAAACATACATTAAAAAATTAGTTGTTCATTTGAAATTTAAATTTAACTGGGCCACCTGTATTTTTATTTGCTAAATTTGACCGTCCTAGTCATTGATGTAAAATGAATAATATTTACCACTTGTTGGGGTCCATGTGTGCCACAGCACTAATCTAATTTAAACCTAACATCCCACAAGTAAACATTAGTTCTATTTTCACAGATGTGGAAACTAAGACACAACAAGTTAAGGAAACTGGTCAGCACTGCACACCATGAAATTTGAGAGCTAGAGTCAAACCATGTGAACCCAGGAGGTGGAGGTTGCAGTGAGCCAAGCTCGTGCCACTGCACTCCAGCCTGGGTGACAGAGTAAGTCTCTGTCTCTAAAAATCAAACAAACAAACAAACAAATAAAACAAAACCATGTGTATGTGCTCTGCTTCAACACTGGGCCACCTTTGTAGCTTCATAAATCTGGGACACACTTAGGATGATGCCCCAACATCCCAACAAGGGGTGGTGAGGATGGAGAACCTGCAAAGGCCAGTGTGCGTGTCCTGGTGGCTAGAACATGGCCTGGCTCAGAGACTGAGGCAGACAGCATGTTGGGCTATTATCCCACCCCGAATAGGGAGGGAAGCCCAGGCATCGTCTGCATGGGAGTCCCACTTGCTGGGTACTGAGCTGATGTGGGGACTGGCCTCCAAGCCTGGAGGAGGAGTTGAGCACACAGACGACTGGGGTGTTCATTGTTTCTTCTTCTTTTGGCTTGTAAGGTGCCAAATCACTTCAGAGACATCTTACACATGGTCTCTGGATATTAACTAACAGTATTGTAATTACTGTTTATATGTTAAACAGTGACTACAATGCAAGTTTCTTGAGAGTACAGGTGATGATTTGTTTACCCTTGTGTCCCCAGCATATAGCAGAGGGCTTGATATGTAGCAGATGATCAATAACTATTTGCTAAACAAATGAAAGGATTAATGTGGGTGAGGCCTGCTGTGTGACATTTGTCCTCAGGGGGGCAATGAGGAAAATAAGCCATGGGGCCAAGAATAACAATTCAAAAACAATAGTTGGGAGAACTGAGGACTGCACCCTGTCTTGAGGAGGACTGGGAATCAGAGCCGCAAGCTGTATTCCAGTACATGTGACCTCAGGTGTGTTTGGGCTGTGCACACACTGGGGACTGCTCACAGTTAACAGAAGCAGTGAGGCTCTGAGTGTACGGCCAGACCAGAGGGGCCACAACTGTGAGCAAACCCTGCAGCTCTGCCTTACAAAGCGATAAATATGGTGAGGCTGGGAGTGGGAGGAGGGAGAGCGTGGCAGCCATGACAGTCTTTCCTTTGCTCAAGGGACTAGGGGAATGGTGGAAGAGGGTTTCTTGTCATGAAAGAGGCAGGCATCAGTGTCTCCAGCTGGTTTATTCCCTTGTCTTCCGATTGTAATAAACATTTATTCATGCATTAATTGAACAGATATTTTTGTTATTCCCTTGTGTAATTATAGATATTTTAGATTACGGTGACACACTTTATTACTGGCAATGTTGGCAATTGAGGTGCTTTGAGTAAGCAGTTCTTCTAATTTACTAAAATTTCATCCTTTTAATGTGTTTAAAATATGGGCACCCATTTTTGGCCCTGCTCCCATTCTACATAGTTCTGTGTTCCCCCCTTTTTAGGCTGACTGCTTTGATCTATAGAGTGCGGTGGCAGCGATGTTCTGTGACTTTTGAGGCTAGCTCAGAAAAGGCTGTGCAGCCTCTGCCTTGTTCCCTGGAGTAGTGAGCCTCCACGTAAGAAGTCTTGCTACTCTGGAGCTGCTGTGTTGGACTATCCACATGTAGACCCTTAGATTAATAGTTATAACTCAGCCCAGCTTTCCTTCCATGCACACCAAGCAAGGTGCCAGGCCTGTGAGTGAAAATGTCTTGGACCCTCCAGACCAGTCCATCTACTAGCTGATACCACTAAGTGTATGACAATGCCTTGTGCAGCAGAAGGGTTACCCAGCAAACCCTGCCCAAATCCCTACTCTTCAAAATAATTAGATATAATAAAATGGTGTTTGTTTTAACCCACTAAAATTTGGAGTGATTTGTTATGGAACAACTGTGGAAATAGTTAAAGTTGAGCTGTTTGCCTAGAAACCATTCTACAACACTTTTGGCCCTTTCTTGGCTGTGGTGGTGGTTATGGAGGTGCACCACTTGGATCCCTTTCAAGAATAAATCATGCTGCTATAAAGACACATGCACACGTATGTTTATTGTGGCACTATTCACAATAGCAAAGACTTGGAACCAACCCAAATGTCCAACAATGATAGACTGGATTAAGAAAATGTGGCACATATACACCATGGAATACTTGCAGCCATAAAAAATGATGAGTTCATGTCCTTTGTAGGGACATGGATGAAATTGGAAATCATCATTCTCAGTAAACTATCGCAAGGACAAAAAACCAAACACTGCATGTTCTCACTCATAGATGGGAATTGAACAATGAGAACACATGGACCCAGGAAGGGGAACATCACACTCTGGGGACTGTTGTAGGGTGTGGGGACGGGGGAGGGATAGCATTAGGAGATAATACCTAATACTAAATGATGAGTTAATGGGTGCAGCACAGCAGCATGGCACATGTATACATATGTAACTAACCTGTACATTGTGCACATGTACCCTAAAACTTAAAGTATAATAATAATAATAATAAAAAATAAATAAATAAAAGAGAAGTAGGATCTGAAGGGAACCAGATGGTCAAAGAGCAGGGAAGACTGATGGGAACCAGAAAAATACCAATGTGAATATCAGTGTGCATCTTGGAGGCTGCACAGGTAGTGTGGGACCACAATAATATGGGAAAATGGACCAAAAAAGAGACAAACTCATGCCATCCCTGAAATACCATTGGTCTTCTGCTAGAGTAGTGATTTTGTTGAGCTTGGCTTTCCCAGGGATCTCAGCTAGAACTGGGGTAAGGGTGGGAGTAAAAAGAATCTGACAGAGAACCACAAGAATCTTTCCTTTGATCAGTGTTCTTTTCAAGAAGATGTTTGCCACTGTCCATAATATAAGTCACGCTTGAAATAAAAAAAAAAATAAAAGAATACCTGCTGAACGGGAGGAGAATTGACTGACAGCTTCCAGCTGCTGCCCTCATGAATGCAGAGGCAGCAGTCAGAATAGATGGGGTGCCTACCTTCAACATGTAGTTTGTGTATTCAGTCAGACCTCTATTTGGTGCTGTGTGCTAAATAAGAAGGATATATATGTCCAGGAAACAAGACTCAAAAGCAGGAGTAGTCCCACTTAGCACCACTCTCAACAACCCACTGGGAATTTTGTGCTTTCCATCCCTGAAACTATGGGCACTGCAGGATTGGAGGCCTTTTTTCCAAATGAAAGTGCCCTCTTGTCAGGAGAGAGGGTAAGTATCCCATTAAACAAATTATGCTGTAGCTAGGGCACTTTGGACTCCATGTACCCAGGGACCAGCAGGCAGGAAAAGAAGTCCATTGGCAGAAGTAATTGACCCTGATTGGCAGGAAGACTGCCTTTACAAAACTGGGACAAGGAGGAATGCTTGTGGAACCAAGGCGACTTACTTAGGTGCTTCCTGATTGGTACTCCCTTGTCCAATTGTAACTGTGAGTGGACATGTGAAGCAACTCTAGCTTGACAAGGGAATGACTACCAGTGATTCAGATTTCTTTAGAATGATGATTTGTGTCATACTATCATGTAAGCCACCAAGCTTGCCAAGGCAATAGTTGAGGATAAGGGGATTTTAGAATGCATAGTGTAGGAGGGAGAGGATGAGTATTAGTTATGGCCTTGAGATCAACTGCAGCATTGGGGCCTATGGTTCATTCCACTAACCTCACCCTTTTAAGTTTTCTCATATAAAGAGAAATCCAAGGGGAGCATAGAGTAACTGCTCCTTGAAAATGAGTGGGGAAGTGAATCTGTGTGGTTAAGGGTTTAACTGTGGTGGCCATGGGACACACCATTCAGAATTTTTTCTCAAGTGAACTTACTACAGAGGGCACAGTTGATTGACAGCCTCCAGCTGCTGCCCCCATGGGTGCTGAATTGATGCTTCCTCTGCACAGCTCCTAGCCAACAAATGAGCTTGGCAGACTCCCTCCTGTCCAACATGGAATTGTACCATAGTGCCAGCTCGTTCCTGTGCAACTTGAGATTCCTCTGAAGGACAGCTTTGCTTGGAGACTCCCTGTTAGACTGCTAGAAATTTTCTCAGAAATGTGCTGTGGTCTGTGACTTTTCTAACCCAGTACTTCCTTCCTTCTTTCCTTACACAGGTGCTAGACCTATATCATGGTCTGAAACTTCTCATGCCTTCTTCTGCTCCTCTTCCCTTTTATCCTTCGCAAGTACATCCCTTAGTAAATCTTCAACATGTCTAATTTCATCTTGGTGTCTCTTTCACAGGGAATCTGAATTGACACACTTTGTTAGTAAACAATTTTTATAAACATCATTCAAGATTTTCTCTTGACGACTTAATGACTGTTATGAACATCAAACAAAGTAGCAAACTTAAAGAAATGACTGTATTGGGATTGACATGCATGCGTTTCTCAGATGATCCATGATATTGAGCACCTTTTCATGTTCCTGTTTGGCATTTGTGTATCTTCTTTTGAGAAATGTCTATTCAGATCTTTGTCCATTTATTCATTGGTCTATTAGATTTTTTTCCTATGAGTTGTTTGAGCTCTTCACATATTCTGGTTAGCAATTCCTTGTCAGATGGATAGTTTGCAAATGTTTTCTCCCGCTCTGTGCATTTTTCCTTCACTTGTGTTTCCTTTGCTGTGCAGAAACTGTTAAACTTGATGTGATCCCATTTGTCCATTTTTGCTTTGGTTACCTGAGTTTGCCCAGTCCAACTTGTGGTAGCATTTCCCCAATCCTTTCTTTTAGTGATTTCATAGTTTAAGATCTTAGATTTAAATCTTCAATTAGTTTTGATTTGTTTTTTTGCATATGGTGAAAGAGGGGTGTAGTTTCGTTCTTCTGCATATGGATATCCAGTTTTCCCAACACCATTTATTGAAGACATTGTCCCTTTCTTAATGTTTGTTCTTGGCACCTGTGTCAAAAATGAGTTAACTGTAGATGTATGGATTTGTTTCTGGGTTCTCTATTCTGCTCCAATGGTCTATGTGTCTGTTTTTATGCCAATACCATGCTGTTTCTATTACTATAGCTCTGTTGTGTAATTTGAAGTCAGATAACGTGATTCCTCTAGTTTTTATTTCTTTGCTCAGGATAGCTTTGGCTGGGTCTTTGGTGGTTCCATACAAATTTTATGATTGTTTTTTCTATTTCTGTAAAGAATGTTGTTGGTATTTTGATAGGGATTGCATTGAATCTGTAGATTGCTTTGGGTAGTACGGACATTTTAACAATATTGATTCTTCCAATCCATGAATATGGGATATATTTATATTTTTTTGGTGTCCTCTTCAATCTCTTTTATCAATGTTTAGTAATTTTCATTGTAGAGATCTTTGACTTCTATGGTAAATTAATTCAGAAATATTTTATTTGTAGCTATTGTAAATGGGATTACTTTTTTGATTTCTTTTTCACATTGTTCACTGTTGGCCTATAGAAATGCTACTGATTTTTGGATGTTGATGTTGTATTCTGCAACTTTACTGAACTTATCAGTTCTAATATTGTTTTGGTGGCGTCTTCAGGTTTTTCCGAATATAAAATCATATTATCTGCAAACAAGGGTACTTTGACTTCTTCCTTTCTAATTATTTCTTTCTTTTGACTGATTACTCTAGCTAGAACTTCGAGTGCTGTGTTGAACAACAGTGGTGAAAGTGGGCATCCTAATTGTCTTTCATATCTTACAGTAAAGGCTTTTGGTTTTTCCCCATTCAGTATGATACCAGCTGTGGGTCTGTCATATATGGTGTTTATTATGTTGAGGAATAATACTTAAATACCCAGTTTTTTGAGGTTTTTATCATGAAGGGATGTTGAATTTTATCAAATGCTTTTTCAGCATCAATTGAAACGATCATATGGTTTTTCTCTTTCACTCTTTTGGTATAATGTATGATGTTGTTTGATTTGTGTATGTCGAACCATCCTTGCATCCCAGGGATAAATACCACTGGGTCACAATGAATAATCTTTCTAATATATTGTTGAACTTAGTTTGCTAGTATTTTGTTGAAGATTTTTGCATCAATGTTTGTCAGGGATATTGGCTTACAGTATTTTTTTTTTGATGTGTCTGTCCGGTTTTGGTATCAGGGTAATACTGGACTCGTGGAATGAGTTTAAAAGTATTCCCTTTGCCTCTATTTTTTGGAACAGTTTGAGTAGGATTGGTGTTAGTTCTTTAAATGTTTACCAAAATTCAGCAGTGAAGCCATCATGTCCCTGGCTTTTCTTTAGTGGGAAAATTTTAATTATGGCTTTGATCTGGTTACTTGCTATTGGTCTATTCAGGTTTTGGATTTCTTTGAGGTTCAATCTTTGTAGGTTGTATGTGTCTAGGAGTTTATCTATTTCTTCCAGATTTTCCAATTTATTGGCATATGGTTGCTCATACTAGCCTCTAATGATCTTTTGAATTTCTGCAATATTGGTTGGAATGTCTGCCTTTTCATCTCTGATTTTATTTATTTGGATATTTTCTCTTTTTATTTTTATTTTTTTTTATTTTTATTTTTATTTTTTTTATTTTCTTTTTTTATTACACTTTAAGTTTTAGGGTACATGTGCACATTGTGCAGGTTAGTTACATCTGTATACATGTGCCATGCTGCTGCGCTGCACCCACTAACTCGTCATCTAGCATTAGGTATATCTCCCAATGCTATCCCTCCCCCCTCCCCCCACCCCACCACAGTCCCAGAGTGTGATATTCCCTTTCCTGTGTCCATGTGATCTCATTGTTCAATTCCCACCTATGAGTGAGAATATGCGGTGTTTGGTTTTTTGTTCTTGCGATAGTTTACTGAGAATGATGATTTCCAATTTCATCCATGTCCCTACAAAGGACATGAACTCATCATTTTTTATGGCTGCATAGTATTCCATGGTGTATATGTGCCACATTTTCTTAATCCAGTCTATCATCGTTGGACATTTGGGTTGGTTCCAAGTCTTTGCTATTGTGAATAATGCCGCAATAAACATACGTGTGCATGTGTCTTTATAGCAGCATGATTTATAGTCATTTGGGTATATACCCAGTAATGGGATGGCTGGGTCAAATGGTATTTCTAATTCTAGATCCCTGAGGAATCGCCACACTGACTTCCACAATGGTTGAACTAGTCTACAGTCCCACCAACAATGTAAAACTGTTCCTATTTCTCCATATCCTCTCCAGCACCTGTTGTTTCCTGACTTTTTAATGATTGCCATTCTAACTGGTGTGAGATGGTATCTCATTGTGGTTTTGATTTGCATTTCTCTGATGGCCCGTGATGATGAGCATTTTTTCATGTGTTTTTTGGCTGCATAAATGTCTTCTTTTGAGAAGTGTCTGTTCATGTCCTTTGCCCACTTTTTGATGGGGTTGTTTGTTTTTTTCTTGTAAATTTGGTTGAGTTCATTGTAGATTCTGGATATTAGCCCTTTGTCAGATGAGTAGGTTGTGAAAATTTTCTCCCATTTTGTAGGTTGCCTGTTCACTCTGATGGTAGTTTCTTTTGCTGTGCAGAAGCTCTTTAGTTTAATTAGATCCCATTTGTCAATTTTGTCTTTTGTTGCCATTGCTTTTGGTGTTTTAGACATGAAGTCCTTGCCCATGCCTATGTCCTGAATGGTAATGCCTAGGTTTTCTTCTAGGGTTTTTATGGTTTTAGGTCTAACGTTTAAATCTTTAATCCATCTTGAATTGATTTTTGTATAAGGTGTAAGGAAGGGATCCAGTTTCAGCTTTCTACATATGGCTAGCCAGTTTTCCCAGCACCATTTATTAAATAGGGAATCCTTTCCCCATTGCTTGTTTTTCTCAGGTTTGTCAAAGATCAGACAGTTGTAGGTATGCGGTGTTATTTCTGAGGGCTCTGTTCTGTTCCATTGATCTATATCTCTGTTTTGGTACCAGTACCATGCTGTTTTGGTTACTGTAGCCTTGTAGTAAAGTTTGAAGTCAGGTAGTGTGATGCCTCCAGCTTTGTTCTTTTGGCTTAGGATTGACTTGGCGATGCGGGCTCTTTTTTGGTTCCATATGAACTTTAAAGTAGTTTTTTCCAATTCTGTGAAGAAAGTCATTGGTAGCTTGATGGGGATGGCATTGAATCTGTAAATTACCTTGGGCAGTATGGCCATTTTCACAATATTGATTCTTCCTACCCATGAGCATGGAATGTTCTTCCATTTGTTTGTATCCTCTTTTATTTCCTTGAGCAGTGGTTTGTAGTTCTGCTTGAAGAGGTCCTTCACATCCCTTGTAAGTTGGATTCCTAGGTATTTTATTCTCTTTGAAGCAATTGTGAATGGGAGTTCACTCATGATTTGGCTCTCTGTTTGTCTGTTGTTGGTGTATAAGAATGCTTGTGATTTTTGTACATTGATTTTGTATCCTGAGACTTTGCTGAAGTTGCTTATCAGTTTAAGGAGATTTTGGGCTGGGGTTTTCTAGATATACAATCATGTCATCTGCAAACAGGGACAATTTGACTTCCTCTTTTCCTAATTGAATACCCTTTATTTCCTTCTCCTGCCTAATTGCCCTGGCCAGAACTTCCAACACTATGTTGAATAGGAGTGGTGAGAGAGGGCATCCCTGTCTTGTGCCAGTTTTCAAAGGGAATGCTTCCAGTTTTTGCCCATTCAGTATGATATTGGCTGTGGGTTTGTCATAGATAGCTCTTATTATTTTAAAATACGTCCCATCAATACCTAATTTATTGAGAGTTTTTAGCATGAAGGGTTGTTGAATTTTGTCAAAGGCTTTTTCTGCATCTATTGAGATAATCATGTGGTTTTTGTCTTTGGTTCTGTTTATATGCTGGATTACATTTATTGATTTGCGTATATTGAACCAGCCTTGCATCCCAGGGATGAAGCCCACTTGATCATGGTGGATAAGCTTTTTGATGTGCTGCTGGATTCGGTTTGCCAGTATTTTATTGAGGATTTTTGCATCAATGTTCATCAAGGATATAGGTCTAAAATTCTCTTTTTTTGTTGTGTCTCTGCCTGGCTTTGGTATCAGAATGATGCTGGCCTCATAAAATGAGTTAGGGAGGATTCCCTCTTTTTCTATTGATTGGAATAGTTTCAGAAGGAATGGTACCAGTTCCTCCTTGTACCTCTGGTAGAATTCGGCTGTGAATCCATCTGGTCCTGGACTCTTTTTGGTTGGTAAGCTATTGATTATTGCCACAATTTCAGCTCCTGTTATTGGTCTATTCAGAGATTCAACTTCTTCCTGGTTTAGTCTTGGGAGAGTGTATGTGTCGAGGAATTTATCCGTTTCTTCTAGATTTTCTAGTTTATTTGCATAGAGGTGTTTGTAGTATTCTCTGATGGTAGTTTGTATTTCTGTGGGATTGGTGGTGATATCCCCTTTATCATTTTTTATTGTGTCTATTTGATTCTTCTCTCTTTTTTTCTTTATTAGTCTTGCTAGTGGTCTATCAATTTTGTTGATCCTTTCAAAAAACCAGCTCCTGGATTCATTGATTTTTTGAAGGGTTTTTTGTGTCTCTATTTCCTTCAGTTCTGCTCTGATTTTAGTTATTTCTTGCCTTCTGCTAGCTTTTGAATGTGTTTACTCTTGCTTTTCTAGTTCTTTTAATTGTGATGTTAGGGTGTCAATTTTGGATCTTTCCTGCTTTCTCTTGTGGGCATTTAGTGCTATAAATTTCCCTCTACACACTGCTTTGAATGCATCCCAGAGATTCTGGTATGTTGTGTCTTTGTTCTCGTTGGTTTCAAAGAACATCTTTATTTCTGCCTTCATTTCGTTATGTACCCAGTAGTCATTCAGGAGCAGGTTGTTCAGTTTCCATGTAGTTGAGCGGCTTTGAGTGAGATTCTTAATCCTGAGTTCTAGTTTGATTGCACTGTGGTCTGAGAGATAGTTTGTTATAATTTCTGTTCTTTTACATTTGCTGAGGAGAGCTTTACTTCCAACTATGTGGTCAATTTTGGAATAGGTGTGGTGTGGTGCTGAAAAAAATGTATATTCTGTTGATTTGGGGTGGAGAGTTCTGTAGATGTCTATTAGGTCCGCTTGGTGCAGAGCTGAGTTCAATTCCTGGGTATCCTTGTTGACTTTCTGTCTCGTTGATCTGTCTAATGTTGACAGTGGGGTGTTAAAGTCTCCCATTATTATTGTGTGGGAGTCTAAGTCTCTTTGTAGGTCACTCAGGACTTGCTTTATGAATCTGGGTGCTCCTGTATTGGGTGCATAAATATTTAGGATAGTTAGCTCTTCTTGTTGAATTGATCCCTTTACCATTATGTAATGGCCTTCTTTGTCTCTTTTGATCTTTGTTGGTTTAAAGTCTGTTTTATCAGAGACTAGGATTGCAACCCCTGCCTTTTTTTGTTTTCCATTTGCTTGGTAGATCTTCCTCCATCCTTTTATTTTGAGCCTATGTGTGTCTCTGCATGTGAGATGGGTTTCCTGAATACAGCACACTGATGGGTCTTGACTCTTTATCCAATTTGCCAGTCTGTGTCTTTTAATTGGAGCATTTAGTCCATTTACATTTAAAGTTAATATTGTTATGTGTGAATTTGATCCTGTCATTATGATGTTAGCTGGTGATTTTGCTCGTTAGTTGATGCAGTTTCTTCCTAGTCTCGATGGTCTTTACATTTTGGCATGATTTTGCAGCGGCTGGTACCGGTTGTTCCTTTCCATGTTTAGCGCTTCCTTCAGGAGCTCTTTTAGGGCAGGCCTGGTGGTGACAAAATCTCTCAGCATTTGCTTGTCTGTAAAGTATTTTATTTCTCCTTCACTTATGAAGCTTAGCTTGGCTGGATATGAAATTCTGGGTTGAAAATTCTTTTCTTTAAGAATGTTGAATATTGGCCACCACTCTCTTCTGGCTTGTAGGGTTTCTGCCGAGAGATCAGCTGTTAGTCTGATGGGCTTCCCTTTGAGGGTAACCCGACCTTTCTCTGTGGCTGCCCTTAACATTTTTTCCTTCATTTCAACTGTGGTGAATCTGACAATTATGTGTCTTGGAGTTGCTCTTCTCGAGGAGTATCTTTGTGGCGTTCTCTGTATTTCCTGAATCTGAACGTTGGCCTGCCTTGCTAGATTGGGGAAGTTCTCCTGGATAATATCCTGCAGAGTGTTTTCCAACTTGGTTCCATTCTCCCCATCACTTTCAGGTACACCAATCAGACGTAGATTTGGTCTTTTCACATAGTCCCATATTTCTTGGAGGCTTTGCTCATTTCTTTTTATTCTTTTTTCTCTAAACTTCCCTTCTCGCTTCATTTCATTCATTTCATCTTCCATTGCTGACATCGCATCGGCTCCTGAGGCTTCTGCATTCTTCACGTAGTTCTCGAGCCTTGGTTTTCAGCTCCATCAGCTCCTTTAAGCACTTCTCTGTATTGGTTATTCTAGTTATACATTCTTCTAAATTTTTTTCAAAGTTTTCAACTTCTTTGCCTTTGGTTTGAATGTCCTCCCGTAGCTCAGAGTAATTTGATCGTCTGAAGCCTACTTCTCTCAGCTCGTCAAAGTCATTCTCCATCCAGCTTTGTTCTGTTGCTGGTGAGGAGCTGCGTTCCTTTGGAGGAGGAGAGGTGCTCTGATTTTTAGAACTTCCAGTTTTTCTGTTCTGTTTTTTCCCCATGTTTGTGGTTTTATCTACTTTTGGTCTTTGATGATGGTGATGTACAGATGGGTTTTTGGTGTGGATGTCCTTTCTGTTTGTTAGTTTTCCTTCTAACAGACAGGACCCTCAGCTGCAGGTCTGTTGGAATATCCTGCCGTGTGAGGTGTCAGTGTGCCCCTGCTGGGGGGTGCCTCCCAGTTAGGCTGCTCGGGGGTCAGGGGTCAGGGACCCACTTGAAGAGGCAGTCTGCTGGTTCTCAGATCTCCAGCTGCGTGCTGGGAGAACCACTGCTCTCTTCAAAGCTGTCAGACAGGGACATTTAAGTCTGCAGAGGTTACTGCTGTCTTTTTGTTTGTCTGTGCCCTGCCCCCAGAGGTGGAGCCTACAGAGGCAGGCAGGCCTCCTTGAGCTGTGGTGGGCTCCACCCAGTTCGAGCTTCCAGGCTGCTTTGTTTACCTAAGCAAGCCTGGGCAATGGTGGGCGCCCCTCCCCCAGCCTGGCTGCTGCCTTGCAGTTTGATCACAGACTGCTGTGCTAGAAATCAGCGAGATTCCGTGGGCGTAGGACCCTCAGAGCCAGGCGTGGGATATAGTCTCGTGGTGCGCCGTTTTTTAAGCCGGTCTGAAAAGCGCAATATTCGGGTGGGAGTGACCCGATTTTCCAGGTGCGTCTGTCACCCCTTTCTTTGACTTGGAAAGGGATCTCCCTGACCCCTTGGGCTTCCCAGGTGAGGCAATGCCTCGCCCTGCTTCGGCTCGCGCACCGTGCGCGCACCCACTGGCCTGCGCCCACTGTCTGGCACTCCCTAGTGAGCTGAACCCGGTACCTCAGATGGAAATGCAGAAATCACCGGTCTTCCGCGTCGGTCACGCTGGGAGCTGTAGACAGGAGCTGTTCCTATTTGGCCATCTTGGCTCCTCCCTCCATTTTCTCTTTTTTTCTTAGTCTGGTTAAAGGTTCATCAATATTGTTTCACATTTCAAAAAACCACCTTCTTATTTCATTGATAATTTGTATTTTTTTTCATTTCAATTCCATTTATTTCTGCTTTGGTCTTTATGCTTTTTCTTCTGCTTGTTTTGGGTTTGGTTTGCTCTTGCTTTTCTAGTTCTTTAAGACGCATCATTAGATGGTTTATTTGAAGTTTTTCCTCTTTTTAAATGTAGGCACTTGTAACTATAAGCTTCTTTCTGAGTACATCTTTTGCTGTATCCCGTAAGTTTTGGTATGTTGTGTTTCCATTATCATTTGTTTCAAAAAAATTCTCAGTTTTTTTCTTAATTTATTCATTGACCCACTGGTCATTCAAGAGCACATTGTTTAATTTCCATGTATTTGTATAGTTTCCAAAATTCCTCTTGTTATTGATTTCTAGCTTTACTCCACGGTGGTCAGAGAAGATGCTTGACATTATTTCAATTTTTAAAAATGTTTTAAGACTTGTTTTGTGACCTAACATATGGCCTATCCTTAAGAAGATCTATGTGCTGAGGAAAAGAATGTATTCTGCAGCTCTTGGATGAAATGTTTTGTAAATATCTATTAAATCCAATTGTGCAGATTAAATCTGATGTTTCTTTGTTGATTTTCTCTCTTAAAGATGCTGAAAGTGGGGCGCTGAAGTGTCCAGCTATTTTGTACTGGGGCCTATCTGTCTCTTTAGCTCTAACAATATTTCCTTTATATATCTGGGTGCTTCAGTGTTGGGTGTATATATATTTAAAATTGTTCTATCCTCTTGCTGAATTGGCCTCTTTATCATTATAAAGTTACTTTCTTTGTCTCTTCTTATGGTTTTTGTCTTGAAATCTATTTGTCTGATGTAAGTATAGTGACTCCTGATCTTTTATTTATTTACTTAATTTTTTAAGACAGAGTCTCACTCTGTTACCCAAGCTGTAGGGCAGTGATGAGAGCTTAGTTCACTGCAGGCTTGACCTTTCAGGCTCGAGTGATTCTCCCACCTCAGCCTCCCAAGTAGCTGGGACTACAGGTGTGCACAACCAAACCTAGCAAATTTTAGTATTTTTTGTAGAGATGGGATTTTGCTATGTTGCCTAGGCTGGTCTTGAACTCCTGGGCTCAAGTGATCCACTTGCCTTGGCCTCCCAAAGTGCTGGGACTACAGGCATGAGGCACTGTGCCTGGCTGACCCCTGCTCTTTTTTAGTTTCCATTGGTGTGGAATATCTTTTTCCATCCCTTTATTTTTAGTCAATGTGTGTCTTTATAGGTGAAATGTGTTTCTTATAAGCAACATATCAATGGGTTTTGTCTTTTCTTTTTTTTCATTCAGCCAGTCTACGTCTTTTGATTGGAGAACTTAATCTATTTACATTCAATATTATTATTAATAACTGAATACTTACTCCTGCCATTTTTAAATTTATTTTCTGGTTGTTTTGTGGTATTCTCTTCCTTCTTTCTTTCCTTCCTTCCTGTCTTCCTCTAGTGAAGGTGATTTTCTCTGGTGATATGATTTAGTATCTCACTTTTTATTTTTTGTGTATCCATTGTATGTTTTCCAGTTTGAGGTTACCACGAGGTTTGCAAATCCTATCTTATAACCCATTATTTTAACCTGATAACAACTTAACACTATTTGCATAAACAAACAAACAAATAAGCAAAGAGAAAATACCTAAAAACTCTATGCCTTAACTTTATCCCCCAAAACTAATAAAAACTCTACGCCTTAACTTCATCTGCCAACTTTAAAACTTTTTGTTGTTTCTGTTTATATCTTACTGTACTACTGTGCCTTGAAAAGTTGTAGTTATTATTTTTCATTGGTTCATTGTTTAATCTTTCTACTTTGGATAAAAGTAGTTTACACACCACAATTACAGTGTCATAATATTCTGTGTTTTTCTTTGAGCTTGCTATTAATAGTGAGTTTTGTACCTTCAGGTGATTATTTATTGCTCATTAATGTTCTTTTCTTTCTGATTGAAGTACTCTCTTCAGCGTTTCTTACAGGATAGGTGTGATGTTGATGAAATCTCTCAGCTTTTGTTTATCTGTTAAAGTCTTTATTTCTCCTTCATGTTTGGAGGATATTTTCACTGGATATACTATTCTAGGATAAAAGTTTTTTTTTCCTTCAGCACTTTGAATATATCATGCCACTCTTTCCTGGCCTGGGTTTCCACTGAAAAGTCTGTTGCCAGATGTTTTGAAGCTTCATTGTATGTTGTTTCTTTTCTCTTGCTACTTTTAGGATCCTTTCTTTATCCTTGATCTTTGGGAGTTTGATTATTAAATGTCATGAGGTAGTCTTCTTTCAGTTAAATCTGCTTTGTGTTCTGTAACCTTTTTGTACTTGAATATTGATATCTTTCTCTAGGTTTGGGAAATTATCTGTTGTTATCTCTTTGAATAAACTTTCTACCCCTATTTCTCTCTACCTCCTCTTTAAGCTAATAACTCTTAGATTTGCCCTTTTGGGGCCACTTTTTAGATCTTGTAGGCATGGTTCATGCTTTTTTATGTTTTTTTATTTTGTTTTCTCTGACTGTGTATTTTCAAATAGGCTGTCTTCAAGCTCACTAATTCTTTCTTCTGCATTATCAATTCTGCTATTATAAGGTTCTGATGTATTCTTCATTGTGTCAAATTACATTTTTCAGATCCAGAATTTATGTTTGATTCTTTTTGATTATTTGAATATTTTTGTTAAATTTATCTGATAGAATTCTGAATTCCTTCTCTGTGAGTCTTGAATTTTGTTGAGTTTTCTCAAAACAGCCATTTCGTATTCTCTGTCTGAAAGGCCACTGGTGCTTTATTTAGTTCATTTGGTGAGGTCGTATTTTCCTACATGGTCTTGATGGTTGTGGATGTTTGTCAGTGTTGGGGAATTGAAGAGTTAGGTATTTATTGAGGTCTTTTTAGTCTGTGCTTGTTTGTACCCATTCTTATTTGGAAGGCTTTCCAGGTATTAAAGAGACTTTGGTGTTGTGACCTAAGTCTTTGGTCACTGCAGTTTATCTGCCTTAGGGGGCACCCCAAGCCCAGCAATGCTATGGCTCTTTCAGCCTCCTAGAGGGACCTCCTTGGTGGCCTTGGATAAGGTTCAGAAAAATTATGTGGACCACCAGGCAGAATCTCTTGTTCTCTTTCCTTACTTTCTCCCAAACAAAGAGTCTCTCTGTGCTGGGCTGCCTGGAGCTGGAGGAGGGATGATACAAGCACTCCTGTGGCCATCACCAATGGAACTGTGCTGCGTGGCGTGAGATGTGAAGCCAGCATAGCAATTGGTCTTATCCCAGGATCATGGAAAACACTGGCTGGCTACCACCAATGTACGTTCAAGGGCCTAGGGCTCTACCATCGGTATGTGGTGAAGCCAACCAGGCTTGTGTCCTTCCCTTCAAGGTGATGATTTCCCCTTTGTCTTCAGCAGGCCCAGAGGTGCTGTCTGGGAGACAGGGCTTGGAGTCAGAAACCTTAGAAATCTACATGATGCTCTATTCTACTGTGGCTGAGTTAAGCTGGCATCCAAGCCGCAAGACAAAGTCCTTCTGACTCTTCCTTCCGCTTTCCACAAACAGGAGTTTCTTCCCATGGCCACCACCACCCTAGACCAATGGCAAGTACTGCCTGGCTACTGCTGATGTTCATTAAGGGCCCAGGTTCTCTTCAGTCAGTTTATGGTGAAGGTTGCCAGGTCTGGGACTCTCCCTTCAGGGCAGTAGACTCCCCTCTGGCCCAGGACAGCTTTAGAAATGCTGTTTAAGAGCCAAGCTAGGAATTTGCAACCCCAAGAGCTTGTTTGATACTCTATCTCACTGCGGCCAAACTGGTACCTAAGCTCATTTTTGGTTCTTATGAAGGTGCTTTTTTGTTTGGATAGTTGTTCAGGTTGGTGTTGCTGTGGGGAAGACAATCAATTAAGGATTCTGTTTGTTTCTGCCTCTTTTCTCTCTCTATTTCTTTAAATACAGGATTGATGGCTATTCCTCCTACTTTTAGTTTGCCCCAAACCACTTTTATTTCATATTAATTTTTGAAGAATATTTTCTCAAGGTTCAGAATTCTAGGTTGGCCATTATTTATTTGCTTTTTTTTCCTGGCATAATTGAAAATCATTCCATTATCCTCAAACTTCTGTCATTTCGGTGGCAAAATCAAATACCCATCTTATTGTTTATTCTTTGAAAGTAATGTATCTTTACCTTCTAGCCATTCTTAATATCTTAATTTCTCTCTGTCTCTCACTCTCCTGCCAAGAGTCTTACAATGATGTGTCTAAGTGTACTTTCCTTTGACTTTGTTTCTTTTAAGTATTAGTAGTGCATGTAGAATTTGTGGGTTTGTCTTTCATCACTTTGAAAAAATTTTGACTGTTATCTTTTCCCATATTGCTTCTGTCTCATCCTCTTTTTTGCTCTCCAACTCCATGTATGTGGGAGCATTCTCACCATTTCCCACATTTCTTTAATAATCTTTTCTGTGTTTTTCTATCTTCTTTTTTCTTTATGTACTTCAGTTTGGATTTTCTATTGACTTATATTTCTGTTTCCTAAGGCTGTGTTTTTTTTCTCTTTGAACTTTAGTCATATTTTCTATTGCTCTTTGAGTTCACCTTTGTGAATTCATCCAGTGTGTTCTGAATTTTGAGATATTACATTTTTAATTCTAGCATTAATTTCTTTTTAATTCTTCCTAATATGTTACAATATTTTGATGAATGTATGTTGACATTATCTTTCTCCAGAGAGAATTTATCTCCTTTCAATTGGACATAAAGTGGTGGCTGATTACCTTAATAAAATCGGGAACCGTGCCGAGTCACTACTAAGTTGCTAGTGTTTGCTACTAAAAGTGAACTTAAATAAGTATTTTAATCAAACTTGTGCACTTAACATATTTATTAATGAAGAAAATACCACTTAAGTAAGATATAAACAAATATACTAAATATTTCAGTATACACTGATATATTTTTATTTAATCTTAGACACATTCACTGTCTGTATAACTTGGGGTTTCCTATCATGTTAAATAGTAATGGATTTATATCCACTTAGAATACTCATTTATGCTTCAATTCAATCAAATATATATTGAGCATTAGTTTCATATGCTCCTCAAGGCACTCAAAGTTTAGAGAAGGAAATGACATATCCATATTATAATTCAGGGTAAAATTCAGTTGGTGCCAAAAAGCAGAACTTTCAACTATTTTCCTTTTCCCAATCATTGGAATTTGACGTGAACATATATATGATAAAATATAAGATACTGGTAACTCCACAGTATCTGACTGTCAGTTTACCATTGCTCTTGCACTCAAGAGAGCATATTGGATAACAAATGTTGCAGAGGCATTTGGAGATGCTGCTTATCTCATAAAGGCTATCTCCCCTCTGACAATGGCCTAAGAAAATAAAGAGGGATCTCCAGGGGTCATGTCTGTGCTATATATTTCTAGATGTCTTCTCTCTGCTCTCTGGTTGAAGCCAGTCTGCAGTAAGAAAGAAGGAAGCCAAAGAAGTCAGCATGCAAAGAGAAGGAGAGGGTGCTGGCAGAGTTTGAGTCCCTAGTTCCCACAGTTACACAAGACAGCCCAGTGTGATGGTTTAAAAACATGTCTGAAAATGATTTTGATGCCCTTCCTCTGAGAGGTAGGGTATATTTCCTTTCCCCTTTTATCTGAATAGACTTTGTTTTGCTTGTAACCAAAACAGTACAGCTGATGGGACATTATGAGTCTTCCAAAAACAAGTCATAAAAGGTGATACAACTTCAACTTTGTTAGCTGGAAAAATTGCATGGAGCCCTGATCCACCATGTAAGATGCTCCATTATTGTGAGACTCACATGCTGTGAGGAAGTTCAGGCCATATGTAGAGGCCATGTGTAGATGCTCCGGTTGACAGCCCCAGCTGAGGTCAGTTAACATCAGCCACCCAGGCATGTGAGTGAATAAATCTTTAGATGATTCCAGCCCCCAACCAGTGAGTCACCGTCAGCCATTGAATCCTCTCAGATGAGACCCCAGACATCATGGAGCAGAGCCATTCCCATTGTGTCCTATGCAAATTCCCAACCCATATAATTCATAGGCATGATAAAATGGTTGATAAAGTGGTCGCTTTAACCTACCAGGTTTGGGGATAATATGTTACACAGTAATGGTAACTGGACTATTCAATAACCTTCAAATAAATCCTCTTTTTGGCTTAAGCTAGTGTGAGTGAAATTTTTGTCTTTTCCAACCAACAATACCTGATTAATAGAGCAGGGGAGTGAAAATGATGTTATTGTGGAAATAACCCTGGTCTCTTTTGAGTTAAGAAAATATATATTTTAATGCTTAGGTATTTTAATACTAACTACAAAATACTTTCCACTTCTCTGATAACTAATAGTGCCTAGTGGCAAATAGTGACACCATTTGAGAACCATGGCCTTAAAGAAGAGACAAAGAGGGATAGTTCTGTGGGAGAGTGAAGAAGGGGAAAGGGGATCACATCCTGTAGGTCTGGTAGAGGGCTATATGTTTGTTGTCTAAGCAGTTAAAGCACCAAGTTCTTGCCACGTGCTAGCTTAGCTTCGTGTTCAGGCTCATTCTTCTGCCCTGCCTTGCTGGCTCCAACTCTCCAAGGGGCTCTGTTTCCAGGAGGCTTGAGAGTCCTGCTTGTGTGCCCTGGCACAGGGAAGACCTTTGCTTTCCTGCTGTCACTGCTTTTCTCAATAGCCTGCTCCTTGCATGTAGCTCCCATTGCCTAGATGGTTTACAAATTGTTCTTTTAGCTCTCATCCTTTCTTGTCCAGAAAATATGACATGAAGGAAAAAAAAGATCAGGCTGTATCTCTTTTCACTGTACAATCCTATCTCCAGCACTTGATGGTCTTCTCCAAACAAGATAGATTTCTTAGAGAATGTATGGTTAGTCACCCACTAGGCACCTTTGAGTCCCTCCAGTGACAGAAATCTGCATGGACTGCTCAGGATAACCAATTAAATTATCTGTAGAGAACCGTAAATTTTTCCAAAGCCAGAGTCCATTGTAATATTTTCCTTCTGATCTTGATAAAAACATTTTCTATCTCCCCTATAGTCAGCCTCTGAACCTGATAGCATAGTAGCTGGTGCCCAGCCTTCACTGTGTCCCTGACCTGTCCTGTAGGCAGTAAGA
Source organism: Homo sapiens (assembly GCF_000001405.40). NCBI lineage: Eukaryota > Metazoa > Chordata > Mammalia > Primates > Hominidae > Homo > Homo sapiens. The sequence continues at coordinate 135,651,381 of NC_000003.12, read as the reverse complement.
GGGTGCCAGCTTGGCCTTCCTTCTTAAGACCCCCAACCCACTGCACTGCTATCATCGTGGTTTCTTTCCTCATAATTTTCATAACTTGTATCTTGAAATCTCACTTCTAGCATTGCTATATATATATATATATATATATATATATATATATATATATTTAAATTTGAGACAGGATCTTGGTCTGTCACCCCAGTTGGAGTGCAGTGGCATAATCATGGCTCACTGCAGCCTTGACCTGCCAGGCTTAAGTGATCCTCCCACCTCGGCCTCCTGAGTAGCTGGTCCTACCGGTGTTTGTCACCATGCCGACTTAATATCAATTTTGTGTCAACCCACCATTTCTCCTCCATTTTATCAATTGTCCTTTTATTTTTCATTTCTAAAATGTTTTCTGGGCCCCTGTGTCCTGCTCCAAACTTCTCAGGGAGGTGAACCCACTCATATCAAGGGTATATTCTGGCCAAAGATTTAGATAAGTTTGAGTAAACAACGTGACAACCTGTGACTGGGTGAAACACACACACACACACACACACACACACACACTCTTACTATTTAGCACTAAAGCTGGTTGGTGGCATACTTATCTCTGAGGCAGATGGATTTTCAGTTTAGGAAATGACTTCAGTGGTCCTGGATGGATTTCACTGGTCAACGGGGTAAAGTCTGTGGAGGAGGTGCAGAGCAATGAATCTTCTCTTATCTGGAGGTTTCTTCAGACTTGCAGACTCTTTCAGGCTCTGGACTATGGAAACAAATCAAGCCTTGGCATAGGCTGCCAGATCCACACAAATGCCAGTGGTGAGGATGGCATTCAGAACATACCAGAGACCTGTGCCCCCCAAATTCTAAGGGCTCAGGGCCAAACATGTGGGCACCAGATGGGACTGAGCTCACATTCCTGGGGAAACAAGAGGTGGGGCAGGTGGTTTGGTAAGTTCTTGAAGGCAGCTGAGAACAACAGGACTGGTGAAAAAATGTGGAAGGGCTCTGAAGGTGGGACACACTCGGTAGGAAAGAGGGTTTATTGAAGGGCCTCAGCTACTGGAGCAGACAAGGATGAGGAGCAGAGGAAAGGGATCAGGACATGGGAGGGGAGAGAAGAATCTGGGTCAGGGGACAGGAATTCACTGAGGGTTGCTTAGTGGCTTTCCACTGCTAGTCAAGAGGATGGCTCCCTGGAATTCTTACTGCTCATAGAACTGTTTCACCTTTCCCAGTGAGGGCCTTTATTTTTGCCCAGGGTATTTCCCTCACCCCCAGCATAAAGAAAAGAGATAACCAGGGCAGGGAGATAGCCATGGCTCAAGTTCATGCATCATGATTTGCAAAGTTCCTTCATATTGTATCATCACAAACTCCTCTCAAAGGACGGAGGGTGCAGACAATTATCCCCAACTCACAGGAGAGGAAGTGTGTCTTGGCTTCTCAAAATAAGTTAGTGTGAGTCCCTAAAATCTTTGATTTAGCTTTGATTAAAATTAAGTTTTCAGAGAGAGAGTAAGATGGTTGACTAGACACAGCCAGGTGGAACAGCTGGCAATGAGGAATCAAGAAGACTGGTGTACTCCTAAAGATCTTCTGAAAGAAGGCACTAAGAGTGGACAGAGGGAAGACGCTGAAGCTGGGCTGAAGTGGGAGGACACTGGGAATCCTGCACAGGGCTATCATGCATGGGGACTCATCCCTGGCCCCCAGTGACTCTGGGGGAACAAGTGAGTTGAACTGGTAAGGAGCAACTCACTCTCGCCACAGGCCACTGGAATTCTGGCAGGAGGAGGCCCCTAGACCACCATTGACACTCGAGTTGGCAGGGAGAGCTGGTTAGAGAAGTGGTAGGGGCAGCAAGCCAGCTGATGTAGAGCCCAGAGTGTTTGGTGTGGGAGTGTCTGTAGTGGAGCATGACCAGGGATGCCCATCCCCTAGGCTCAACTTTAGTCCTAGGGGAACTGTTGGACCTGAATTCTGCAGGGTGGTCTTGCCTATCAGATGGGACCAGTCCAACCTGAACATCTCTCTGTTTACTGGCCTCTCCCAGGCTGTGCCTACTTGCGAGGCGGCCTTGGGTGCCTTGGTGGTCCACATCATAGCTTCTATGTTGGTGGACCGTGCCTGGCCAGCATAGAGCTCCAGTGGGATGGCCCCCATGGCCATGCATCAGCCTGCCCACTCCTTCCTCACACTGCAGCTTCCTCGGGGCCAATGACAATCCTCCCCATTGCTTTGCTGGCACATGTGTCAGCAGGTGAGTTTTGCTTTCCTTGTCTTGCCAGTATGCATGTGTCATGCACCCTGCCGTGACAGTGCTGCAGTGGGAGTGCAGCCCATCTCCCTCCCCTCACTACTGCCATTGCAATTGGAGCCTTGGTGGGCACAGAGTCAACCAACCCTGCCCACACCAGTGCCCTGCCCTTGTGCCAACACTGCTGCAAGAGTGAAACTAGGCATGGAGAACACAGACCCTCCTTCACCCTGAGTGAGACCAATTCTGCCTTCAGCTCACAGAGAATGCACACAGACCTGTGTTTGCCAATGGCTCACCCCCATGCCAACACCACTACCAGCACGACTACACACACAGTTGCCAGCAGTGGCCCTCTGCCCTCCTGAGCTGTGTTGCTTCTGCCACTGTGGTGAACACCCACATGGAGGCAGGCACCCTGGCACTTGCTAGCACCCTACTGCAGCCAATGAGCATGCACCTTGTCATGTGGCCGCTGCCACTGCTGCTGGCATGTGCAAACGAGGATAGATCCTGATGTCACTGCACTACAAAACACTTTGACTGACACCATCATAGTCCCACCAGTGCAGTGGATTCCTAACTTCGAGGGCTGGAAAACAAAGTTGGGGCCCCATAAAAGACCCCAGAGTTAGAGCACACAGTCCAGGAGTTGGGAGCTGAGCACTGGCCCCCTAAAATCTTCCAAAAGTAAAGCCAGTTGGCTGAATACACCTTATACCACAATCAAACCCCTCAAGGTCATCAAGTAGGTTAAAAGAAAAAAGAACTCATTCAAAGGTCAACAACTTCAAAGATTAAACAAACATAAGCCCACAAAGATGAGAAAGAACCAGTGCAAAAACCTTGGCAGCAAAAAGCCAAGGTGCCTTCTTTTCTCCAAATGACTATACCATCTCCCCGGCAAGGGTTTTGAAGTGGGCTGAGATGACTGAAATGATAGAAATCGAATTCCAAATATGGATAGGAACAAAGATCATTGAGATGCAGGACTATGTGAAACCCAATCCAAGGAAGCTGAGAATCACAATAAAACAATGCAGGAGTTGACAGACAAAATAGCCTGCATAGAAAAAAATGTAATAGACCTGATAGAGCTGGAAAACACACTACAAAAATTTTATAATGCAATCACAAGTATTAGTTGCAGAATAAACCAAGCAGGGGAAAGAATCTCAGAGCTTGAAGACTGGCTTTCTGAAATAAGACAGTCAGACAAGAATAGAGAAAAAAGAATGAAAAGGAATGAACAAACCTCTGAGAAATGTGGGATTATGTAAAGAGACCAAATCTATGACTCAGGGGTGTCCCTGAAAGAGATGGGGAGAGTGTAAGCAACTTGGAAAACATATTAGGTTGATGCAAAATTAATTGTGTCTTTTGCCATTACTTTCAATGACAAAAATTGCAGTTACCTTTGCACCAAACTAATATTTCAGGGTGTCAACCATGAGAACTTCCCCAACCTAGTTAGAGAAGCCAACATTCAAATTTAGGAAATGCAGAGAACCCCAGTAAAATACTTCAAAAGAAGATAATCCCCAAGAGACATAATCATCAGATTATCTGAGGTTGGAATTAAAGAAAAAATGTTAAAGCCAGCTAGAGAGAAAGGTCAGGTCACCTACAAAAGGAAATACATCAGACTAACAGTGGACCTCTCAGCAGAAACCCTACAAACCTGAAGAGATTGGGGGCCAATATTCAACATTCCTAAAGTAAAGAAATTCTAACCCAGAATTTCATATTCGGCCAAACTAAGCTTCATAAGCAAAAAAGAAATAAGATCCTTTTCAGACAAACAAATGCTGAGGGAATCTGTTACCACCAGACCTGCCTTACAAGAGCTCTCAAAGGAAGCACTAGATATGGAAAGATTGTTATCAGCCACTACAAAAACTCACTGACACTATAAAGCAACCATATAAACATGTATGCATAATAACCAGCTAACATCATGATGACAGGATCAAATCCACACATATCAATACTAATCTTGAATGTAAATGAGCTAAATGGCACAAATAAAAGGCACAGAGTGGCAAGCTGGATAAAGAACCAATACCCATTTGTATGCTGTCTTCCAGAGACCATCTCTCATGCAATGAAACCCACAAGCTCAAAATAAAGGGATGGAGAAAAATCTACCACGCAAATGGAAAGCAGAAAACAACAGGGTGCAATCCTAATTTCAGACAAAACAGACTTTAAACCAAAAAACATCAGAAAAGGCAAATAAAGGCATTACATAATGGTAAAGGGTTCAATTCAACAGGAAGACTTAACTATCCTAAATATGTGTGTACTCAACACAAGAGCACCCAGATTCATAAATCAAGTTCTTAGAGACCTACAAAGTGACTTAGACTCCCACACAATAACAGTGAGAGACTTTAACACCCTACTGATAGTATTAGACAGATCACTGAGGCAGATAATTAACATATATTCAGGACCTGAACTCAGTACTGAATCAAATGGACCTGACAGACATCTATAGAACTCTCCATCCCAAAACAACAAAATACACATTCTTCTCATTGCCATATGGCACATACTCTAAAATTGATCAAATAGTCAGACATAAAACACTCCTTAGCAAGTGCAAAAGAACTGAAATCTGAACAACTAATCTCTTGGATCACAGTGCAATCAAATTAGAAATCAAGACTAAGAAACTCACTGAAAACTATACAATTACATGGAAATTGAATAACCTTCTCCTTAATGACTTTTGGATAAATAATGAAATTAAGGCAGAAATCAAGATGTTCTTTGAAATGAATAAGAACAAAGATACAACATACTAGAATCTCTGGGATGCAGCTAAGGCAGTGTTAAATGGGAAATTTATAGCAATAAATGCCTACATCAAAAGCTAAAAAGATCTCAATTTAACAACCCAAAATTACAACTAAAAGAACTAGAGAACCAAGAGCAAACCAATCCCAAAGCTAGCAGAAGACAAGAAATAACCAAAATCAGAGCTGAACTGAAGGAGATTGAGACAGGAAAAAACATTCAAATGATCAACGAATCCAGGACTTTCTTTTGAAAAAAATTAATAAAATAGATAGATTATTAGCTAGACTAATAAAGAAGAAAAGAGAGAAGATCCAAATAAACACAATCAGAAATGACAGAGGAGATATTACCCTGACCCCACAGAAATACAAATAACCATCAGAATATTATAAACACTTCTATACACAAAAACTAGAAAATCTAGAAGAAATGGATACATTCCTTGACACATACACCCTCCTAAGACTGAACTGGAAAGAAACTGAATCCCTAAATAGACCAATAATGAGCTCCAAAATGGAGTCAGTAAAAAATAGCATACCAACCAAAAAAAGCCCAAGACCAGATGGATTCATAGCCAAATTCTGTCAGATGTACAAAGACATGCTGGCACCATTCCTGCTGAAATTATTCCAAAAAACTGAGGAGGAGGGAATTCTCCCTAACTCATTCTATGAAACCAGCATCATCCTGATACCAAAACCTGGCAGAGACACAATAAAAAAAGAAAACTTCAGGTCAACATCCTTGATGAATGTCGACACAAAAATCCTCAACAAAACACTGGCAAACTGAATCCAGCAGTACACCAAAAATCTTATCCACTATGGTCAAGTAGGTTTTATCCCTGGGGTGCATGGTTGGTTCAACATGCACAAATCAATAAATGTGATTCATTACATACACAGAAATAAAGACAAAAATCACATGATTTTCTTAATAGATGCAGAAAAGGCTTTTGACGTGGAAGAAAATATTTGCAAACTATGTATCTGACAAAGATCTAATATCCAGCATCTATAAAGAATGTAAATTTATAAGAAAAAACAAATAGTCACCATAAAAAGTGGGCAAAGGACATGAACAGACAATTTTCAAAAGGAGATATACATGCAGCCAACATGTATATGAAAAAAAGCTCAGCATCACTTACTAATCATTAGAGAAATGCAAATCAAAACCATAATAAGATACCGTGTCACACCAGTCAGAATGCCTATTATGAAAAAGTAAAAAATAACAGATGCTGGTGAGGTTGCAGAGAAAAAGGAATGCTTATAAACTGTTGGTGGGAATGTTCAACCATTGTGGAAGATAGTGTGATGATTCCTCAAAGATCTAGAAGCAGAAATACCAGTTGATCCAGCAATCCCATTACTGGGTATATACCCAAAGGAATATAAGTTATTCTATCATAAAGACACATGCATACGTATGTTCACTGCAGCACTACAATAGCAAAGACATGGAATCAACCTAAATGCCCATCAATGATAGATTGTATAAAGAAAGTGTGGTACATATACACCATGGAATACTGTGCAGCCATTAAAAAAAAGAATGAGATCATGTCCTTTTCAGGAACATGGATGGAGCTGGAGGCCATTATCATTAGGAAGCTCAGGCAGGAACAGAAAACCAAATACTGCATGTTCTCACTTATAAGTGGGAGCTAAATGATGAAAACACATGGACATATAGAGGGGAATAACACACACTAGGGCCTATCGGAGGGTGGGAGGAGGAAGAGGATCAGGAAAAATAACTAATGGACACCAGGCTTAATACCTGGGTGATGAAAAAATCTGTACAATGAACCCCCGTAACACAAGTTTAACCATATAACAAACCTGCACATGTGCCCCTGAACTTAAAATAAAAGTTTTTAAAAAATTAGCTGGGAGTGGTGGCATGCAACTGTGGTCCTAGCTACTCAGGAGGCTAAGGTTGCAGTGAGCCAAGATAGTGCCACTGCACTCCAGCCTGAATGACAGAGCGAAAGCTTGTGTCCAACAACAACAACAACAACAACAAACACTATTTTACCACATTCTCCATAAAACCGTCACCTTTGGCAGGTAAATAATATCTAACAGCTGTGTTAATAGGTTATTAAAGAAGAATATACTTCTTTTGCATGTTTACTAGTCACTTCTTATTTTGCAAATTATCAAGACATTTGACTGCTTACCCGTTTGAGACTTACTGTTTATTTTATTCATTTACATAAGTTTACCGTAGATATATAATACCTCCTCTTTGTCAGTGATATTTATTGCAAATAATATTCCTAATTTGTTGTTGGATTATTAATTGTGAGATTTTATTTTTAAATACAAATTTTGAAATATATATGTGATAAAATCTTTGACCTTTTGTGATTTTTGTTTTTTGTTTTTACCTTAAGAAGTTCTTCCCCAAATAATGAAGTCAATAAATAATCACTTATTTCAAAAAAAATTAAGTTTTGCCAATGGACAGAATTTTTTAGTAGGAAATTTGAAAACATGAGACGCTCTTGATACAAGTGTTTTTGAAAATGCAAGTCAATGGATAAACTTCAGCTCTTCATTCAGAAAGAAAGGTAAGAAACTTAGTGAATATTTATATACCAGTTACCAAAATTTTGTTAACATGTCCTTATTCTGTATCTTGTCATAAAATTGAGTTTTAAAATAAACTTACTGAAAGAGGCAAAGATAGATTTCCTACCATATTAAAAGGTTTCTTCGATAGTTCCAAGCCCTGCTAACTTGTAACTGGTAACCTTGAAAAAAATACATTCATTTAGAATGTTAGAACATTTACTGTAAAACATTAAATTTGTTTCTTTAAAGTTGTAATTTAAGATTGCTACAGGAAGTTGATTTTTTTTTTTACCAACCTTATGATAACCTGTGACCATGAGTTTATTGATCAAATTATAATGAACTCAACCAGTATAAAAGACTCTCTTAGAATCAGGAATGATCCTAAGGGCTTTTGTCTTTGAAAACATTATCTTACAAGTTAAAAATAAGAATGTCTGATAGGTTAATTTTTAAAAACATACATAATCTTGTTTTTCTATAACCTCATGATACTTCCCACCTCTGGGTCTGAGGAGTTTGGCTTCCTCCCTCTTTCCTGGCTCATTTTTACATGGCTTTAGGCTCACCAAGGGCATGTTTTCTCGAGGAACTTTTCCCTGATCTCCATCCCAGGAGGCCAAGGGGCCTACCTCTGCATTCCCACAGCATCCTGAGCTTGTCTTTATCATTGTGCTTATATTTGTTATGATTGAGATGGGCTATTTACTTGGATGTTTCCCGCCTCATTGTGAGACTCCAAAGGATGGCAACAGTGTCCTCATCATCTTCATATCCTGTGCACAATGTCAGATGGTCAAAATATTCATTAAACTGCAGTGGGAACAGAATCAGGACATTCTGGTACAGTGATCTTTCCATTCCCACCCCAACCTGTCTCTTGAATTCACAGCCCCTGGTGCAGAAGTGTGTGTGTGTGTGTGTGTGTGTGTGTGTGTGTGTGTGTGGATGTGTGTGTGGATGTGTATGAGAGAGAGGGAGAGAGAGAAAGGGAGGAGGCAGGAAGAAGGAAGAAAGGAAGGGAAGGAACATAGATGAGTTTATGACTTCACTCCGAATGCTCTGATAAGATAGGTGAGGTACTCTGATAAGACAGGGGGACTGGGCTGGGCACCAAGTGACCTTCAGTGCTTGGTGCGTGGACTCTTCTGATGTTAGAGTTTCATAGTAGGCACATTGGTTGCTTTAACTACTGACAGGTCTCAACACTACTGCTGCCCACCATTTATTGAGTACCTACTGTGCTCCAGGCCACATCCTAGGCAATTTACACATATGTTAACTCTAAAGCTCTGGCTCCTGTTAATCAGAAGACTAGGCTAACTGGTAGAGCCTTAATAAATGAAATTTACCAGCTGGGTCAAACTTCATTCAAACCATTCATCTCCATCTCCTCTCCCATCCAACCTACTCTCAGTGACTAATATGCTCTTCTTCTCTCTCTGCCCCAATTTGTCTTTTTGTGGAGCTACTAATGAGCAGGGAGAGGCCATAGGAGGCTCTTAAGGAAGATTGGGAAAAGGAAGAGGAGAAAATGGAGGAGGGGGAGGGGCAGGCAGCCAAGGGTGTGGGTACTCTATAAACTGGGTCATTTATCTTGCATGTCCCTGAGTGGGTGTCCCAATTACTTAATGTATTTTAGGTTCAAAGATCTGTCAAGATACCTTTTTCTAAAGGACCTGCTCTATACCCTGTATCTGTCTAGTTTCTCAGCAGGAGTTAATGATGTATAGTGCATAAATCTTTGCACAGTGCCAATTAATGCCAGGTCTGCTTCTTTGAAGTGATGTGAGGACTGATTCCTTGGGCTGGGTTCTGCTTGGAAGCCAGGGGAGGGCCTGCTCCTTTGGCTGTGTGAGCTCCAATCAGCTGAGAGAGATGGGCCTTGAGAAATGCTGCTTTTTCCAGGTGACTGGTCTGCAGGGCAAACATGCCCTGTCAATAGCAGGGGAGACCATGCTGGTTTTAGTTATAGTCATGGGGAAGGACCCTATTAATCAAGAGCCTAATCAGCTGGTTCTGGGATATGATGGTGAGGGTGACCATATAATTTATTGTCCAATCTAGGATACTTTTGAGACTGAAAAAAGAGTGCTATTAATAATTTTGTTGGCAGAACACATGCAAATCAGGACTGTCCCAGGCAAACCAGGACATGTGGTTACCCTAAGGTAATATATTAACTTTATCAATTAATTCTTTGCAGCCTGTGGAATAGGTTCACCCCACATATCACATTCTTCAGAGAAAAGCAGATCTCATTTGATAGTCACTCTCCTGCATGTTTCTGCTCTATATGTTGAACACATATACAGCACTTTGCAGACTGATGCTTTGAAAGAACAAAGGATTGGAGGCTGAATACACCTGGGTTTGTATCCGAGCTCTACCACTCACTGGTTAACCTTATAGGGTAATCAACCATCTTGGTTTGCCTGGGACTATTCCAGGGTTAGCACTGAAAGTCTCATGACCCAGGAAGCCCTTTAGTCCCAGGCAAACTGGGAAAATTAGTCACCATTTTTGGCAACCTCATAGAACATGGAGTGTGGGCATGGAGAGCCCTAAGCAGTCAAGGGTGGCCACCTAAATAGAACAGTGATGGTGGACTGGTCCTGGAAGTGTCAGAGTGATGGGGATCCAGAGCATGTGGAGAGGGGTCCCCAGGACGCATCTGTGAAAAGGAGAGCTGGCCCAAGAGTTTTATTTGTCAAATGGAGTGTTGATGGTGCGGTGAGTAAATGTAGGCAGAATCAAAGCAAAGAGAAGAGTGACCCATAAATGGCCAAGAAGGAGGTTTGGAGTAGCAGCTGGAGTGGAGTAGAGGGCAGGGAGGTACATAGACAGCAGTGTAAATTATATTTAAGAATAATCCCCCTTCCACACTTGGAAGTCTTCCATGAAACCCAAGAGGGGAGGGTTGAGTTTCTGTTATTTGGCAAAGGTGTCCAATAAACAAGTGGATCAGGAACCAGCTATGACACTGATCCACTGATAAGTGGCATTTAGGACATAGGTAAAGTGCCTTGTAGCATGCCTGGCACAGAGTGGTTGCTCAATAGAAGTAAATTTGTTCTCCTTTCCATCTTGTCCTACCAATACGATGTTCTTCCTATCTTTACAGGTATGCTGCTTTTCTTCAAAGAACACATTTGGATAAGTGATTTAAAAAAATTAAAAGTATCAAAAACAACAGCAACAACAGCAACACCCATCATGATGCCAGATTAAAGCCAGTAAAAATCATGGTTACTTCTCCTTTGTCTATTTCACTTTCTTGTTATTATCTCTCTCTCTCATCTATCCATCCATCATCTATCTATCTATCTATCCTATCTATCTATCTATCTATCTATCTATCTATCTATCTATCTATCATCTATCATCTATCTATCTCTATATTTATCTATCTATCCCACCTATTTGTCTTCTCTTGCAGATATTACTGTACTGCCTGGGGCAAGTAAATTTAGAGATTCTCTGAGAATCTCTAAAATGGGAGTTTTATCTAATTAATTCTTAGCATTCCACTTGATGCTTAGAGTTGCTGATTCCCAAATTGTATACTTTCTGAAGAAACTTTTTTTACATCTTCTCTGTGAATTTCAAAGGCACCATTATGGCAGGTGCGGTGGCTCATACCTTTAATCCCAGTGCTTTGAGGGGACAAGGCTGGAGGATCCCTTGAGGCCAGGAGTTCCAGACCAACCTAGAAAGCATAGCAAGATCCTGTCTCTGCATTTTTTTTTAAATTAGCCTGTCATGATGACATGAACCTGTAGTCCAAGCTACTCAGAATCTTGAGGCCAGAAGGATCCCTTGAGGCCAGGAGTTTGAGGTTGCACTGAGCTATGATCATGCTACTTCACTCCAGTCTGGATGGTGAGAGGGAAAGTCCCTGTCCCAAACAAAAAAAAAGCACCATCAATGGGCCATGAGCTGAGGGTGGGGGTGAAACTATGAGCCAGGGAAGCACCAGCCAGACTACTGCAGCTCAGAAAGGAATTGTAGGACCACTGCAGCCCAGGATAGCACCAGAAAACTCTCTGGCCCATGGGGGCACCAGCAGGGCCTGCACTTCAGGGTGTACCAGCAGAACTACTGCATCCTGGAGAGCACCCCAAAAACTGGTCTTGCTTGTGGGAGCATCAGCAAGAGTGCTGCATTCCATAGGAACATCAAGAGGACTGCTGTTGTCCAGGGAAGCTCCAGAAGAACTGGTCTGCCTCATAGGAGCACCAGAAGGACTGCTGCAGCCCAGGGTGGGGGGCATTTTCAGGACATTTGCATACCAGGGGAAAACTCAAAGAACTGCTCCTGCCCAGGGAAGCATTAGTAGGACCACCTCAGCCCGAGATGCGACTGTGGAACTGCTTCAGCCCAGGGCAGTACCAGGAGAAGAAGACCTGGTCTGGCCCAGGGGAGTACCAGCAGGGATGCTGCAGCCCAGAAGAGTGATTGCAGGGCTGCTCTGACTCAAGGCCAATGGAAGACAGAATTGACATTCTGAGATGGAAGCCCAGTGTTCTGGCCTTGTTTTCCTTTGAGGGAGGAGAGTCTTCTCCCCTCTTTTTTCTATTTTCTCATGCCTTCCCTCATCCCGGTGCTGATTCCCAATGGTGGTGTTATTTATGTGGAGAAGAGAGATGGGCAGTGAGGACAAAATATGCTGGCCAGTCAGGTCTGATGGATGAGGGGTCCTTCCCAGTTGAGCCCCAAAGTACAAAGGCCTTTCTATGGGCTAAGGGAGCATATTTTAGGATTCAGGAGCTTCCTGTCAGAAAGGGACAGCTTTTGTCCATATTCTAATTAGGTTATACCCCCTGCTGCATCTCTTTTTGACATCAAAGGGAGGAATAAAAAGGGAGAGGAAAGACAGCTAAGGAACTTTGGTGAAGCATAAGTCCTGAGATGTTTTTATTTGGTGGTGGGAGTGGGGAGGGTGTCTTGTTTTTGCATCTCCAAAACCAATCACTAGCTCTTAACTTTTTAATTCTTTTTTTTTTTTTGCTATAAACCCCTCTGAAAACCTTTTGAAAACTATGAACATACCCAAGAACAGTACATAATTCTCTGTGTGCGTGTGTAGGCTTTCTTTATATAATTTTAGGAGATTCATGAAAATGAATCCATTTCTATTCTTGGAAATCCATTCATGACCCTTATTTTTAAAACCCTAGAATTAGGTGATACATAAATTCCTTCCAAATTTCAGCTTCTCTGATTCTCCTGGAGAGAAAGAGTGGGCAGGATGAAGGACGGGCGGGCTGGTGGTTGCTCAGGGTGGGGTTAGATCCATTTGATGATGGAAGCCAGTGTCTGCAGCCAGAACCCTGAGTGCCTGTCCCTGGCAGCAGCCCCACCTTCAGATGAGCTACTGAGATGTAAGAATTCAGATTGATGAGAGCAATAAACCATTTTCAGATTCTCTGGGCGTGGGGATGGCAGGTGTGCAGAGCAGTCAGAGTTCTCTGCCAGTTTGGGAGGAAGAACACTGTGGAGGCTGGGCATGTACCAGTGTTGGCTGTAGCAGTGGAGAGACTTCGTACCTCCAGGCATAATACCTGCTGCTCACATCTGGGGGCTGGTGTGGTCCCTGCATGGTATGCTCCCAACAGTAGACATCCTGGGACTCCATCTGACCTTGCTTGGGCAAAGCTACTGAGATGGGAGTAGGAAGATATCTAGGGCATTTGTAGGGCCCTTATCATTTTGACTGTGTTCATATAGAGGATGGAGAGCTTGGTGGTTGAGCATGCACGGTAACTAATGAGGTGGAGAGAGTAGGACGGGTCAATTAGAATGGAGCCTCTGATTCCCAACTTGCCAGGTTGTTATCAGCTGGGCTAGAAAAATCCTCATAAGGCTGCACCCCTTGATGAGTTTGCAGGGGCTGAGACTCTGGCTCCTCCTTTTCTTTTTCCTAGAAATGTTGAAAGAGGACTGTGGTCCTACTGCCTGTCTATGGATTGACTGATAGACTCTCCTAGTTCTTCTTGGCTGACCCAGAAGGATTCATCTCTCCTAGGAGCCAGGACTGGGAGCGACAAGTGGGTGAGGAGGGAGAGAAGTGCAGGGAAACCTAATGCTGGGCCAGAGACTAGAGGGTAACAGTCAGGGTCAATGTCAGGCCATCAAGATTAGATCCAGACCTAGGAACCAGAAAACAAGTATTGAGATGACCCCTGTGATAGCAGGCCCTGAGACTGTAGCCATAGCAGGACAAGGGATGGGAAAGCCACTTAATTTCTCTGAGCCTCAGTTTCCTTGTATGTAAGATGAGACTAATAACTTCTGCTTCACAAAGTAGTTGTTGGAATGAAAAATGAACGTAAATCACTTAACACATTTGTGGCACAAAGAAGCAACTTTCATTAACAGTAGCTCATTATCACTATGTCTCAGCTACTTAGCAAGGTCCTTGGATAGGTTGGGAGAGTGATGGTTACGAAAATGAGTAAGATATCCTCTCAGTTCTCAATTTGCTCATAGCTTCACAATTATCATATAAGTTAGACTGTGATGAGTGCTGTAATAAATGAAACCACTGTTGCTGAATTTCTCCTGTGACCCCATAATTGCTCAGTTGTGGAAAACCTCTCAAGTGACTGAAACCCTCCCAGACAAAGATATTACAGAATCATGCTTCCAATTAATGTCTCCTAACTTGGATTACAAATGTGGGCTAGAATTTCTCGGGGTCACTGTCTACGGTTTCTCAGGTAACTGGAACTAAAGAGTATGCACAATGACATTCTTTAAGGATGTTTTTAAAAATATAGAGATATGTGTGTAAGAGGAACCTTTTCTACCATGGACCATTGAACCACAATGGAAAAAACTGAGGACTACAGAACTAAAGCACAATTATATTTTCTTTCTTTTTTTCCCCCAGAGAATACAAAGCTCCTATTCATTCACTTTCATAATTAGAACAGGTCTCTAAATAAGTTCAACAAATGAGAAAACAACACCCCTTTGTTTATATATAATCAGTTATTAATGGAAATGGATGAAGCAGGGAGGAGTAGCGATAAATCAACCCAGGAAGGGCCAGAGATGAAAAAGTAAAGACTTGACAGGGACATACAAGGGGTGGGAGGTACAGAGAGAGACTCAGACTAGAAGCAAAGATAAGTCATGGCACATAGATGGGAGGACAGGAGTGTGTGTGTGTGTGTGTGTGTGTGTGTGTGTGTGTGTGTGATGGGAATGGGGGCAGGGAGAGGAAGAGCAGACATATTCTAAGCCATACCTTTTAAATCGAGGTCATTAAACTTTTTCCGGAAAGGGCCAGAGAGTAAATATGTTAGGCTTCGTGAACCATGTAGTTTCTGTTGCAACTACTCGACTTTGCTGTTGTAGGGCAAAAACAGCCATAGACAATATGGAAACAAAGGGGCACACTGTGTTCCAATAAAACTTTATTTACAGAAACAGTTGGCCAGCTAGATTTGGCCCACAGGCCATAGCTTGTGAACCCTGCTCTAAATAATGCCTTTTTGAATAGTCAACAGTGATGTCTCTACTGGGCTCTCAAGGCTCTGATTCCCTCAGATACCTCTAAATAGCTCACTAAGTCCTATAAGGATCATGGCTGCTGAGAGGTTCATACCCTTAAGTCCTTTCCCTCCAGACCACACAAGCTGGTACCATTTCTACCAAAAAGAAGGAGGAGCCAGAAAAGATGGCTTCATCTTGGGTGGTGGTGGGGTGAGACAGGAGGCGAATGAGTGCAGGCCACCCAGACCCAGCCAGCCATCAAAGTGCAGGGCCACAGCCCACGCCCACGGCTTGCCTGGGTTCCCTGGTAAACAGCTCCTCCAGGCCAAGGCTTTCACTCCAGCCCCTCACCCTGTCTTTTGTCCCAGCACGTAATGATTTTGACCTCTGGCATTTCAAGAGTCTGCTGTGAAGAAATGTGGTACTTTGATCCATCCGTTGTTGAAATTCTGGAAAGAGAAATAAATAATTTGAGGCACATGGTGGATTCATCAGGGAAAGCCCTGGGAGAGAGAAGAGGCAAAAAGACAGCAAAGGTGGAGAAAGGAAGAGTGTTCTCAAGGAGTTATTTATCTCTTTGCTCTTCTTCCTGAGAGGGCTGGGGTGGGAGTGGGGGTGGGTGGGGGTGGTGGGCAGTCTGCTTGGGGAGGCTCTGAGACAGACCAGATGTGGGCTGACCTCATGGCGATTTCTAGCTCCAGCTGTCTAGGATGTTTAACATTCCCGACGTTTAGATTTATATAATGCTGTTCCCCTGTAGAGTTCAAGGCATTCGGTGTGATGTATTGGGAAAATGCTGCGTTAATTATTGGGAAATCTGGGACATCATCCTGGAACCTAGGGTCTACCAGGTATTTGAGGTTGGGCTAGACTGTGTCTCTGAGTGTGCTCTGAGTGTCCTGAAAGAGGAGTACTGTGTCCAGTGATCTTGGGAAAAGTAGTGCTAAACCAGAAGAAACAAGTGTCTTTACTTCAGTATCACTCACATCCATTAATATGCAAATGTGCTTCATGAATGACCAGTGGTCATAGCCATAATGTGTATGTGTGATATTATCTACCATCTGTCCTTCATGTACCCTTCCTCTTCCTCGGCTTCAGAAGCACAACAATGCCCTTTTTTGTCTCCCCTTGGGGCATATTTTCTGTCTTCTTTTCCTTTTCTCACCCTGTCTGAGTGTCACTCAAGGGTCTGAACAAGGTTGTCTGCTCTTTTCTGAATGCACTCTCTGTTCCCATTCATTCTCAAGGCTTAAGACATGACTTCCTTACAGTTTAGTTTACATTTCTAGCCTTGACTTCTTGCCAGTAACTGCATTGCCAGGTGACACTTCCCTGTGCACATCCTTCTGGCCTTTCAATGATGACGTGCCTAAACTCAACCCACTGTCTGCCCTTCTTCCTCTCCATTTTTCCTTAGGGCTTGGTTGCAGGGTCTGACTGCTTCACACCACATGTCCACCCCTTCTGAGATGAGCCTCTTATTTCTAGACTTGTAGCACATGGCTGCTACACTCATCTTGGTTGAAATCTCCTTCATAATATTTCTTCAAAATGTACAATGTCTTCCTTTTGCCTGTGGAACAAAGTGCAAACTTCATGGTTGGCTTCTCCTGGTCTAGGACTCACATCATTTGTATCTCCACATGGCCAATCTGGTCCAGACTGAAATAAGACCCCGGCTTTTGTCCAAATCTTAGACCTTCAAAGCACACTGTAAATCCTTTTCCCTTGAGGGCCTCATCTGGCTGTTGTTCCTTCCCTGACCTTCCCCAGCAGTATAGCATCACTGCACAGCAGGGCATGTCCACTCTCACTGTGGTGCTCACTGCCATTGCTACTTACCTGGGGTGTGAATTAATGTTCTGCAAGTCTTTCATGACCCCTGTGAGATCTAGCCAGGATGGGAACATCTTGGGTATCTTGTACATATTTTGAGGTTGACTGTCATTTTTAGGTGGCTAATTGTACTTAAACAGTGGCAAGAGCTGCAAAATAAATAGCAGACATCACTGGCATATCATCCCAGGCATAAGAAATAACCATACAGGGTAACTGCTCTGTCCCCCTAAGAAGGGTATTTATTAGTCAGATTTCTCCAGAAAAATAGAACCAATACTACACACACACACACACAGACACACACATGCCACACGCTATATATATAATATAGACACACACACTTATGTATGTACAATAGCACATATCTGTGGTATTACATATATAGTATATATATATATAATATTTTTATATACATAGATATGTATAAGATTTATTTCTTTTTTTTAAGGAATAGGCTAATGTGATTGTGGGGGCTGGCAAGTCTGCAATCTGTAGGGTAGACCTAAAAGCTGGAAATTGAGGCAAGAGTTAATGTTTCAGTTTTGAGCCCAAATTCCTCAGGGTAGCCCACAGAAAACTCAAGCAGGATGTCTATGGTTCAATCTTGAGGAAATCTCCTTCATCTTTGGGAAAACTCAGTCTTTGTTGTTACAGCCTTCAACTGATTGCATGAGGCTTACCCATATTATAGAGGGTAATTTGCTTTATTCAAAGTCTACTGATTTGAATGTTAATCACATCTATAAAGAATCTTCACAGGAACATCTAGACTGGTGTTTTACCTAAAAACTAGACCTTATAGCCTACCTAACCAAGCTGATGTATAAGTTTAACCATCACAAGTACTTTTGAGAGCCCTCCTGCTACTTGAAGGTATACTGTAGCTTCCTTTTGGCTTGAACAGAACTTCAGTACACCCGATCAGGGCTGGCAGAAAGCTTCTAGGCCTATTGCTTGTCACCCATTATGGCACTGGCCTGGACTGTTTTGTTGATTAACGGAGTGTCCCAATTTCCTTGTCCATAAATGATGATAACTAAGTTTCCTTTAGATCTAACATTCCACACGTGAGCATCAGGTAGTCCCTGTATCTATATAAAATGAGAGTAGTAGTGACTAACACATATCAAAGGTTGGCTGTGTGCCAATAGGCATTGTTCAACATACCTTATGTGAAATAACTAACTTAATCTTCCCAGCAATCTTATTAGATAGCAGCTGTTCCTAACCCCATTTTAATAGATGAGGGAATGGAGGCATAGAGAGGTTAAGTTAACAGCTCAAGGTCACACAGCTATTCAGTGGCAGAGCCAGGCTTTGAACACAGGCAGACTGGATCCAGAGTCTGAGCTCTTAACCACCACACAATGTAGTTTTTCCAGACTATCTCACAGGGTTGTGGTGGTGAGCGAATGGGGTAATGGATCTGCAAACACTCTGTGGACACTAAAGACTTACATGGCTCTAAGGTAGCACTAATATTAATGATTTGTCTCTTGAGTTCTTCCATAAGAAACCCCTCTGAGATGAAGTCTCATAACTGAATTCCATCTGGAAGTCCCTAGCACATTGTCAAGTACACAGCAAACTTAGTTGATGTGCAGTGAACACTGGGGCAATGGAATGAATCGAGGATGTGCAAACAAACCACTACTTGATGAGATCTCAGTTTTGAATCCATTCCCCTGGTGAGTGTGGATAGAAGCCAGCCTTTGTCCTTCTTTGTGAAAAGAATCAGAAGAACATCTCCCAGCAGTTCATATTTACCTGTTCATGTTCCTTCATCAATTTCTTGAAAAATAAAGCACTAACTGCACTTTCTTTTTTCTAGGCACAAACACTTGAGATAGTTAAGGCAGCACATCTCCCTGGTGACAGAAGATCCAAGTGCTGTTTGAATTGATGGGCATGAGACTGTGTGGCTGTGGAGTTAGCCCCAGCAACAAGACAGGAGCTGAGAGATCTGCTTTCCTTGGGAAGGCCTCTCACAGTGGCCCTTACAACTCCAACTTTGCCACGTGGAGCACATGCCTGGGTTGGCAGACTCTCAGCTTCAGACCTCATTCTGGCCAAATGAGTCCTTTTTTTTTTTTTTGACAGTCTTGCTGTGCCACCCAGGCTGGAGAGTGCAGTGGCGCATTCTCGGCTCACTGCAACTTCCGCCTCCCAGGTCCAAGTGATTCTCCTGCCTCAGCCTCCTGATTAGCTGGGATTACAGGCACCCGCCACCATGCCCAGCTAATTTTTGTATTTTTAGTAGAGACAGGGTTTCACCACATTGGCCGGGGTGATCTTGAACTCCTGATCTCAGGTGATCCACCCGCCTCGGCCTTCCAAAGTGCTGGGATTACAGGCGTGAGCCACTGTGCCTGGCCCAAATGAATGCTTTGGATAGAAGAGACTGAGAAGGCCAAGGAGGTTGAGGGGAATTTGAAGACCTCTGTTTAATGATTCTGCTTTGGTTTACCCATCTGCTTTTTACTATCATTCATGACCTCCAAGGTGAAGCCCTTCAGGCCAGCAGTGCAGCCACAAGGACACTCTCTCTGGGGAAAGGGGAAAGTTCTGTAGTTTTTTCCTGGATCTAGACTCCTGGAGACATGGTGTGTGGCTGTGATATTCAGCTCAGCTCCATTCTTCATCATTCCTGCTTTCTGTCAGTGGATGGGAATTTCCTCTCTGTCCTAATATGACTGGGTGGGGAACAGAGAAGACTTTTGGCTCTGCCATCCAGGATATGCCCTGTGCAGTACATGGTCAGGGTAGGCCTATATGTCCAGATGTATAGGTCCAAGCTTCGAGAATGGCAAGTTCATATTGCAGCCTTGGTTCCCTCATTGATCACTCCTAACTTCCAGTATGAGGCTGCACTAGAAGCCTACCACTCACCTGACCAACATCTTCTGTTGTTTTCCTTATCCCTCATTTCCTTTGACACCCTAGACTGCTCACTCTCTGGCACACACTACTAGTCATCTGCTCCACATCCACACATTCCCAATTAGTGAGGGGCAGCAATGTGTCCGATTAGACATATCCCTTGATCAGAGATGGTGATGGGTCTCAGATCTGGTTAATGAGATGTAAGCAGTGTCTGCTGGCTGGGGATTCCAGGAAAGCTCTTTTACTCCTGATCAATAGGAGGAAACAATTTACCTTTCCCTTTTGCCCTTCCCCTTCTTTGTGCCTGGAATACAGAGGTTGACCTGCTTCTTGTAGCCATGAGGATGAAAATCACAGGCTGAAGCTGGAGGAGCTGGACACAGCCTGAGTCCTTGAAAGCATCCCCAGGGAGTCACAGCAGCATTAGACTGCCTGCTGCTGGATTCCTTGGTGGCAAGAGCAGAGTTCTATTGCCTGCAGCCAAATGGAATCCAAGCAGATACAACTTTTTTCTTAAAACTTTCATCTTGCTTGTTCATAATGATTTAATCCTTGCTTGTCTGTCCTTGGCTGGCTTCTTTTCTTCCCTCTGCACTCTCTGCCCACCAGCACTGACCAGGCCAAGTAATGGTGTCCCAGAGGCCCCCGCAGGCAGTTACACAGTCATTTCTTTGGGTTTGTATGTCTTGCCCTACTATGGGATTTTTGTGTGTGTGTGTGTGTGTGTGTGTGTGTGTGTGTGGTGGTCCATGTATGTAGGGGATGACTACATTCAGTGAAGGGAAATAGCTCCTCAGTCACATGGATGCCAGGGACCTCTGCACAGTTCATCCTGCTACTTCACCTTACCCAGAAGTGGAAAAGCAAACAAAAGAGTTGTTTTTAACTAGCTAAATTTTGAATTTTGGAAACACTTGTTCTGTGTCCCAAATGGTTTGCATACTAGGTTTGGCCATAAATCTCTGGTTGTCCTAGGACAGGAATGGCAACAACCTGGTTGTTTTGACACCATTCTGCATGCTAGCTGTTCCCCAGTGGAGACCACAACTCGATCATGCTATTTTGTGTGTTTGCTAATTTTGAGCCCAAAGCATTTTAGAATCTTCCTGGAAACAGTGTTCAAGGGAGCCATTTTCATATCTTTGAGTTGGCATGCAAAATGGACACTTTGATGGAGGTTTCACTTTCTTCTAAAGGGTCTCAGGGCTTCTTAGGTCTGGAATGCAAGGATACTAAGCCTGTGGGATGGCACAATACTTCTCTTGGGATAAGACCAAGGCAAAAGTGTCTCAGGCAGACAAAAGGAAATGAGGGGATAATGACATTCTCTTTTCTTACTGCCCTCTTTAATCTTTGTATCTAATCCTCCTAAACCCCCAAATTGAAGTGTCTGTGTCTACTGTCCTGAGCTGATGTAGGGAGATGAGTGGGAATGGAAGCAGATGGGAAACTCATCAGAGACAGCACATTCTGAAGATCAGCAAAAGGGAAGTGTGACAGCCAACTTCTTGGTGGGGACGGCAGAAATGTAATTAAATTTTCTGATCTTGTTAGCCAATTTCTTCACTCACTGCCCCTGAACCAGAGAACGGGGAGGGAGGAAGGACACTGTTGCATCCGTGGCGGTGGGAGGGAAATGAGCTTTTCACGGATTATTGGGTTAGTTCCACTTCTCCCACTTTTTAATTTATTTGTCTGCATGTTCTCCAGAGCTGAAAAGGCTCTGAGTCCTTTCCCACTTTCTTTTAATTAGATCTGATTTTGGAGTCTGAAAACTTGAGAGGGCTCAGGTTACAATAGCAGGATGACAACAGTTGGAAGGTACTCATCTCCTATTAGATCTTTTAAAACTCCTTCAGAATTTAAGATTCTTAGTGATGGGTTATTTTTTTCTTTTCATTTCTTTCTTTTTATTCTTTAAGAGTTATAGTACTGCTTGCACTATTTATCACCTTATCCCATTCTGTTATCTTTTGGTTAAAAATCATGAACATCACTGATATTTTACAAATTTCAGAAGAGTATGTATTTACTTTCAAAGTCTTTTCCTTTATATTCCTCTTTTGAAAATGGAATACAGATCAGGAAAGCTGGTTGTGGTCTTTCTGAGTATGTAAAAGGAGTAACATCAATTCTGTGTTCTCTCTTTTTTGAAGCACAAAGAAAAAAAAATAACAAACAACAAAAAGACTCGCCAGAAAGAAACCAGGTTGTGGCTGTGGTGGATAATTTGGTTTATCACTTAAAACCCCTAGCAACAACATCCTGGGGCTAAGGGCATCTGAGGCCTCAGATGAGAAAGCCAAACATAGAATACTGGGTGGCTTGTGAAGAAACAAGGGCCCATTTCTTGGTTACAACCTGGATGTGCTTTTGCTGCAGGGCTCTGTCAGGTGTCCTGGTGCCAGGATGGTATGTGTGCCTGCAGTGCATGGAGGCCTGCTGCACTGGAGAGCATTTGTTTTACAATTCGTCCTGGGCAAGAGGCATTCTCCAGCGTTCTGCTTGGTGGCTCAAAATTTATGATGTTACAGGGCATGTTTGGGATGGCCTGACTTAAAATATAAGCTACACAATATATGCAAAGAGCACTTTGGGAAGACCTGTGGACACTTCAAATAAATGGGTAGCCATCCTCCAGAGAAGCTATAATTGAGGTTCCAAGGAAGCATCTGTAACTGCTGACTGTGAGATACAAGATATATGTATTCCGTGATTGTGGACCAAGAAAAATGATTCAAATATTAGCCTAAATTGAAAGCCAAAAGGCAGAAACTGAGTAAGTTTTACTTTAAAGTCAAGCTGTTTCATACATGGGCAACCTAAAGGAGCCTGCTCCAGGATTAGTAGAGCAGAGATTTTTTTTCCCCCAGAGAGTTTATGCGTTCCTGAGAACCCCCAGACAGCCCAGCTGGTATTTTTTGGGACATGTCACAAAAATGCCAACATGTCACATGTGAGAACAGCATACCATTTAACTCAGAATCCACTATCCCAGCATCTGGCCTGGCGTGAGTTGAGGGATGAAACATGATTTTCTCGGGGGGTCTGTGAGGGGTCACAGAAGGCCCATGGAAGCCATGGCATTTGACTTGGACCTTGAGGGATGAAGGAAGTTGAAACTTCAGGAAGTGGGGAAGGAGGAAGGACATTTTCAGCAGAGGGACCTTTCTAAGAAATGGTGTGAAAAGAGAAAAATATGCTGGGTACCTGAGAAATAGAAATTTAGCCTGGGCAATAGAACGTACATGATGGGCTGGAAAGGTAGGCATTGCTGAAGCTCAGAGAGCCCCCAGTGTGTGACTCGCATTTGTATTTCAGAGAGTAGGAAATATGGGCAAGGAAGGCTGATGGCAACAGTGCTGAAGGAAGAATAAACTCTCTGAACCTTAGTTTCTTTGTAAAATGAGGGTGCCGGACAAATTGCTTTTTCAGAGAGTTTTCTCTGAGCCTCATCTCAGCTGCTATAGAAAGAGAGCAAATAGCTTACAAATGCTGGCTGCCCATTCTAAACAACTCTGTCTTTCTCCCTTTCCTCAGAATGCGAGGAGAGAGAGAAGAAGACGGAGAGGGAGAGAGAAGATGTTGCAAAACAAAAGTGTTCTAGAATCTGTAGATTCACAGACAAAAGACAAAAATCTTAAAAAATTCTGTGGAAAACAAATTCTTCATTAATATTTTTATTACTTTTGTTGATAAAAGTGACGCTGCTTAAGTGCTCTTGCTGAAAGAAAAAAGAGAGAAGGAAAGAAGAAGAAAGAAAGGAATTCTGCTATTTCGTAGTAAACTTTTGGAGAGTTGTCAGACTTAGAAAACATTTGGAAAACAGATCTTTTGAACAGATCCGCAGAAGCATGGGGTGCGGTTTGGTATGATGAGCATACATGATGTATTAAAGCACACGCTGAGCGCAGAAATCCTCACTGCTCGCTACTACCCCACGGCTGCCACGGCTGGGTCCCCTGCTTGCCTTAGCCACAGCCTGCTCACCATGTGTCCTCTTCCCTGAGAGACAGAAAATAACAGAGAAACCTCTTCATGTGACCCTCAAATCACAGAATCACTGCATTTTGGGGCCTTCGGCTAGTTGACGGATATGAAAATATTCCTAGGAATCAAACTATGCTAGGAAAACTGGGGCAATGAACTCACATATGTGGGCTTTGTAACTGCATGTGAGGCAGGAATAACATCTTGATGTTAACAAAGATGGATAAACATTCCCCAAACTTTTCCCCATGAGACACTGACCACACCCGCCCCCCAGCCAACCTCCCACCTCCTTGGTCACAAACGGGCTTTTGTATTTGGAAGCTGAGTGGATCTGAGACTGAGACAAGGGATGAGGTGGGGAAAATGCTGGGAGGGAGCTGTCACATTGCCTGTCTATTTCCATGTGTCCACCCTTGGGCCTGGACTACTGTGAGGTCAATGAACTTGGAGGAGGGCATTGTCCTTCCTTCTTTCTCAGGGACTGCCTCCTCTCAAGGTGCTGAGCTCCTCCAGGCAGGTGACCTTGCTGGCCTTTCCCCACAGTGCTCTGCCTGGACTCAGACTCTGGCTGCTACTTAGGGACAAAGATTAGGCAGGAGGTGGCCAGAATTTCCTGCCAGATGAGACCTAGCAATGGAGGGATGGCTGATCTTCACAATACCAGCCCAAAAATAGTTGAGGAAAACTAACCGAAGTCAATATTATTGCCTATTGTGGATATCAATAATTTCTTTTGGACATTAAGCCAAATGAAAGCACAAGTAAAGGGAACAATAATTTTTGAACAAATGTTAAACATGTAGTTTCTGATTTCAGACTGGTGTATTGGAAAAGTAGGGCTCAAACACCCCACAGCTAATAAAGATATATCAGGCTTTCATTAAAACAGATATTAGAATGAAAGTACAGCTTCAACATAGTTTTATACAGTGAAATATAGAATAAGCAGTTCTTTCATTAGGGATGGGGAAATCAAATTTTAAAAACAATGTCTAGTTAGAAGTTTTTCTACAGATCATCAATTCAGTACTTACTTCCAATATTAATAACTCAGCTAAGCACCTGGAAGGAGGCTTTTCTCTGCTGAGTTAATGAATTTTTCTGTGAGTCTTCATTTGATTGATTACATCATAGCAAGTGTAACCACATAAGAAGCTGCCCTGGAAATATGATTATCTGAAGCAACAGCTAAAGAACAAGGAATTACTGAGGATGAACAAGTTCTATTTTAGAATTGTTTATGACAGACAATTCTGAGGAAAACAAAATCAAAATAGATACAGGAGAAGTGGGATTGTTTGCAATGTCTAACACAAAAGTAAAGGCTTTTGTGTGTATTATATATGCATTTCTTTGGGGAAATATTATGACTGAAAATTCTAATAAAATATTCTTATCTAGCAGAGAAAATAATTATAATAAATAAATATGAGCAGCAAAGTTGAAAGTAAGATAGGTCAACTTCTTTGTTCTCCATTTAAACCTATGAGTATAGGAGTCAGATACTGAAAAGCACTCTAGGGTTCAGGCTCACAAATACTGGAGGGAGGTGGTGATCAGTTGAGGGGGCCCCCAGAGGCTGCTTTGTATGTGTTCTAAGGATTCCAGTGAAAGCAACAGACACCTGGAATGTCCTTGTTGAGAGAAACCTTAGCACTACTTTGCCAACCTTCCCTACTTCCCTGTACTGTACTGTAAACAGAACCAGTTACATCATTTTACAAGGCCCCCCAAACAAAAACACAGGGCAGGGCCCTTTATTGAAAAATTGTTAAGAGTTTCCAGGAGGCAACACAAAGCATTAAACCAAGTGTAGGGCTCCTCTAAGTGCTAGGTCCTGTGAGATATTACAGGTCGCATGCCCTTGAAGTCAGCCCTGACTATAAATGGGGAAGCAGGGACCGTAATGGCTCAGGGTTGTCCTCCAATAGAACTCTTTACTCCTTTTACTTGTTTCAACTGGCCCTTGGGCACCAAAAAGGTTGGGTGGAGGGGAAAAGAGGGGGAAATCCTATGCAGAAATCACACCATGCCCTTCTTTGTTAGCAGGGCTGGTCATGCCCTTCCTTCTTGGTTGCCCCTTAATCAGCTAAAAATGCAGGCACCTCCTCTTTGACCCAGGATCCTTTACTTATTTCCATGTTCTCAAACACTGAATGCATACAGTGCCAGGCAGTGTGCCAGGGACTGAAGATACAGAGGTGAACAAGACAAAGTATTAGTCTTTGAGAAGCTCAATCTGGTAATGAGAGAACTTGACTTTTCTTATCTGAGAAATGGAAGAGAAGAATTTCACATGAGGTTGGGGAATGTGAGTTGTCATTTTCAAATAGAGGGAATAAAGTGTAAATCCAGTGCTTTGGCATCAGCTTGTCATTTTTCAGTGAGGAAGATCAGACAGGAAGGCCACATCCCTTAGCAAATAAACCTGTCTTTATTTATCGGTGGTTTTGGATGGGCAGAGAAAGGAAATTGATCTTAACAGGTCAGGACTATAGGACCATCAGAGGAAGGTGAAATCTGATTGAGAAATGGGCTAGACTTCCTAGAACTTCCTAGAACTCACTGGAGTGAACACTTTGACTCCTAGCAGTATGACTACATTTGTAGCACAACAGAAAGTGACTTCCTCCATGTGGCCTCTGGCACAGGTGCTTTTCCTCACAGGGTAGGTAGGAGAGTGAGGGAGAGTCATTTTATGTCATAGGCCTGCCGAGAGAACTGGTTCAATACACTTGATTTTATCTAGTTTATGTCTTATTAGACAAGTCTCAGAAGGGAAAAATGAGTCCTTTTGATACCTTTAATCACCATCGCAGTTCCTCTTACCTCAAGAAAGCTTTCCCGAGGAGGGGGAGGTTTTTCCAAGTGTCTGAGGGATAAACCTCATGGTTGCTGGCTTCAGAACAGTGTTTTTTTTTGCTTTGTATTTGTGACAGACTTTTTCTTTCCCCTTCTGTGAATGTTAACTAGAACACAACAGATTTCTTTTGGGTATGGTTGAAAACATTCTGATTTTCATTTTTCCTGAAAATATTTTGAAGGTGGGTAAAGACAGTCTTTAAATGCTGCTCTTGGAAATAGTTTTTCTCAAACTGTGTTTACAGCATATTAAACTAAATAAACATTCTAAAGACACAGATGTTGGAGTGCTATCTGAATAATGTCAAATTAAAATTGTCAAGTGGGAGGTTGGTAAAAAGCATATGTGGTTGGTTTGCTGCATGATCTGGACTCAATGGGGATTCCACCAGCAGGCAACCCATCCTTTTATCCACAGCTCATTTCAGCATGATGTGTAGATTTGTTCTTGCCTGATCCTTAGGTGGAATTTGGGGCAAATTCCATAATTTTTAGGTAATTCTCAGATGACAAATTTCCCTCTGACCAGTTCTAGTGTCAAAAATGTCCCACTTCAAATAATGAGAATATTCTATCCAGTGTCCTAATCGTCTAACTCCACACCCTTGTCAGGGTTAAAACATCTCCCCTCTCTGAGCACACTCAGGCTGCTTTGGACTGGGAAGCCTGGAGCAGGGAGGGGAGGTCAACTGTTTTTTCCTCTCCTTGGATTACTAGATTGTTATTATTATTATTTGGATTGGATTATTGATCTCATTCTTTACTCCCTCCCTCTGCCATGCGCTTTTTCAGTACAATCGACAGAGTGTACTTTACCACCTCATTGATTCTTGAACTTGGCCAATGGAATGAGAGTAGTTATGAGGCAAGCAGAGCTTTGTAAGTGCCTGAGTGCTTTGGCTTGCTCTCCTGCACTCCTGTGATCAGTGTGAGAAGGACATGCCTCAGGTAGCCACTGTCCCTTCAGCCAGAATGCAGGCAGACCTGGTTTAACTATAGCTTAGCACAACCTGCAAGAGCATTGATTGCTATCCTCTGGAATGTGAGGATAATTGGCATCAAATGTTTTCTTTTTCACCTTTGGGGACTCAGGAGGAATTGAGACAATTTTACATTTTTACATCTTGATGGATAATATATATTTTCTACTGTGGAATTGGGAAAAAGTATAGAGCCACACTGTGTTATAATTTAAGTGAAGCATTTTGCACAGTGCCTGGCACATGATAAGCACTCAATAAATAGAAATTTATTGTGGGTTATTGGTGTTATTAGTCGATATCTTTTCTACAGGAACGAAAATACTCAAGGACTTTAAAATTACTGTTTGTGAGTAAAGAGAATGCCTAGGAGTTTCTTAGCTTTGAAAATTATTCTGGGCAACTCAAATGCTGCTGATTGCATTTCTCACTGGACGTTATTCCTGGACTCGGGACAAGAGAGGTTCAGAGTTACAGCCTACCTATGTTCAGTGCTACTCCTGTAAGCACTTACATGTTTTATTTGTGGGCTCTTCCTTTATTTCCAGAACATTCTTTAAGTGCCTGTACTGGGAATATTCCATTTGCTTCTTCAAATCCATTCTCCCCACATCTTTCCAACCTTGTTTTTTCTAGCAGGGGATCAAAGGCAGGAGGACAAAGAGATAAGGGTGTTTACTTCCTCAGATTCTCCCCTACTGACTTTGAGCCTACTTCATCCTTCTACTAAAGACCATAGCTCCTGTCAGGCAGCTCCCTTCATAGAGCTACCCTCTGGAGGAATTATGTTCCTGTAACCACTCCCTCCTATTGCCCTTTCAGGCTTGGAAGGCCTAACAGCTACCTGCTGCTGTCAGTCACAGGCTACTGCATTATCCTCTGTGATTTCTCTGAACTAGTGCTTCTTAACCTTGGTTGCACATTAGAATCACCTGGGGAACTTTTAAAAAATTTCAATCTCATGCCCAGGCTATACTCTGGACCACTGCTGTCCATCAGAATATAATTTGAGCCACATAGTAATCTTAAAGATTCTAGTAGCCACATTATTAAAAGTAAGAAGAAATAGGTCAAATTACTTTTTGAAATTATTTTTTCTAACTCAGCATAATCTAAACATTATCATTTCAACAAGAAATTATTTTAAAATATGATGGAGATGTTTTGTATTCCTTATTTCTCTTTGTACCAAGCCTTCAAAATCTGGCGAATACTTTATACTTACATCATATCTTGATTTGGACTAGCCACATTGCAAGTGCTCAGTGACCACACGGGGCTACTGGCTACCTTATCAGACAGCACAGGTCTAAATTAATTGGGTAAGGTTCCTGGGGATGGGACCCAGGCAGTAGTCATTTTTAAGACTCCTGAGGACATTACATTTAATGTGCAGCAAGGTTGAGAACCACTCTCCTTAACCCTGCTCACATCTTTATAAATAGCCTTTTATTAAATTCTCTTTAAATCACCAAATTTGAAAATGTTATCTGTTTCATGCCATGTGCCCAGTACTGGGTGGGAATATGGAGGTGACTTAGGCAGAATGTCTGTCCTTTGGTAAGTTCTAATGTTGAGCAGAAACCACACAGGTCAGCAACCGTTGTAGTGTGAGGAGCAGGGCTGAGTGAGCCTAAGGCAGGCCAGATGCACCTTTAGAGCACCTGCATGTGGGGCTACCAACTATGTGAGAAAAGTGGAGGAAATGAGAATTTTATTAGAATTCCTCACGCTTTATATAATTGTATATTGTGTATATATGTGCAGAGGAGGGTGGAGGGGTAGGTACCACCATTTTGGTGCCTGTGTCCTCTGATGGCTGTCAGAGCTCTGATGGTGGGGAATGTGTGGGAGCTTAGAGGAGGGAGGGCACCTCATCTCCATTTTCTGTTTAATGTCAGTCAAGGGTCAACTGAGTTCATGGATTTCTTTCAGTTCCACGTGGCTTGTATCCCAGTTGTCTACAACACAGATTCCTGCTGCCCCTAGCAACCTTGCTGTGTACTTTCTAGGCCTATCAATTTGTTAAAGATCAGTTTTTTAAGTCAATTATCTTCAACCTGGCTTTCAGGGTTACATCTGGGCATAGACCTTGGTTGCTGAGCACTAAGTATATCTAAGCTAAAATGACTTGGTAGGGTGACCACTTCACCCTGGTTTGCCTGGGACTTTCTTGGTTTTAGCACTGGAAGTCTGGCATCTCAGGCACCTCATTGGTCCTGGGTGAACTGGCACAGTTGGTCACCCTATGTGGGATCTACCTCCTGGCTACTCTGTCCTGCTTCCCCTGCTGCAGCCAGAGGGCAGCGAAGTCTTGCTCCCCCGCACCCCCAACAGTGCTTAGGCACAGTAGGCCATGTTTTAACAGTCTGTTTTCCTCTGTGGCCCACACCATCAGGTGAATTCCATGTGGAGCCTGTGTAGTATTTCTCTCCCCTACTTTTAAAAGAGTGACTCAGGGCTAGGGAAGCTCCAGTGATTGTTCTCAGCCTGTACAGGGCTGTACAATTTGAATCCTCTAGGAACTTTAAAAAGTTAAAACCAGTGGGTGAAAGTTTGATAAGAAACAGGATATTAACATAATTTTTAAGTGTCTCTCCACAAGATACTTAGAGGATTATAAAGGGAAAAATAGAAATATTACAGTGGAGAAACCTGGTAGACACTACCTGAACCAAGTGATCACAGTTAACATCTTGGAATAGGACTCTTATGATCTGTTTCTATCCACAGAACATTTCTGACACCAAATGTGTGGGTTTTTTTCCCAATACCAACCAATTATTGGACACCAGCTGGGTGCCCTACAATTTAATTCAATTCTGACACTAATTACCTGAAGTTAGGGCAAATCCCACAAATTAAGGGCTCAGGCTCACAAGAGAACCCCACTTCAGATGCCAGTCAAAAGTCCTGGACTATTGATACTTCTCACTGACTCTAAATTCTGGGGGTTTCTACAACCTCTCTTCTACAACCACAGTTTGCTAGAATGGTTCACAGAACTCAGGAAACCACTTCACTTACACTTACTGGTTTAGTATAAAAGCTATTATAAGGGGTAGACATGAATAGCTAGATGAAGAGGTGTATAGGGCAAGGTCTGGAAGGGTCTCAAATGCAGGAGCTTCTGTCCCATGGAGTTGGGGTTAGCATTTGGATGCATTCACCAACCTGGAAGCTCCTCATATCTCCTTCAAGAGTCTTTACAGAGCTTAATCTTCAGCTCCCCTACTCCCCTTCCTGAAAGTTGGGATGGGCTGTACAGTTCAACCCTTTAATCATTTGGTCATTCTGGTGACCAGGCAGCTAGGAGGCCCCACCCTAAGTAACCTTGTTAGCATAAATTCAGGTATGATTAAAACAGGGGCTTCCTATGAATAATAAGAGATGCTCCTATCACTCAGGAAATTCCAAGGGTTTTAGGAGGTCTGTGTCAGGAAACCAGGGCAAAGACCAAATGGATTTCTTATTATACCACAGGGACTAATTGACATCATGTGCCTCCTAATAAGACACACTGAGCAGGACACACCATCCTTCTGTGGTATTTCTGCTCAAAATGCGTAACTCAGATCTGACAATGAGGAAACATCAGACAAAGCTAAAGTTGAGGGGCATTGTAGACCACCTTCACTTCTCAGTGATGTCTCCTCTGGCCACTCCACATAAAATCGAGTCCCCTCCATGACATTCCCTATTCTTCTCTGCTGTATTTCTTCCTGTAACACCTATCACTGCTAACACAGTAAAGTTTTTATTGATCTTATTTATAGTCAATATGTCCTCATTAGAATATGAATGATCACAGTGATTGGTTTAGTGATAGCCATGTGACCCAGTCAGGGTCAATAAGAAAAAATGAGATTTTTCTGGAATACTGAGAGACAAGCATATCCTCTTTTTCTGTTGGTCTTGAACCTGTGAAGATATAAGCCTGGCTTTGCTGGATATCCCAATGCAGCTTGAGAATGAAGTGCAGACAGCACCAGAGCCAAAAGGTGGAGAGGACCAACTACTGAAGGCACATTTGAGCTCCTGGGTCAAGATAGGCCTAAAGCCAGACCTACACAAATGTATTGTGTGAACCAATGCTTTCTGTCTTTGCTTCAGTCAGTTTGAGCTGTGTTTCCATTAGAGGTAACTGAAAAAGTTATTGGACTTTTTCAAGTCCAATTGATACATAGAGCAACCTTCTGGTTCTGATTTGTCTTCTCCTGTTTCTTTGCTTATAGGGAAAGAATGCTGACCCAAAGTCTGGAGAGTTGGTTCCATGTTCTATGTAAATGAGTTGCTGGGCCTTTGGATGGTAAGAACCAAGACCTTTCTGAGTTGGTTGATGTCAGCCAGGCCCAAGATTGCATTTGCAGTGCTGACAAGATTTAAGGTTCTGGTTCTAGCAACAAGGCACAGACTCTGGGATGTGGCGAAATTCACTAAGGCCCACAGTAAGGGACATGATGGCGGCCTGGAGCAGTCTGCTCTGTGGACATCTTGAGAGGGTGCCATTATTCCTGGGATACATTGATGGTCTGTAGAATGATGCCAGGCTGCCTGCATTAGGCTCCCAGGGCAGATATGGGGCAGACTGAGTGCAAAATTATCTCTAATTCTTCACCCCTCCAAATACCCATGCCTCTGACAAAGGGACTTTGTAGCTCCTCCTGTGAAGACATAGTGTCTATTCCCTTTCCCCCATGAATCTGGGCTAGCCTCATGGCTTCCTTTGGCCAATAGAATGGGGTGGATGGTAGAAGCAGTGAGACCAGAAGTGCTACTCAGTTGACAAATAGATTCATGAAAAATAACAAATGTTTACTGCTTTAAGCCACTGAGTTTTGAGGTGGTTTGTTATGTAGTAATAGCTAACTAAAAACTGATTCCCAGGGCTTATCATCTGATATTCTAATTCTACTACCCTGGGGAGGGACTTCTGAATCTGTATTTTTAAAAAGATTCAATGTTGTTGCCCATACAGGTTCTGGAAGCAATTATCAACCCGCCACCCACCTGGAAGTTCTGCAGGTGTGTCATACACACAGGCCCTGACATTTTCAGCCAGGCTTCAACACTCATCTTGGGCACTGTTTTAGAACAATTGATGAGCCCCTGTAGCAGCAGACTTCTAAGGTGAGAAAGTCCTGAGATGTGGGCAGAAAGGGAGCCTGGGAGTCCCTGCAGTTGGAAATAAAAAAGAATCGAGGTTTCTAGACACTCGATTTGAACTCTATTAAATGAAACACAGGCCCTTTGAGAGAGGTGTTTGTTCTGGATTCAGCTGTGTTCTGTTCAGAGAATGGCCTGTGGGGACAGATCTGTCACAGGCATGCAGGTGTCTAGTTTAAGACGGAGGACTCCCTCCAGCCTGTTTGTGAGCCAGCCAATATTGTAATTGAAGGTGAGCCTGACCTCAGTCCTCCTGGCTCTGAGGAGAATGCCACTCGGCCTGGCCTTTGAGTGAGCTCATGAACAACAGTGTCTGCCTTCCAGAATACAAACAGTGCTTGCTCCATTGTAGCCCCTTCTACTTGGCCCCATGGGGACTATGGAATAATGTCAGTGGTCCCCACATAATGTGCATCAATAAGCAAACAATAAACAAAAATACTAGTTCACATAGACTTGCTGCCTGTCTTTCCAAGTGGTGACCTGTTTCATCTTGAGAGAGTTCTATCATGCAGAAATTCTTTATATATTTAATAGTAAGATACTACAGAAGGCAATTCATTAAGGGTGCCAGAAAAGAAAGATTATCGCTGTTATTTTAGCATTGATCTAGAAGCAACAACCAATGCAATGATAAGAAAAAGAAATAAGCATCAATATTAGAAAGGAGAAAACAAAACTATCAGTATATGCAGTTCATGCTATCACATACAAACCAAGAGAATTGACAGAAAAATTATTAGGAACAATAAAAGAATAGTAAGGTGGCTCATTATAAAATCAATATGTAAAAATCGATAGCTTTTTGTCTTTAACTTTTTATTATCAAATGTATCATAGTATAAAAGCATATATGTTTGTATATATAATTTAAAAATATATTTACAATTAAATTGAAGAGAGTAACCAATACTCCCTGATCACCTCTTCTTCTCTCCAGAAATATCCATTTTAATCATTGCCTTGCTTTATTTGCTTTACAGTGTTGCTACAATTACACATATCTGAATTAAAATACTGCTCATTTTGCTATTTTTGATTTGCTTCTTTCACTTATGTTTCTGAATCATTGATGTTGATCACATGGCTATAGTTTATTCATTTTCTTTGCTCTATAGTATTTCATCATGTGACTGACACTATTCCATCTCTAAAATTCTAAAAGTAAAGAACCTGACTTGAACTATTAAGGTATTTATTGATCCAAGTTAGTGTGAAAATGTATGTTTATACTGTGGAAATTTTATAAGTGTAAATTCTGAGTATGTGTTTGTGTTATATAAATGTATATTTGTATTTTGAATATGTATATGCATATACATTATCTATCTAGTATGTATATATACAGGCATATTATACTCGTTTTATTTTACTTCACTTATTGTGCCTCATAGATATTACATTTTATAAAAATTGAAGGCTTGTGGCAACCCTGTGTCTAGCAAGTTTTCCAACACCATGTACTCACTTCATATCTTTGTGACACATGTCTTTGTGTCACAGATAATTAAATATTAAAATTTCTCACAATATTACTAACTTTTAAATTATTATATCTGTTATGGTTGTCTGTGATCACTGATCTTTGATGTTACTATTGTATTGTAATAGTAATTGTAAAAATACAATTACTGTTGTAATTGTTTTGGGGCACCATGAACCATGCCCACATAAGACAGAAAATTTAGTCTATAAATATGTGTGTTCTGATTGCTCCATCAACCGGCTATTCCTTTCTCTCTCTCCCTCTCCTTCATACTCCTTATTCCTTGAGATATGACATATTAAAATTCATCCAATTAATAACCCTACAATGGCCTCTAAGTGTTCAAGTGAAAGGAAGAGTTGAATTTCTCTCACTTTCAATCAAGAGCTAGAAATGATTAAGCTTAGTGAGGAAAGCATGTTGAATGCTGAAATAGGCTGAAAGCTAGGCCTCTTGTATCAAACAGTTAGCCATGTTGTGAATGCAAAGTAAAAGTTATTGAAGGAAATTAAGAGTGCTCCTTGAGAGAACACGTGAATAATGAGAAAGCGAAACAGCCTCATTCCTGGTCTGGAGAAAGTTTTAGTAGTTTGTATAGAAGATCAAACCAGCCAGCCAAACATTCCCTTAAGCCAAAGCCTAATCTAGAGCAAGGGCCTGACTCTCTTTAGTTCTGTGAAGGCTGAGGGTTGGGAGGAAGCTGCAGAAGAAAAATTGTAAGCTAGCAGAGGTCAGTTCATGAGGTTTAAGGAACGAAGCCATCTCCATAATATGAAAGTGTGAGGTGGAGCAGCAAATGCTCATGTAGAAGCCGCAGCAGTTACCCAGAAGATCTAACTAAGATGATCATGAATGTGACTACACTGAACAACAGGTTTTTACTATAGACAAAATGGCCTTTGACTGGAAGAGAATGCCATCTCAGAGGTTCATAGCTAGAGAGAAGCCAATGCCTGACTTCAAAGCTTGAAAGGACAGGCTGACACTCTTGTTATGGGCTAATGTAGCTGATAACTTTAAGTTAAAGCCAGTGATCATCTATCATTCTGAGAATCCCAGGGCTTTTAAGAAATACATTTTGTAAGGCTACAAATAAATATAAACTGCCATAAATAGAGCTTCCTCTTATGGATCTGGCCAAAGCAAATTGAGAGCCTTCTGGAAAAGAATCACCATTTTAGATGCCATTAAGAACATTTGTGATTCATGGGAGGAGGTCAAAATATCAACATTAACAGGAGTTTGGAAGAAGTTGATTTCAACCCTCAAGATGACTTTAAAGGGTTAAAGACTTTATTGGAGGAAGTAACTGCAGATGTGGTGGAAATAGAAAGAAAACTAGAATTAGAAGTGGAGCCTGATGATGTGGCTGAATTGCTGCAATCTCATGATAAAACTTGAACAGGGCTGGGTGCGGTGGCTCACGCCTGTAATCCCAGCACTTTGGGAGGCCGAGGCAGGTGGATAACAAGGTCAGGAGATCGAGACCATCCTGGCTAACACGGTGAAACCCTGTCTCTACTAAAAATACAAAAAAATTAGCCGGGCATGGTGGCGGGCACCTGCAATCCCAGCTACTTGGGAGGCTGAGGCAGGAGAATGGCGTGAACCCGGGAGGCGGAGCTTGCAGTGAGCCGACATTGCGCCACTGCACTCCAGCCTGGGAGACAGAGCAAGGCTTCATCTCAAAAACAAACAAACAAACAAACAAACAAACAACAACGACAAAAAACTTGAACAGATAAGAAGTGGCTTCTTGTGGATGAGCAAAGAAAATGGTTTTGTGAGATGGATTCTACTCCTGGTGAAGATGCTATGAATGTTGTTGAATTGACAATAAAGAATTTAGACTATAACATAAACTTAATTGATAAAGGAGTGACATTGTTTGAAAGAATTGACTTCACTTTTGAAAGAAATTCTGAGGAAAATGCTATCAAAAAGCATCTTATGCTACAGAAAATCCTTCATGAAAGGAAGAGTCAATTGTTGCAGCAAATTTCAGTGTTGTCTTATTTTAACAAATTGCCACAGCCACCCTAACCTTCAGCAACCACCATCCTGGTCAGTCAGCAACCATCAACACAGACAAGACCTTAACCAGCAAAAAGATTACAACTCGCTGAAGGCTCAGACAATTATTAGCATAATTTAGCAATAAAATATTTTCCATTAAGGTATGTACATTTTTAGACATAATGTTATCGTACACTTATTAGACTACAGTATCGTATGAACATAACTTTTATATGCAATGGGAACCCTAAAAATTTATGTGACTCATTTTATTGTTATATGTGCTTTATTGTGGTGGTCTGGAACTGAACTAATATTTCTGAAGTATGCTTACATGCATATATGTATGTGTTTATACTTATGTATATGTATACATATGTGTACACACATTCTATTGTCTTTCTAAAATTTAAAAAAGCTCATTTTGAGTGTTTTGGATAAGACATTATTAATCTGTATTATATATTATTCATCCATTCTCACTTTGGTGGACATTTGGGTTGTACATACACTTTCATAAATGTTATTGCACATGTTCTTTTGGTGCACATATGCAAGAGTATAGACCTAGGGGTAGAGATGCTGGGTCATGAAGTATGCACATGTTTAGCTTTATAGAAAGACCTAGTTTTCTCATAAACCTAGTCAAAGATGACTAAACCAATTTTTATGTCTTCCAACAGTATATGAAAATTCCCTTTGCTCCACATCCTCCTAGCATTTAGTGCTGTTAGACTTTAAATTATTTTCAATCTGTTGAATGGATATTTGTATATCCTCATAGGTTAAAGTTTTATTTCTCTGGTTACTAATGAGGTTGTATAACTTTCCATGTGT
The DNA here is from genome assembly GCF_000001405.40 of Homo sapiens. Classification (NCBI taxonomy): domain Eukaryota; kingdom Metazoa; phylum Chordata; class Mammalia; order Primates; family Hominidae; genus Homo; species Homo sapiens. The sequence goes on along the minus strand of NC_000003.12, from coordinate 135,614,178 downwards.
TTTTTGGCTTTACAGAATTTATTCTTAGTGAAGTGCCTTATACATCTTTTGTTCATTTTCCACTGGGTGTTTGCCTTTTCCTTATTTATTTGTAAGAGTACTTTATGTGTTAAATATACAAATCCTTTTTTGGTTATGTATATATTATAAGTATCTGCTTCCATTTGTGACTTATCTTTTTCTCTTTCTCAATGCTATTTTTTGATTAACAGAATTTATTTTAATGTATTATAATTTATGTTACTTTAAATTTTGTTTTCTTTTGGTGTCTTGATGAATCTATTATTAACCTCATGTCATAATGACATTTTCCTATATTGTTCTATTATCTAACAAAGGTCTAATATCCTAACTCTACAAGTGTATTAGTCTGTTCTCATGCTGCTAATAAAGACATACCCAAGACTGGGTAATTTATAATGGAAAGAGGTTTAATTGACTCTCAGTTCCACATGGCTGGGGAGGCCTCACAATCATGACAGAAGGCAAATGAGGAGCAAAGTCATGTCTTACATGGTGGCAGGCAAGAGAGTGTGTGCAGGGGAACTCCCCTTTATAAAACTATCAGATCTCATGAGACTTATTCCCTATCACAAGAAAAGCATGGAAAGACCTGCTGCCCCATGATTCAATTACCTCCCACTGGGTGCCTCCCGTGACATGTAGGAATTATGCAAGTTACAACTGAAGATGAGATTTGGGTGCAGACACAGCCACACCATATCATTCCACCCATGGCCCCTCCCAAATCTCATCCTCACATTTCAAAACCAATCATGACTTCTTAATAGTCCCCCAAAGTCTTAACTCATTTCAGCCTTAACTCAACAGTCCACAGTTCAAAGTCTTATCTGAGACAAGGCAAGTCCCTTCCACCTATCAGCCTGAAAAATCAAAAGCTAGTTAGTTACTTCTTAGATACGATGAGGGTACAGGCATTGGGTAAATACAGCCATTCCAAATGGGAGAAATTGACCAAAATGAAGGGGCTACAGGCCCCATGCAAGTCCAAAATCCAACAAGGCAGTCAAATTTTAAAGCTCTGAAATGATCTCCTTTGATTCCACATCTCACATCCAGATCATGCTGATGCAAGAGGTGGGCTCCCATGGCCTTGGGAAGCTCTGCCCCTGTGGCTTTGCAGGATACAGCTCCTCTCCTGGCTGCTTTCTTGGGCTGGTGTTGTGTCTGTGGCTTTTCCAGGTGCACAGTGCAAGCTGTTGGTGGATCTACCATTCTGGGGTCTGGCGATGGTGGCCCTCTTCTCACAGCTCCAATAGGCAGTGTCCCAGTGGGGGCTCTGTGTGCAGCCTCCAACCCCATATTTCCCTTCCACACTGCCCTAGCAGAGGTTTTTCATGAGGGCCCTGACCCTGCAGCAAACTTCTGTCTGGGCACCCAGACATTTCCATACATCCTCTGAAATCTAGGCAGAGGTTCCCAAATCTTGATTCTTGACTTCTGTGCACCCACAGGCTCAATATCACGTGGAAACTGCCAAGGCTTGGGGCTTGCATCCTCTGAAGCCATGGCTGGAGCTGTATCTTGGCCTCTTTTAACCACACTGGAGTGGCTAGAGTACAGGGCCCCAAGTCCCTAGGCTGCACACAGCAGGGAGGTCCTGGACCTGGACCATGAAAGCATTTTTTCCTCCTATGCCTCCAGACCTATGATAGGAGGACTGCCACAAGGGTCTCTGACATGTCCTGGAGACATTTTCCCCATTGTCTTGGTGATTAACATTTGGCTCCTTGTTACTTATGCAAATTTCTGCAGCAGGCTTGAATTTCTCCCCAGAAAATGTTTTTTTCTTTTCTATTGCATTATCAGACTGCACATTTTCCAAACTTTTATGCTCTGCTTCCTCTTGAACACTTTGCCACTTAGAAATTTCTTCTGCCAGATACCCTAAATCATCTCTCTCAAATTCAAAGTTCCACAGATCTCTAGGGCAGGGGTGAAACACCTCCAGTCACTTTGCATAGCAGGAGTGACCTTTATTCTGGGTCCCAACAAGTTCCGCATCTCCATCTGAGACCGCCTCAGCCTGGACCTTATTGTCTATATCACCATCAGCATTTTGGTCAAAGCCATTCAACAAGTCTCTAGGAAGTTCCAAACTTTCCCAGATCTTCCTGTCTTCTAAGCCCTCCAAACTGTTCCACCTCTGCTTGTTACCCAGTTCCAAAGCCGCTACCACATTTTTGGGTATCTTTAGAGCAGCACCCTACTCTACCAGTACCAATTTACTGTATTAGTTTGTTCTCACACTGCTAATAAAGACATACCTGAGACTGGGTAATTTATAAAGGAAAGAGGTTTTATTGACTCACCATTCCACATGGCTGGGGATTCCTCACAATCATGGCAGAAGGCAAATGAGGAGGAAAGTCACAGAGTGGAATAATAGACGCTGGAGACTCCAAAAGGTAGAAGGGTGGGAAGGGGTGAAGGTTCAGAAATTGCCTATTGGGTACAATGCTCACCATTTTGTTGTTGGGTACACTTTTATCACAGGCTTCACCACTATGCAATATATGCACATAAGAAATCTGCACTGGTACCCCCAAACTTATTTTTAAGTTTCACATGGTGGCAGGCAACAGAGCATGTGCAGGGGAACTCCCCTTTATAAAATCATCAGATCTCATGAGACTTATTCACTATCATGAGAACAGCATGGGAAAGACCTGCCCCCATGATTCAGTTACCTCCCACTGTGTGCCTCCCATGACATGTGGGAATTATGGGAGCTACAATTCAAGATGAGATTTGGGTGAGGACACAGCCAAACCATATCAGCAAGGAACTCAAACAACTCAACAGGAACAAAACAAATAATCTCATTAAACAGTGGGTAAGGACATGAACAGACATTTTTCAAAAGAAGACTTACAAGCAGCCAACAAACATATGAAAAAAATGTTCAACATCACTAATCATCAGAGAAATGCAAATTCAAACTAAACGAGATGCCATCTTATGCCAGTCAGAGTGACTACTATTAAAAAGTCAAAAAACAACAGATGTTGGCAAGGATACAGAGAAAAAGGAACACTTATACACTGTTGGTATGAATGTAAATTAGTACAACCTCTATGGAAAATGGCATGGAGATTTCTCAAAGAACTAAAGATAGAAATACTATTCAATCCAGCAGTCCCACTACTGGGTATATACTCAAGGGGAAACAAATCATTATTTCAAAAAGATACCTGCAATCGTATGTTTATTGCAGTACTATTCATAACAGCAAAGATGTGTGTATTAGTCTGTTCTCATGCTGTTGTAAAGAACTGCCTGAGACTGGGTAATTTATAAAGGAAAGAGGTTTAATTGACTCACAGGTCCACAGGGCTGGGGAAGCTCAGGAAACCTAGGTCGTGGTGGAAGGGGAAGCAAACACGCCCTTCTTCACATGACAGCAGGAAGAAGAAGTGCTGAATAAAGGGAGAAAAGCCCCTTATGAAACCATCAGATTTCATGAGAAATCACTCACTATCACGAGAACAACATGGGAGTAAGCACTGCCAATGATTCAGTTACCTCCCACTGGGTGCCTCCCACGACATCTGGGGATTATGAGAACTACAATTCAAGATGAGGTTTGGATGGGGACACAGCCAAACCATTTCAATACGGAACCAATATAACTGCCTATCAACAAATGATTGGATAAAGACAATATGATACACACACACACACACACACACACACATACACACACACACACCATAGAATGCCATTCAGCTATAAAAAATAATGAAATAATATTTTATGCAGCAACATGGATGAGACTGGAGGGCATTATCCTAAGTGATATAACTCAGAAACAGAAAGTGAAATATCACATTTCTTTACTTATAAGCAGGAGCTAAACAATGGGTACACATGAACATACAGAGTGGAATAATAGATGTTGGAGACTTCAAAAGGTAGAAGGGTGGGAAGGGGTGAAGGTTGAGAAATTGCCTATTGGGTACAATGCTCACCATTTTGTTGTTGGGTACACTTTTTTTTGTCTTTTTTTTTTAAATTATACTTTAAGTTGTAGGGTACATGTGCACAACATGCAGGTTTGTTACATATGTATACATGTGCCATGTTGGTATGCTGCACCCATTAACTCATCATTTACATTAGGTATATCTCCTAATGCTTTCCCGTCCCCCTTCTCCCACCCAACAACAGGTCCCGGTATGTGATGTTCCCCTTCCTGTGTCCAAGTGTTCTCGTTGTTCAATTCCCACCTATGAGTGAGAACATGTGGTGTTTGGTTTTTTATTCTTGTGATAGTTTGCTGAGAATGATGGTTTCCAGCTTCATCCATGTCCCTACAAAGGACATGAACTCATCCTTTTTAATGGCTGCATAGTATTCCATGGTATATATGTGCCACTTTTTCTTAATCCAGTCTATCATTGATGGACATTTTGGTTGGTTCCAAGTCTTTGCTATTGTGAGTAGTGCCACAATAAACATACGTGTGCATGTGTCTTTATAGCAGCATGATTTATATTCCTTTGGGTATATACCCAGTAATGACATGGCTGGGTCAAATGGTATTTCTAGTTGTAGATCCTTGAGGAATTGCCACACTGTCTTCCACAATGGTTGAACTAGTTTACAGTCCCACCAACAGTGTAAAAGTGTTCCTATTTCTCCACATCTCCTCCAGCACCTGTTGTTTCCTGACTTTTAAATGATCACCATTCTAACTGGTGTGAGATGGTATCTCATTGTGGTTTTGATTTGCATTTCTCTGATGGCCAGTGATGATGAGCATTTTTTCCTGTGTCTTTTGGCTGCATAAATGTCTTCTTTTGAGAAGTGTCTGTTCATATCCTTAGCCCACTTTTTGATGGGGTTGTTTGTTTTTTTCTTGTAAATTTGTTTGACTTCTTTGTAGATTTTGGATATTAACCCTTTGTCAGATGAGTAGATTGCAAAAATTTTCTCCCATTCTGTAGGTTGCCTGTTCATTCTGATGGTAGTTTCTTTTGCTGTGCAGAAGCTCTTTAGTTTAATTAGATCCCATTTGTCAATTTTGTCTTTTGTTGCCATTGCTTTTGGTGTTTTAGACATGAAGTCCTTGCCCATGCCTATGTCCTGAATGGTATTGCTTAGGTTTTCTTCTAGGGTTTTGATGGTTTCAGGTCTAACATGTAAGTCTTTAATCCATCTTGAATTAATTTTTGTATAAGGTGTAAGGAAGGGATCCAGTTTCAGCTTTCTACATATGGCTAGCCAGTTTTCCCAGCACCATTTATTAAATAAGGTATCCTTTCCCCATTGCTTGTTTTTCTCAGGTTTGTCAAAGATCAGATAGTTGTGGATATGCGGTGTTATTTCTGAGGGCTCTGTTCTATTCCATTGATCTATATCTCTGTTTTGGTACCAGTACCATGCTGTTTTGGTTACTGTAGCCTTGTAGTATAGTTTGAAGTCAGGTAGTGTGATGCCTCCAGCTTTGTTCTTTTGGCTTAGGATTGACTTGGCGATGCAGGCTCTTTTTTGGTTCCATATGAACTTTAAAGTAGTTTTTTCCAATTCTGTGAAGAAAGTCATAGGTAGCTTTATGAGGATGGCATTGAATCTATAAATTACCTTGGGCAGTATGGCCATTTTCACGATATTGATTCTTCCTACCCATGAGCATGGAATGTTCTTCCATTTGTTGTTTGTATCCTCTTTTATTTCCTTGAGCAGTGGTTTGTAGTTCTCCTTGAAGAGGTCCTTCACATCTCTTGTAAGTTGGATTCCTAGGTATTTTATTCTCTTTGAAGCAATTGTGAATGAGAGTTCACTCATGATTTGGCTCTCTGTCTGTTATTGGTGTATAAGAATGGTCGTGATTTTTGCACATGGATTTTGTATCCTGAGACTTTGCTGAAGTTGCTTATCAGCTTAAAGAGATTTTGGGCTGAGACTATGGGGTTTTCTAAACATTCAATCGTGTCATCTGCAAACAGGGACAATTTGGCTTCCTCTTTTCCTAATTGAATACCCTTTATTTCTTTCTCCTGCCCGATTGCCCTGGCAGAACTTCCAACACTATGTTAAATAGGAGTGGTGAGAGAGGGCATCCCTGTCTTGTGCCAGTTTTCAAAGGGAATGCTTCCAGTTTTTGCCCATTCAATATGATATTGGCTGTGGGATTGTCATAAATAGCTCTTATTATTTTGAGATACATCCCATCAATACCTAACTTATTGAGAGTTTTTAGCATGAAGAGCTGTTGAATTTTGTCAAAGGCCTTTTCTGCATCTGTTGAGATAATCATGTGGTTTTTGTCTTTGGTTTTGTTTATATGCTGGATTGCATTTATTGATTTGCATATGTTGAACCAGCCTTGCATCCCAGGAATGAAGCCCACTTGATCATGGTGGATAAGCTTTTTGATGTGCACCTGGATTCGGTTTGCCAGTATTTTACTGACGATTTTTGCATCGATGTTCATCAGGGATATTGGTCTAAAATTCTCTTTTTTTTGTGTGTCTCTGCCAGGCTTTGGTATCAGGATGATGCTGGCCTCATAAAATGAGTTAGGGAGGATTCCCTCTTTTTCTATTGATTGGAATAGTTTCAGAAGGAATGGTACCAGCTCCTCCTTGTACCTCTGGTAGAATTCGGCTGTGAATTCATCTGATCCTGGACTTTTTTTGGTTGGTAGGCTATTAATTATTGCCTCAATTTCAGAGCCTGTTATTGGTCTATTCAGGGATTCAACTTCTTCCTGGTTTAGTCTTGGGAGGGTGTATGTGTCCAGGAATTTATCCGTTTCTTCTAGATTTTCTAGTTTATTTGCATAGAGGTGTTTATGGTATTCTCTGATGGTAGTTTGTATTTCTCTGGGATCGGTGGTGATATCCCCTTTATCATTTTTTATTGCATCTATTTGATTCTTCTCTCTTTTATTCTTTATTAGTCTTGCTAGTGGTCTATCAATTTTGCTGATCTTTTCAAAAAACCAGCTCCTGGATTCCTTGATTTTTTGAAGGGTTTTTTGTGTCTCCAACTCCTTCAGTTCTTCTCTGATCTTAGTTATTTCTTGCCTTCTGCTAACTTTTGAATGTGTTTGCTCTTGCTTCTCTAGTTCTTTTAATTGTGATGTTAGGGTGTCAATTTTAGATCTTTCCTGCTTTCTCTTGTGGGCATTTAGTGCTATAAATTTCTCTCTACACACTGCTTTAAATGTGTCCCAGAGATTCTGGTATGTTTTGTCTTTGTTCTCATTGGTTTCAAAGAACATGTTTATTTCTGCCTTCATTTCGTTATGTACCCAGTAGTTATTCAGGAGCAGGTTGTTCAGTTTCCATGTAGTTGAGCGGTTTTGAGTGAGTTTCTTAATCCTGAGTTCTAGTTTGATTGCACTGTGGTCTGATAAACAGTTTGTTATAATTTCTGTTCTTTTACATTTGCTGAGGAGTGCTTTACTTCCAACTATGTGGTCTCTAAGGACTTGCTTTATGAGTCTGGGTGCTCCTGTATTGGGTGCATATATATTTAACATAGTTAGCTCTTCTTGTTGAATTGATCCCTTTAGCATTATGTAATGGCCTTCTTTGTCTCTTTTGATCTTTGTTGGTTTAAAGTCTGTTTCATCAGAGACTAGGATTGCAACCCCTGCCTTTTTTTGTTTTCCATTTGCTTGGTAGAGCTTCCTCCATTCCTTTATTTTGAGGCTATGTGTGTCTCTGCACGTGAGATGGGTCTCCTGAATACAGCACACTGATGGGTCTTGACTCTTTATCCAATTTGCCAGTCTGTGTCTTTTAATTGGAGCATTTAGCCCATTTACATTTAAGGTTCATATTGTTATGTGTGAATTTGATCCTGTCATTATGATGTTAGGTGGTGATTTTGCTTGTTAGTTGATGCAGTTTCTTTATAGCATCGATGGTCTTTACAATTTGGCATGTTTTTGCAGTGGCTGGTACCGGTTGTTCCTTCCATGTTTAGTGCTTCCTTCAAGAGCTCTTGTAGGGCAGGCCTGGTGGTGACAAAATCTCTCAGCATTTGCTTGTCTGTGAAGTATTTTATTTCTCCTTCACTTATGAAGCTTAGTTTGGCTGGATATGCAATTCTGGGTTGAAAATTCTTTTCTTTAAGAACGTTGAATATAGGCCCCCACTCTCTTCTGGCTTGTAGAGTTTCTGCAGATCAATCCGCTGTTAGTCTGATGGGTTTCCCTTTGTGGGTAACCCGACCTTTCTCTCTGGCTGACCTTAACATTTTTTGTCTCATTTCAACTTTGGTGAATCTGACAATTATGTGTCTTGGAGTTGCTCTTCTCGAGGAGTATCTTTGTGGAATTCTCTGTATTTCCTGAATTTGAATGTTGGCCTGCCTTGCTAGGTTGGGGAAGTTCTCCTGGATAATATCATGCAGAGTGTTTTCCAGCTTGGTTCCATTCTCCCCATCATTTTCAGGTACACCAATCAGACGTAGATTTGGTCTTTTCACATAGTCCCATATTTCTTGGAGGCTTTGTTCATTTCTTTTTACTCTTTTTTCTCTAAACTTCTGTTCTTGCTTCATTTCATTCATTTGATCTTCAATCACTGATACCCTTTCTTCCAGTTGATGAAATTGGCTAATGAACTTGCCCATCCATCACGTAGTTCTTGTGTCATGGTTTTCAGCTCAATGAGGTCATTTAAGGACTTCTCTACGCTGGTTATTCTAGTTAGCCATTTGTCTAATCTTTTTTCTAGGTTTTTAACTTCTTTGCATTGGGTTCGAACTTCCTCCTTTAGCTCGGAGAAGTTTGATTGTCTGAAATCTTCTTCTCTCAACTTGTCAAAGTCATTCTCTGTCCAGCTTTGTTCCTTTGCTGGTGAGGAGCTGCGTTCCTTTGGAAGGGGAGAGTTACTCTGATTTTTAGAATTTTCAGCTTTTCTGCTCTGTTTTTTCCCCATCTTTGTGGTTTTATCTACCTTTGGTCTTTGATGATGGTGACATACAGATGGGGTTTTGGTGTGGATGTCCTTTCTGTTTGTTAGTTTTCCTTCTAACAGTCAGGACCCTCAGCTACAGGTCTGTTGGAGTTTGCTGGAGGTCCACTCCAGACCTTTGCCTGGGTATCAGCAGCAGAGGCTGTAGAACAGCGAATATTGCTGAACAGCAAATGTTGCTGCCTGATCGTTCCTCTGGAAGCTTTGTCTCAGAGGGGTACCTGGCTGTGCGAGGTGTCAGTCTGCCCCTACTGGGGGGTGCCTCCCAGTTAGGCTAGTCGGAGGTCAGGGACCCACTTGAGGAGGCAATCTGTCCGTTCTCAGATCTCCAGCTGCGTGCTGGGAGAACCACTACTCTCTTCAAAGCTGTCAGACAGGGACATTTAAGTCTACAGAGGTTTCTGCTACCTTTTGTTCAGCTATGCCCTGCCCCCAGAGGTGGAGTCTACATAGGCAGGCAGACCTCCTTGAGCTGCAGTGGGCTCCACCCAGTTCGAGCTTCCTGGCCTCTTTGTTTACCTACTCAAGCCTCAGCAATGGCGGGCGTCCCTCCCCCAGCCTCGCTGCTGCCTTGCAGTTCGATCTCAGACTGTTGTGCTAGCAATGAGCGAGGCTCTGTGGGCGTGGGACCCTCCGAGCCAGGTGTGGGATATAATCTCCTGGTGTGCTGTTTGCTAAGACCTTTGGAAAAGTGCAGTATTAGGGTTGGAGTGACCCAATTTTCCAGGTGCCATCTGTCACCATTTCCGTTGGCTAGGAAAGGGAATTCCCTGACCTCTTGTGCTTCCTGGATGAGGTGATGCCTCGCCCTCCTTCAGCTCACACTCAGTGGGCTGCACCTGCTGTCCTGCCCCCACTGTCCAACGAGCCCCAGTGAGATATACCCAGTACCTCAGTTGGAAATGCAGAAATCACCCATCTTCTGTGTCACTCACGTTGGGAGCTGTAGACTAGAGCTGTTCCTATTCGGCCATCTTGGAACTGCCCACCGGGCACACTTTTATCACAGGCTTCACCACTATGCAATATATGCACATAAGAAATCTGCACTGGTACCCCCAAACTTATTTTTAAAAAGTAAAGTTTTAGTTTCAACTTTTATAGTTAGAATTATAATTTACCTGGAAATAAGTTTTGTATATAGTGAGAAGTAGGTGTTAAATTTATTTTCTTTTTAAAATAAGGATAACCTACTGCTCCAGCTCTATTTATTGAGAAAACTTTCCCCTCTGATTTGCAGCATCACCTCTGTCATAAAGTACACACGCATAATTGGGTCTATTTCTGGGTTTCCATACTGCCTTATTTATCTTGTTTTCTTTTTTCCCTATTTCTATAGGACAAAAATGCCTTATTCATCTATTTGTCTCTCTCTGCATCAATTCCATACTGTTGTAATTATCACAGTTTTATAATAAATATTGATATTTCATTCTTCTTTAAGCCTGTCTTAAATATTCTTGGTTATTTGTACTTCGAGTCACTTGTCAATTTGCACACACACACAAACATAATGGGGAAAACCGACTTCTTTATAATATTGAGTCTTCCAAACTATAAGCAAAGTGTCTCTCTTCAGTTATTTAAATCTTATTTACTGCTTTTCAATAAAGCTTTATAATTTTCTTCACAGAAGTCTTAACACGCTTTGTCAGGTACTCAATTTTTTTTAATGCCTTTGCAAATGGTTGGTATCATTAAAAAATTTCAGTTTCTAACTGTTTATTGTTGGTGTACAGAAATGCCATTGATTTTGTAAATTGTTTTCTAAACAACACAATTAATGGGGTTGATTCAATACAGATGCATTTAGAAACATTTACCAATTAATTAAAGAAAGCATATTTTTGTTAAGCACACATGGAGCATCTACAAATATTGACCATGCTTTAGGTTACAAAACAACTCCAAAATACCAAAGAATCTATATCATACACACCACATGGTATGTCTATAATTTAAGGACATTTACAGAAAGAAAAAGAAACTTGGGATAAAAATCTAGTTCTTTTGGAAAATGTAAGGCATCTCTGAATCGACCAGAAAAAATATCATAAGGAGAAAAAATAATACTCAGAATTAAATAATAATGAAAATACTATATATCAAAACTTGTGACAGAGCTCACACAATACTTAAGAAAAAATTGTATCAGTCTTCTTTTAAATATTCTTTTTTTTTTGAGACAGAGGCTCACTCTGTCACCCATGCTGGAGTGCAGTGGCGTGATCTCTGCTCACTGCAACCTCTGCCTCCCGGGTTTGAGCGATTCTCCTGCCTCAGCCTCCCCAGTAGCTGGGATTACAGGCATGCACCACCATGCCTGGCTTATTTTTTTTTGTTTTGTTTTGTTTTTAGTAGAGACAGGGTTTTACCATTTTGGCCAGGCTGGTCTTGAACTCCTGGCCTCAAGACATCTGCCCGCCTCGGCTGCCCAAAGTGTTGGGATTACAGGCATGAGCCACCACACCTAGCCTTTATAAGTATTTTTAACAACTTTTATTAGAACAGGCTGAAGTTTAATGAGCTAGGTGTCAAAGCTAAGGACTTCGAAAAAGAACAAAAGAGTAAATACAAGAAAAAGAGAAGTAATGAGATAATAAAAAGTAAGAGCTAAAGGTAAAGAAATAGAAAACAAATATATAATAAGTAAGATCATCATGGCCAAAAGTTAGTTCTTTGAAAAGGGACCCCCAAATGATAAAGCACACACATGCACAAAATATAAATGAACAAAACTGGTATAATGAAAACAAAATAATCCTTCCACAACAAAACAAAGAAAATAAAACAAATCGATTCAGGTAGTTTTACAGATAATTTTTAAAAATGTTAAAGTAAAGGATAAGATTAATCTTGTCCAAAGTCATTTAGACAACTGAAAACAATGGAACACTTCCCAATTCAACTTATAGTATTAAAATAACCATGGCTCCAAAATTTGGCAGAGACAGTAAAAGAACAGTAAATTGTGAGTCAATTAACTTATAAACCTAGGTGCAAATATATTACAAAACCCCCAAAATATTGGCAGATTTAATCAGGGCAATATACATAAAAATATAGTAGGTGATGTCAAAACTGTTATATTGTAGGGACTCACGATTGGTTTAATGTTGAAAATTTCATTAATGAATTTACCACATTAATAATTTAAGCAGGGGGGAATTAGATGATAGTCTTAAAAGATTTGGAAAAACCATTTGAAAGACTTCAAATCCATTTATCATAAAAACTCTATGATTTAGAAATAGAATGATCTCCCTAGATATTTCAACTTGCATTATTAATTTATAAAAGTTTCATATTAATTGGAACTTTCCCCTTCCAAAATAATGCAAGGACCTTAGCACACATTAATTTTCATTTACTCTCTCTGACTTATATGTGTATTTTAATTTAAAGATACTTTAAACCTCTTGAGACTTTATTATTCCAGTTTCATAACTCAATATTTATATAGACTTATCCCTATTTTTATTGATCTTCATTCTGCCCTATAGTGTTATCCTTCCACAGAGATAATTTTTCTTCTGCCTCTGGAGAGCCCTTAGTGTTGCCATTGGTGAGAGTCCACTGGTGATGAATTCTGTCAGATTTTTTTCTGCAAGCCTTTTTTTTTTAACCTTTGTTTTTAAAAAATATTTTCACTGAAATTCTAGGTTTGCAGTGTTTTTATTTCTCTTACAGCACTTTTAAGAGGCCATTCAACTGAATTTTGGCTTCTATTGTTTCTGTTGAGAAATTAACTTTCAGTTTTATTGATATTCCTTAGAAGGTTTAGCTAACATTTTTCTTCAGCTGATTTTCTTGTTGTCTTTGCATAGCAGTAGTTTTATATGTCCAGGGTGTTTTTTTGTTTTTTTTTTGTTTTTTTTTGTTTTTTGTTTTTTTGTTTTTTTTGGCTCCTCCTGTTTGTGGTTCATTGGGCTTCTTGACTTATTGGTTGATGTCTTGCATATGTTTCGGAAAGTTCTCAACCATTATCTCTTCAAATACTACTGTCTTTTTATGGTCCATCTTGCCTCCTTCTAAGAATTCATTTAAACACAAGTTAGACTTCACAGAATCCTGAATATCTTTTGCCCTGTGATGGTTAATCTTATGTGTCAACTTGACTATGTTAAGGAATGGCCAGATAGCTGGTAAAACATTACTTCTGGTGTAGAAGAGATTAATATGTGAATTGATAGATTTAGTAAAGATGATCTACCTTCTCCAGTGTGGGCCAGCATCATCCCATGTGTTGAGGGCCAGGATGAAATAAGAAGTCAGAAAAAGGGAAACAAAACAATACAAAAACCAAAAACCATATATCTTCTCCTGCCTTTGGACATCAGAGCTTTTTGTTCAGACTCTAAGACCTACACCATCCCCCACCCCCACCCTAACCCCCGGCTCTTAGGCCTCTGGACTGGGAATGAATTACACCTGTAGCTTACCTGGTTCTCCAGACTGCAGGTGGCACATTGTGGGACTTAGCCTACATAACCATGTGAGACGAATCTCCTCTTATATATAGCTCTGTATATGCTATTGGTTGTTTCTTTGGAGAACCCTGACTGATGCATACCCTTGCTTCTGCATTTTTTTCCTCCTGTCCTTTTGTCTCCCCATGCTCTATGCTGAATATTTTCTCCTAACTTTACTTCTAAGCCACTAATTTGCTCTTCAGATGTTTCCAATCTGCATTTGAATTCATCTAGTGAGTAATTTATCCTTGTTATTTTGTTGTATTTTTCACTGTTAGGATTTCCACTTGATTATTTTCTATAGTTTCTAGTTCTCTTCTGAAATTCTGAATCTTGCCTCTTATTTCCTTGAGCATAAGCACAGTTATTTCACTGATAACTGATAATCCCAATGTTTGGATCCCCTGTTAGTCTGTCAGGGAAACATCAGCGCCAGAGACTGGGCTCTTCTCCCTGTACCTCTGTTCTCCCCCAAATACTAGCTTGCTAATTCTCCACTGTTTTGTTAACTTTTAAGTTCTTCTAAACAGTTAAAAAATATTTGATATGATTCTTCTGGTATCTTAGAGGAGAGTTGATCTGAATTACCTACTCTATTATTTCTGAAAATCAAAGTCAGGAGATTTTTACTATTCTGGTTTTTAAAATCATGTGCATATGTTACTTCTATAATTAAAAGCAAAGCTCACATTTAAAAAATAAGGTAGATATATGTGTTCTGACATGGAAAGCTTTCTGAAGCGGAAAGTGCAAGATATGCCAAAGAATAATATGTATACAATAATATTAAAACTAATATTCAATATGATTGAGTGCTTATTATGTACAGGAAACTGTTCTAAGGTCTTTGAATGTATTGAATAATTTACTTCTCATAAGATGCCTAAGAAGTAGCTACTGTTATTAGCCTCATATTGTAGATGAGGAAACTGAGGACAGGGAGGTTAATGAACTTGCTCAAGGCCACACATCTAGTATGTAATAGACACAAGATTGAAATCCAGGCTACAGCCCTCAAGAGCACATGCAGTAAGCCACTGTATTGCTTAGACATGACAGATAGCATACCACCCCGAAAACTGACCAAGAAATATACCAAACTATTAGCAGTGGCTTCTTCTTCTTCTTCTTCTTCTTTTTTTTTTTTTTTTTTTTTTTTTTTTTTGAGACAGAGTCTCATTCTGTCACCCAGGCTGGAGTGCAGTGGCACAATATCAGCTCACTGCAACCTCCGCCTCCTGGGTTCAAGCGATTCTTCTGCCTCAGCTTCCTGAGTAGCTGGGACTACAGGCATTCACCACTATGCCTGGCTAATTTTTGTGTTTTTAGTAGAGATGGGGTTTCACTATATGATGGCCAGGCTGGTCTCAAACTCCTTGCCTCAGGTGATTCGCCTACCTCGGCCTCCCAAAGAGCTGGTGGCTTCTTATTGACATTGAAGATAAATGTGGCTTTACTTTTTATTCTGTATCCATTCTGTAAAATATGGTAGCCACTAGCCACTTATGGGTATTTCAATTTAAGCTAATTAAAATTAAATAAAAATGAAAATCAGCTCCTCTGCTTCAGTAGTTCCATTTCAAATGCGCTCAATAGCCACAGGTGGCTAATGGCTACTGTATTGAACTGTGCAGATATAGAACATTTCCATCATCACAGAAAGTTTTATTGGACAGTGCACTTTGTAGAGTTCAACAGTGTTTGAATTTTTTATAATAAGTATACATTCATGATTTACTTTTGTAATTAAATAGAAAGGATCAATGAGAGAAAGGAAACTGTTTATTCAAAGCTAAATTTCTTTTTCCCTGTTACTTGACCATGACTTTCTTCCACCTTCTGGAGTTGATCGGTCTATTTTTTCTAACAATTGCCTCTTTGGGTATTCAAAAGCAACACAATGCATAAATCAGTGAAAAGCTCATTTGAATAAAACCATTATGGGTTTCCTAAGAATGTAGTGACATCTACATAGGGCTATATTCCTCTTGACTGTTTGGAAGCATTTAAAATGCGCCTTAGTTTAAGACATGTTAACCAAATCATGTGCATTTAAAAAAGGCTTTTTTGAAAGCACATTGGCAAAATATTTGTAATTTATTTTACTAAAAATCAAGCTAATTGATTGCATGTTTCTGTGAATTTTAAAATTGTAAAACTGAGGAAAATTTATTTTTAAAGTACTCTTTCCATTTGTGGAATATACAAGTAATCAGAGGACATTTGAACTAGAAAGAACATTTTTATTCATCCTAAAGAGTCAGAAGAACTTCAATCTCATCTTCTAAGTAATTTAACAAAGTAAGGACTGGAAACGCTTAGTTTGGACATGACTAAACTTCTAAAAACTGAAGAAGTTCTATGCTATGGAATACAGAGTGAATTTTTCTGGGTGGCTCCAGGTAGCAGAACTAGAACCAGTCGGGGAAAACCAACTGGAATATTTTAACAAGTTGAATTCCAGTAATGAAATGAACTGAACAATCTGATGACTTCCTTCCCTGATATCAAAAGAATTTGAGCAGAGTTTAAAAGGCCCAGGGAACTGGGCAAAGGATTGCTCTGTTGGATGCGAGGCTAATAGGATGACCTTCTTTAACTGTTAGGTTCTCCAATTTTATGACACTTCTTGTATTGAATATCCATGGCACTGTCACCAGCTGTACCTATAATTCAGCTTAGGCTAAGTTATTGTGCAATATCAAACAACTCCCAATCTGTGGCTTACAATAACAAAGGTTTATTTCCCTATCTGCATGGAAGTCAGTTTCACTGCAGATCAACTGTAGCTCTGCTCCACATCGTCTTCTTTTCAGGCTCCAGAAAGAATAATCAATCCCTATCTGGGACATTGTTGGTCTTGTGGTAAAAATAAGGAAATATGGATGAACCACACAATAGTTTTAAAGCTTCTGCTCTAAAGTGGTACATAACTTCCACTCACATTTCAATGGGCAACACTTGTCATATGGCTAAATTGGCTGCCAATGGGGTAGGGACTAAAATCTTCCTATAAGGATGGGCAGCATGTGCCTGAGAGCAATAATAAAATCTACCATACAAGTTAATGGAAAATAGTCAAATGTGAGCTGAAAAAGGGTTTGAATGAAGACACAGGTAAAATGGAACTGAATGCCAGGATTAATCCCTCCCTCTCTTCCTGTCTTCCTCCTCTCTCTCTCTTTCTCTCTTCCTACTTTTCACACATGCTTTCCTTCCTTTCTTTACTTCCAAAAGTGTATCCAATTATAGGCACTGAGTTACGGCTTGAGGATGCCTGAGGTTAATAATGCAAACTCTGTTCTAGACAAACTGATATTCTAGTGGCAGAAAAAGTAAGTAAACATATATATGTATATATCCACATCAAGTGCTATAAAAAGGTAAATACATAGTTATCTGAGTGCACAAAGGCCAAATATCCCAAAATTTTGTGGTAAGGGTTAGTGATTTATAGAACAGACCTTAATCTCAAACTGAGAGTTAACAAAGAAGAAAGGTCGCATTCTAGTTACAGGGAAGAGCATATGTAGAGACTCAGATGTGGGAGAGAGCAGGGCTCTATTTGGAGATCACAGGTTCAGTGTGCATGGCACCTGGACTGGAGAAAGAAAGACAAAGAAGGGTGAATATGGGTGAGGCTTTAAGTGATGACATTGTGAGGAGATGTATCAGCCATTCCACGCATGTTCATATAGTGCTGATTTGGGGCCAGCCTACTATTTACTGAGTAACTGCCATAAGCATTGTGTGGAATAAGGTCTGGTAGGGAAGGTTAATGTATAGAGAAAGGGGTGATGTTCACTGGTTTTATATTGAGAGACTTGTTTGAAAGGTGGCAGATTGACTACTTAGTTTTCATGTACTCTGAAACATCATGTAAGAGACAGTGAGGGATCCACAAAAGGAGAAAAATACCCTTATAAGGACAAGAAGAACAGGCAAGGATATGACATCTACAATAATACGGCATTGGGGAAGACTGTATGAGTGATAAATGACTTAGCCGCCAAAATAAAGCAAAATACTGTCAGTGACAGGAAAAGTCAAGAAGCAACCCAGCTTCTGTTGCAGAACTCTCAACAGTCTTTATAACTAGTGTTACCAGGTGCCCCTGGAAGTGGGGCTGAAGGCAGAGTTAAAATAGAACTAAGTGAAAGTCTACTTTATGATGAAATTAGAAGCTGCACAGCTCCCTCACCCCTCATCTTCTCCACTGCACACTGCCAGTCAGTAGACAAAAGGTTTACAGATTTGTTTTCTGGAAATATTAAAAGCAGAGAGTCTTTGAACCGATGTAACACCAGGCACAGTTGAAAGTGGGGGTACAATTGTGAAAGCAGGGTGATTAAGTGGCATTTACATATCAGATATTGAGATCCAAGTTTACCATCCTACTGGTAGCCAGATTTATGCCTGCCTTCTCTGCAGATTCTACTCCTTCTAAGAGGAAAGATGAAAGATAGCAACATTAGAAATACTCAGAGAAATGGTCCAGCCATACCATCCTATAACCCATGGCTGAGTAGGCCCCCAAAAATATTTTATTTGGTTTCTCAGTGTTCCATTTTTAAACATGAATGGACAGCTAGGAAATATCAGTCAATTGAGGAAGTATCTAATGTGACAGACTGGGGCCGAATCTCATAAATTTACCACTACTGGGAGGAAGCAGAATAGTAGAGAAAATAAAACCTGGGAAAATAATTATTAATATTCTCACAGAGATCAGAAAAGAATAGGAGGCTAAGGAAAAGTGACATTCAGAGAATACAATGACGGTACAATGACAGCAATACTAAAAAATTAATAGAAGGATTAGAAGATGAAGTTGAAACCATTTCCAGAACACCAGTCAAAACCACAAGATGGAAAATGAGAAAGAAGATAAACAAAATTAGAGGATAATTCATAAGACATAACTTTCAAATAACTGGAGTTCCAGAAAACAATAGAGAATTGGCAGGAGGGAAATCATCAAAGAAATAATTCAAAAATGTCCCAAAATAGAAGGAAGTGAGCTTCTAGACTAAAAGGGCCCACTTGTGCCCCACCTACACAATAGAAATTTACTGAGGTCAAGGCACATCGTGAAATTTTAAAACACTGGGGAAAATAGATCATTTACATTATCAAGATAAAAACATATGAAACCCAGTGATGATCAGGAATCAGAATGGTATCTTTTCAACACCAACACGGATAGAAAACAGTGGGAAATGTCCTCAGATTTCCAAGCAAAAATATTTTTCATCAGTTAATTCTATACCCCGTGTTATGAACTGAATGGTTGTGTCCCTTCCCCAAATTCACATGTTGAAACCATAACCCCTAATGTGATGGTATTACGTGGTGGGGCCTTTGGAAGGTAATTGAGCTTAGATGAGGTAGTGAGGGTGGAGCCACCATGATGGAATTAGTGTCCTTATAGGAAGAGGAAGAGACTAGAGAGCTCTCACTCTCTCTCTCTCTGCATGTGAGGATACAGCAAGAAACAGCCACCTGTCAGCCAGGAAGAGGGCCTTCACCAGAATCTGACCATGCTGGTACCTTCATCTCAGACTTCTAGCCTTTAGAACTGAGAAATCAGTGTCTATTATTTAAGCCACCCCATCTATGGTGTTTTGTTATAGCAGCCTGAGCTAACTAAGACATCCAATCTAACAATAAATTAATGTGAGGATGCAATAAAGACACTTTCAGACATTTAAAGTCTCAAAAAAATGTACCTCCCCTGTTTTTTTTTTTTTTTGTTTTTTTTTTTGTTTTTGGTGGTTGGGGGTGGATAGGGATGATAGTGGAATATGTGCTCCTTCAAAATTAGAGTAAATCAAGAAAGTGAATGACATAGATTCTGGAAATAGGGGACTGAGTATAGAATAGAAGCAAAAGGACCCTCCTGCATGATGAGGAAAGCAGATCCCAGGATGATGGCTGTGCATTAGGACGGAGCACTACCAGTTCATATTGGTGCAGGTCAGTAAGCTCATAAAGAAATTATCTTCAAGTAGATAAAATTGATACCTTAATGCATTTAAACAGATTTGCACAACTGGGAGAGAATTTGTTAAAGTTAGTATTTAGTACAAATATCTAGAAGCAAACAAATAACATAAAAGGCATTTACAAATGTGAGTGTAAACAAAAGGTACAGGAAAGGAGAAGTACACATAGTACATTACTCAACTCAGCTGAGAATGGCATTTAGATAGTTATGGTAATGGAATCACTGAATATTGATCTATAACTCAGCTTATTCATAGGCTGCAGGGACTGCCAGAATTTGACAAACATTTTTGTAAAGAGCCAAATAATAAATATTTTAAGCTTTGTGGGCAACATGGTCTCTGTCACAACTACTCAACTCTGCTATCCTGGCACTAAAACAGCCAGAGACAAGCATAAACAAATGGGCATGACTGTATTTCAGTTATATCTTATTTACAAAAACAGGTGGCCCTGGTTTGCTGATCCCCAGGCAAGAAATATGTGTGTGTAGAGAAAGAGGTGAGGTGGAGAACTAAGCCTTTGTATTTTATAGAGGGAAGACAAGAGTGAATGACTGAGATCGAAAAACAACAACAACAACGAAGTAGTAATCTAAGCCTATTTTTTCAAGATATGGAGATGAATACTAAATGAAAATGGGGGGATGTAGTGGGAGACTTCTCTTTATTGTATGAATATGACCTTTGTAGAACTGTTTATTTCTTTAAACCATATGCTTGTATAAGTTGAATAAAATAATGAAATTAAAAATTAAAAATATTAAAATTCATGTGGGCAGCAAACTGTAGTTCACATATGTTTAGGTGATTAAGAAAGATGAGGTCACGCTGAGTATTCTATGAGAAGGGGGAATTAGGACCCTGAAGCTCAGGCAGAGTTTTCATGATCTCCGTCTCCTCCTCCCCATCCCAAGGTGAAGACCCTGGGGTACATGGATAGGTTGCATGTCTGTTCTTCAAGGTTAGGTGTTTAGCAGTTGAAAATATCAACACCTGTAATGCCTTTTTAAAAAAAATTTTTAATTTTTATTTTAAGTTCCAGGATACAAGTGCAGAACGTGTAGGTTTGTTACATAGGTATATGTGTGCCATGGTGGTTTGCTGCACCTGTCAACCTGTCATCTAGGTTTGAAGCCCCACACGCATTAGCTATTTGTCCTAATGCTCTTCCTCCTCTTGCCCCCAGCCTCCCGACTGGGCCGGGTGTGTGTTGCTTCCCTCCCTGTGTCCATGTGTTCTCATTGTTCAACTCCCACTTATGAGTGAGAACATGTAGTGTTTGGTTTTCTGTTCCTGTGTTAGTTTGCTGAAGATGATGGCTTCCAGCTCTATCCATGTCCCTGCAAAGGACATGGATCTCATTCCTTTTTATGGCTGCATAGTATTCCATGGTGTATAGGTACCGCATTTTCTTTATCTAGTCTATCATTGATGGGCATTTGGGTTGGTTCCATGTCTTTGCTATTGTAAATAGTGCTGCAATAAACACATGTGTGCATGTCTTTATAGTAGAATGATTTATATTCCTTTGTGTATATACTCAGTAATGGGATTGCTGGGTCAAATGGTATTTCTGGTTCTAGATCCTTGAGGAATTGCCACACTGTCTTCCACAATGGTTGAACTAATTTACACTTCCACCAATAGTATAAAAGCATTCCTATTTCTCCATAGCCTCTCCAGCATCTATTGTTTCTTGACTTTTTAGCAATCGCCATTCTGACTGGCATGAGATGGTATCTCATTGTGGTTTTGATTTGCGTTTCTCTGATGATCAGTGATGTTGAGCTTTTTTTCATATGTTTGTTGACTGCATAAATGTCTTCTTTTGAGAAGTGTCTGTTCATGTCCTTTGCCCACTTTTTGATGGAGTTATTTTTTTTTTCTTGTAAATTTGTTTAAGTTCCTTGTAGATTCTGGATATTAGATCTTTGGCAGATGGGTAGATTGCAAACATTTTCTCCCATTCTATTGGTTGCCTGCTCACTCTGATGATAGTTTCTTTCACTTTGTAGAAGCTCTTTCATTCTATTAGATCCCATTTGTCAATTTTGGCTTTTGTTGCAATTGCTTTTAGCATTTTCATCATGAAATCTTTGCCCATGCCTATTTCCTGAATGGTATTGCCTAGATTTTCTTCTAGGGTTTTTATGGTTTTGGGTTTTATATTTAAGTAAGTCTTTAATCCATCTTGAGTTAATTTTTGTGTAAGGTGTAAGGAAAAGGTCCAGTACTGGTACCAAAACAGACATATAGTCCAATGGAACAGAGTCCTCAGAAATAATACGATATATCTACAACCATCTGATCTTCAACAAACCTGACAAAAACAAGCAATAGGGAAAGGATTCCCTATTTAATAAATGGTTCTGGGAAAATTGGCTAGCCATATGCAGAAAACACCCAAAATGTCTTAATGCCAGGCTCATGTTGGCAGTTTCCTGGTCTGTGACCTGCTAGTGGAGCTCTGGTGGCTGACACAGACCGCATTGTGGCCTGTACTTGTGGGTGGGTTGGGGATCTGTGGGTCAAGGCCCTCAGGAATGTCTGGCCTGGCATGATCTCCCATTAGCAGACACAGCTAGATCAGTTGCATGGCAGGTTGGCAAGGTTTCTGGAGAGCAGGCTGTGTGGGGGCAACTGCTAAGCATGGCTAGGTGGAAAGGCCCATGAGCAGGGTGAGGGTGCTGGACCTACACCTGAGCTGGGTTCAGGCTGGAGTAATAGAAGTGCTGGGGAGACTTGTGGGTCTGAGGCACTCCCTGGGTGCTGAATCATAATAGAGGGCTTACAGAAAATTAATGAAGCCAATTTCTGACTGGAATCATTGTTTGTGAATCATGTGTCTTTGCTCATTAAATAAATTATCGGTGTCTTCCCAGTCATTATGGATGCATTGTAAATTAGGGCTATTCATAAACAATTTGCTTCTGTTGTGTTTAAATGGGGTTGGGATTGGGGAGGAGAAGGAGGGTGACCAGTAGGGAGGAGAGGCTGGAGGCCAGAGTTGCTGAAAGGGGCAGCTGAGTTGGGAGGGGAGCAGGGTTGAGGAGGAGTCAGGCCTGAGGAGGAGGGGTTTGGCTCCGGCCCCTTCCCCCAAGTGGCGTACATTAGGTTCTACAGATCTGCCATCATTACCAACTGGGCAAAGACCTCCCTCAAAATTGTGTCTAAGACCCCATGCCCACCTCTTCTTAGCCCCTTTCCAATAGATCCAAATGTCCTTGATTGGAGGGTGGGTAGAGGGCACACGATTTCTCCGACATAATCAGCTGTGCACATCCCCAGCAGCAGAAGACTCGGGGAGCCCCTTGGCACTCTCTTCTTCCTGACCCCTCTCTCTGAGACCCTTGCTTCAAGCCCACGGGCAGCTAGGACCCCTGAGGTAAAGATGGTCAGGGGCTGACTGCTCATCCCAGGGGCCTTATGATGGCTGCAAAAAGACTGAGGAAGGGCCCAAAAGAGGAAAATAAGGAAGGAATGAAAAGCCAGTTGAAGCAGAGAGGGACAGAGGACGAAGAAGTAGTCTCCGAGATTGATTCTGTTTACCAGTGAGGAAAGCCCTTTCTTTTTTTTTTTTTTTTTTTTTTTTTTAGTTTTAAGGAGCAGGGAGTTTAATAGGCAAGAGAGAAGGGGGAGGAAAGAAAGAAAAAGCTCCCCTCTACAGAGACAGAGGGAGGGTGGCTCCAAAGCCAAGAGACAGAACCCCGCTTTCAGATAGTATCAACCAGCTATATTGGAAGGCTGGAGGAGGCGGTGTCTGATTTGCATAAAGCTCGGGGCATTGGTTTGACCAGGCATGTCATTCACGTAGCCCGCGAAAAAACTGGGCCTCCCATCCTCTCTTTTTAATATGCAAATGCAGGGCGCCATGATGTTCCACACACGTGGGGATATGTAGGGGCAGCCATACTGCCAGGCACATGTGGGGGCAAGGGCAAGAGGACAACGGTGGGAATTGCCATGTTAGGTGGACCCAGTTTCTTTTTTTTTTTTTTAATTATACTTTAAGTTTTAGGGTACATGTGCACATTGTGCAGGTTAGTTACATATGTAAACATGTGCCATGCTGGTGCGCTGCACCCACTAACTCGTCATCTAGCATTAGGTGTATCTCCCAATGCTATCCCTCCCCCCTACCCCCACCCCACCACAGTCCCCAGAGTGTGATATTCCCCTTCCTGTGTCCATGTGATCTCATTGTTCAACTCCCACCTATGAGTGAGAATATGTGGTGTTTGGTTTTTTGTTCTTGCGATAGTTTACTGAGAATGATGACTTCCAATTTCATCCATGTCCCTACAAAGGACATGAACTCATCATTTTTTATGGCTGCATAGTATTCCATGGTGTATATATGCCACATTTTCTTAATCCAGTCTATCATTGTTGGACATTTGGGTTGGTTCCAAGTCTTTGCTATTGTGAATAATGCCACAATAAACATACGTGTGCATGTGTCTTTATAGCAGCATGATTTATAGTCCTTTGGGTATATACCCAGTAATGGGATGGCTGGGTCAAATGGTATTTCCAGTTCTAGATCCCTGAGGAATCGCCACACTGACTTCCACAATGGTTGAACTAGTTTACAGTCCCACCAACAGTGTAAAACTGTTCCTATTTCTCCACATCCTCTCCAGCACCTGTTGTTTCCTGACTTTTTAATGATTGCCATTCTAACTGGTGTGAGATGGTATCTCATTGTGGTTTTGATTTGCATTTCTCTGATGGCCAGTGATGATGAGCATTTTTTCATGTGTTTTTTGGCTGCATAAATGTCTTCTTTTGAGAAGTGTCTGTTCATGTCCTTCGCCCACTTTTTGATGGGGTTGTTTGTTTTTTTCTTGTAAATTTGTTTGAGTTCACTGTAGATTCTGGATATTAGCCCTTTGTCAGATGAGTAGGTTGCGAAAATTTTCTCCCATTTTGTAGGTTGCCTGTTCACTCTGATGGTAGTTTCTTTTGCTGTGCAGAAGCTCTTTAGTTTAATTAGATCCCATTTGTCAATTTTGGCTTTTGTTGCCATTGCTTTTGGTGTTTTAGACATGAAGTCCTTGCCCATGCCTATGTCCTGAATGGTATTGCCTAGGTTTTCTTCTAGGGTTTTTATGGTTTTAGGTCTAACATTTACATCTTTAATCCATCTTGAATTGATTTTTGTATAAGGTGTAAGGAAGGGATCCAGTTTCAGCTTTCTACATATGGCTAGCCAGTTTTCCCAGCACCATTTATTAAATAGGGAATCCTTTCCCCATTGCTTGTTTTTCTCAGGTTTGTCAAAGATCAGATAGTTGTAGATATGCGGTGTTATTTCTGAGGGCTCTGTTCTGTTCCATTGATCTATATCTCTGTTTTGGTACCAGTACCATGCTGTTTTGGTTACTGTAGCCTTGTAGTATAGTTTGAAGTCAGGTAGTGTGATGCCTCCAGCTTTGTTCTTTTGGCTTAGGATTGACTTGGCGATGCAGGCTCTTTTTTGGTTCCATATGAACTTTAAAGTAGTTTTTTCCAATTCTGTGAAGAAAGTCATCGGTAGCTTTATGAGGATGGCATTGAATCTATAAATTACCTTGGGCAGTATGGCCATTTTCATGATATTGATTCCTCCTACCCATGAGCATGGAATGTTCTTCCATTTGTTGTTTGTATCCTCTTTTATTTCCTTGAGCAGTGGTTTGTAGTTCTCCTTGAAGAGGTCCTTCACATCCCTTGTAAGTTGGATTCCTAGGTATTTTATTCTCTTTGAAGCAATTGTGAATGAGAGTTCACTCATGATTTGGCTCTCTGTTTGTCTGTTATTGGTGTATAAGAATGCTTGTGATTTTTGTACATTGATTTTGTATCCTGAGACTTTGCTGAAGTTGCTTATCAGCTTAAGGAGATTTTGGGCTGAGACAATGGGGTTTTCTAGATATACAGTCATGTCATCTGCAAACAGGGACAATTTGACTTCCTCTTTTCCTAATTGAATACCCTTTATTTCCTTCTCCTGCCTAATTGCCCTGGCCAGAACTTCCAACACTATGTTGAATAGGAGTGGTGAGAGAGGGCATCCCTGTCTTGTGCCAGTTTTCAAAGGGAATGCTTCCAGTTTTTGCCCATTCAGTATGATATTGGCTGTGGGTTTGTCATAGATAGCTCTTATTATTTTGAAATACGTCCCATCAATACCTAATTTATTGAGAGTTTTTAGCATGAAGGGTTGTTGAATTTTGTCAAAGGCTTTTTCTGCATCTATTGAGATAATCATGTGGTTTTTGTCTTTGGCTCTGTTTATATGCTGGATTACATTTATTGATTTGCGTATATTGAACCAGCCTTGCATCCCAGGAATGAAACCCACTTGATCATGGTGGATAAGCTTTTTGATGTGCTGCTGGATTCGTTTTGCCAGTATTTTATTGAGGATTTTTGCATCAATGTTCATCAAGGATATTGGTCTAAAATTCTCTTTTTTTGTTGTGTCTCTGCCTGGCTTTGGTATCAGAATGATGCTGGCCTCATAAAATGAGTTAGGGAGGATTCCCTCTTTTTCTATTGATTGGAATAGTTTCAGAAGGAATGGTACCAGTTCCTCCTTGTACCTCTGATAGAATTCGGCTGTGGATCCATCTGGTCCTGGACTCTTTTTGGTTGGTAAACTATTGATTATTGCCACAATTTCAGCTCCTGTTATTGGTCTATTCAGAGATTCAACTTCTTCCTGGTTTAGTCTTGGGAGAGTGTATGTGTCGAGGAATTTATCCATTTCTTCTAGATTTTCTAGTTTATTTGCGTAGAGGTGTTTGTAGTATTCTCTGATGGATGGTAGTTTTTATTTCTGTGGGATCGGTGGTGATATCCCCTTTATCATTTTTTATTGTGTCTATTTGATTCTTCTCTCTTTTTTTCTTTATTAGTCTTGCTAGCGGTCTATCAATTTTGTTGATCCTTTCAAAAAACCAGCTCCTGGATTCATTGATTTTTTGAAGGATTTTTTGTGTCTCTATTTCCTTCAGTTCTGCTCTGATTTTAGTTATTTCTTGCCTTCTGCTAGCTTTTGAATGTGTTTGCTCTTGCTTTTCTAGTTCTTTTAATTGTGATGTTAGGGTGTCAATTTTGGATCTTTCCTGCTTTCTCTTGTGGGCATTTAGTGCTATACATTTCCCTCTACACACTGCTTTGAATGCATCCCAGAGATTCTGGTATGTTGTGTCTTTGTTCTCGTTGGTTTCAAAGAACATCTTTATTTCTGCCTTTATTTCGTTATGTATCCAGTAGTCATTCAGGAGCAGGTTGTTCAGTTTCCATGTAGTTGAGCGGTTTTGA
Source organism: Homo sapiens (assembly GCF_000001405.40). NCBI lineage: Eukaryota > Metazoa > Chordata > Mammalia > Primates > Hominidae > Homo > Homo sapiens. The sequence goes on along the minus strand of NC_000003.12, from coordinate 135,587,430 downwards.
GTGAGATTCTTAATCCTGAGTTCTAGTTTGATTGCACTGTGGTCTGAGAGATAGTTTGTTATAATCTCTGTTCTTTTACCTTTGCTGAGGAGAGCTTTACTTCCAAGTATGTGGTCAATTTTGGAATAGGTGTGGTGTGGTGCTGAAAAAAATGTATATTCTGTTGATTTGGGGTGGAGAGTTCTGTAGATGTCTATTAGGTCTGCTTGGTGCAGAGCTGAGTTCAATTCCTGGGTATCCTTGTGGACTTTCTGTCTCGTTGATCTGTCTAATGTTGACAGTGGGGTGTTAAAGTCTCCCATTATTAATGTGTGGGAGTCTAAGTCTCTTTGTAGGTCACTCAGGACTTGCTTTATGAATCTGGGTGCTCCTGTATTGGGTGCATATATATTTAACATAGTTAGCTCTTCTTGTTGAATTGATCCCTTTACCATTACGTAATGGCCTTCTTTGTCTCTTTTGATCTTTGTTGGTTTAAAGTCTGTTTTATCAGAGACTAGGATTGCAACCCCTGCCTTTTTTTGTTTTCCATTTGCTTGGTAGATCTTCCTCCATCCTTTTATTTTGAGCCTATGTGTGTCTCTGCATGTGAGATGGGTTTCCTGAATACAGCACACTGATGGGTCTTGACTGTTTATCCAATTTGCCAGTCTGTGTCTTTTAATTGGAGCATTTAGTCCATTTACATTTAAAGTTAATATTGTTATGTGTGAATTTGATCCTGTCATTATGATGTTAGCTGGTTATTTTGCTCATTAGTTGATGCAGTTTCTTCCTAGTCTCAATGGTCTTTACATTTTGGCATGATTTTGCAGTGGCTGGTACCGGTTGTTCCTTTCCATGTTTAGCGCTTCCTTCAGGAGCTCTTTTAGGGCAGGCCTGGTGGTGACAAAATCTCTCAGCATTTGCTTGTCTGTGAAGTATTTTATTTCTCCTTCACTTATGAAGCTTAGTTTGGCTGGATATGAAATTCTGGGTTGAAAATTCTTTTCTTTAAGAATGTTGAATATTGGCCCCTACTCTCTTCTGGCTTGTAGGGTTTCTGCCGAGAGATCCACTGTTAGTCTGATGGGCTTCCCTTTGAGGGTAACCCGACCTTTCTCTCTGGCTGCCCTTAACATTTTTTCCTTCATTTCAACTTTGGTGAATCTGACAATTATGTGTCTTGGAGTTGCTCTCTCGAGGAGTATCTTTGTGGCGTTCTCTGTGTTTCCTGAAACTGAACGTTGGCCTGCCTTGCTAGACTGGGGAAGCTCTCCTGGATAATATCCTGCAGAGTGTTTTCCAACTTGGTTCCATTCTCCCCATCACTTTCCGGTACACCAATCAGACGTAGATTTGGTCTTTTCACATAGTCCCATATTTCTTGGAGGCTTTGCTCATTTCTTTTTATTCTTTTTTCTCTAAACTTCCCTTCTCGCTTCATTTCATTCATTTCATCTTCCATTGCTGACACCCTTTCTTCCAGTTGATTGCATCGGCTCCTGAGGCTTCTGCATTCTTCACGTAGTTCTCGAGCCTTGGTTTTCAGCTCCATCAGCTCCTTTAAGCACTTCTCTGTATTGGTTATTCTAGTTATACATTTTTCTAAATTTTTTTCAAAGTTTTCAACTTCTTTGCCTTTGGTTTGAATGTCCTCCCATAGCTCAGAGTAATTTGATCGTCTGAAGCCTTCTTCTCTCAGCTCGTCAAAGTCATTCTCCATCCAGCTTTGTTCCGTTGCTGGTGAGGAACTGCATTCCCCTGGAGGAGGAGAGGCGCTCTGCGTTTTAGAGTTTCCAGTTTTTCTGTTCTGTTTTTTCCCCATGTTTGTGGTTTTATCTACTTTTGGTCTTTGATGATGGTGATGTACAGATGGATTTTTGGTGTGGATGTCCTTTCTGTTTGTTAGTTTTCCTTCTAACAGACAGGACCCTCAGCTGCAGGTCTGTTGGAATACCCTGCCATATGAGGTGTCAGTGTGCCCCTGCTGGGGGGTGCCTCCCAGTTAGGCTGCTCGGGGGTCAGGGGTCAGGGACCTACTTGAGGAGGCAGTCTGCCCTTTCTCAGATCTCCAGCTGCGTGCTGGGAGAACCACTGCTCTCTTCAAAGCTGTAAGACAGGGACATTTAAGTCTGCAGAGGTTACTGCTGTCTTTTTGTTTGTCTGTGCCCTGCCCCCAGAGGTGGAGCCTACAGAGGCAGGCAGGCCTCCTTGAGCTGTGGTGGGCTCCACCCAGTTCGAGCTCGAGGCTGCTTTGTTTACCTAATCAAGCCTGGGCAATGGTGGGCGCCCCTCCCCCAGCCTCGCTGCCGCCTTGCAGTTTGATCTCAGACTGCTGTGCTAGCAATCAGCGAGACTCCGTGGGTAGGACCCTCCGAGCCAGGTGCAGGATATAATCTCGTGCGCCGTTTTTTAAACCGGTCCGAAAAGCGCAATATTCGGGTGGGAGTGACCCGATTTTCCAGGTGCGTCCGTCACCCCTTTCTTTGACTCGGAAAGGGAACTCCCTGACCCCTTGCGCTTCCCAAGTGAGGCAATGACTTGCCCTGCTTCGGCTCGTGCACGGTGCTTGTACCCACTGACCTGCGCCCACTGTCTGGCACTCCCTAGTGAGATGAACCCGGTACCTCAGATGGAAATGCAGAAATCACCCATCTTCTGCGTCGCTCACGCTGGGAGCTGTAGACTGGAGCTGTTCCTATTCGGCCATCTTGGCTCCTCCCGCAGGAAAGCCCTTTCAAACAGGAGCTGTTACTAAAGGATGTGTGGTGATGTGTGGCCCTCAAGGAAGGCAAGCTGTAAGGATGAAGAGCCAGGAGCTGGAAGCCCACAGGGTACAGGATGATACGTTCTCGTTTTGTTTTGTGCATCTCCTCTTTCTGCAGCCTTCGCCTTCTCCTGTTACTCTACTGGACGTTTCAATAGATGAGAGACAATCCTAAAGAAAGTGGGAAGAGACAGGGGCTAAGCAGACACCCTAAAAGTATGTGCTTCATAAGACAAAAGCCTGAAATGGAGAAACAAGGAAGGCTTCCTTAGAAGGAAGGAAGGAAGAAGAGAATTGTCTACAGTGTTTATGACAACGTTAAAATATGAAGATAGAAGACATAAAGGATGATAAAGCCCCATGGGATTTTCACCTCTGAGATATGTAGAGAATATAGTGCCTTCTAATTTATGTCAGTGATTCTTATGAACCCAGAAAACCTGTTCCTATATAAACAATGTGTTAAGTGGAAGATGGGTTCCCAGGGCAGACTGTAAAAGCCTAGTGATCCCACCATGCTCCAAGTAGCTGGTACTTGGGAGCTACAGCAAGAGATCCCCAAAGTCCTAGAAATGGATGCACATAGGCTGTCCTCAGAGAGATGCCTGATGCCTGGACAGGAAACAAAGGAGGCAAAAAAGGACCCTGTCATGGTGGCTGGATTGAACATATTGAACCTGTGTCTAGAAATGACCCAGCAGTTAGGATACACCTGCTCAACAGTGCAATCCCAGATGAAGAGGGTCACATAGGCCCACCCAGGGGGACCATTCAGCACTGAGCAGTGCCATGGGGGCTGGTGCTCTGTCTTCCTGCACAGTCATCCCATCTTTTTAGTAGTTATGCACGTGTGTGTGTGTGTGTGTGTGTGTAGGGGTGGGCATCACACTTAAAGCCTTCTTTCTTGGACTTCCCACTTAGCAAGCAAACTTTCAGTAATGTGACCTGCCACAAAAGACCCTGTCATAATCAGGTATTCATGAGCATCTAATGGTTTAAAAAATTGGCTTCTGGCATCTCCATGAGTCTCTGGAGACATGTCTGGCATCCTGAGTCAGAACCACTCTAGGACCTGCCATCAATGAGATTTCTAAGCTCTCAAACCAGCTTGCCTTGTGGAACCCTCTTCAAACTTCTTCACAGTAGAATACCCATAATACCAATATTAGGGGTGTTTTGGGAGTAGGAGACCAGCCACAGAGTGTAAGAAGCAGAAAAAGGTAGAGCAAAATGGTGTGTTTTCCTGTTCAGGGTGCAGGGCTGGCCTTGGTGGTGGTGGGCAATGGAGCACTTTGTCCTACAATCGCATAGTTCACACATCCATCTGCTCCACAGTGTTTATTGAGCACTTTGTGCCAGGCAACAAAGTCCCTGTCAACAAAGTCCCTGGGTGTCAACAAAGTCCCTGTTCTCATGGAGCTTATACTCAGTTTGTGACTGTGGATGAGTTTATGTGTTTTGAGTTATACAGGAAATTAAAAATCAAATAAATGAGTCTGACAAATTCCAATGGTGATGAGTGCTATAAAGAAAATCAAGCAGGTGATGTGACAGTGACAGCAGAGGCTGGGTGGTCAGCAGTGGCCTCACTGAAAGGAGACATTTAAACATAGACCGAGTGAGTGATAAGGAGCCAGTCAGGGAAGAGCTGGCCAGGGACAGCCAGGTTCAGAGAGTTCAGGGAGAGGGAAGTGCAAGTACAGAGCCTAAAGGCAGAGAAAGCCACTGGCGCCCAGACAGGAGACAGGCCAGCACAACTGAGGCTTGACAGAACACAGGAGTGGGATTTTGTGAGGCTCGGGGAGAAAGGGGGCAGATTATCCTGGGTATTTAAGTCCAGGTAAGCAGTATGGGTTTTATTCTTAATGCAATGGGAAGAGATTCCACAGTCTGATCTGCATGTTAAAAAGCTGGTCTAGCTGCTAAGTGGAGACTGTAGGGGGGAAAAGAGGGAAGGAAGAAGCTGCTTTTGGTTATGGCAGTGATTCTGGGAGTGACTGAATTATCTTCCCTTTAGCTTTCCTCTGTCTTTTCCAAATAAACCTTGGTCTGGTAAGCACTGTCTATCTCAGGTAAAGGTTCAAAGGGAAGAAAGCAATCTCTTCTAACAAATTCTCCTTAGGGCTGGGTCATTAAACCACCCAGAGGTGTTTGACTTTTTAAAGACTGTTAATTGGAATGGATTTCTTATTGGTAGAGTTTTAGGCAGGAAGGGAAAGCATTTTGGCTATCTGGCCAGGGCTGACATTTACAGTAAGGCTTCTCAAACCTTTTGTCAAAATGCAGATTCCTAGTTAGCAGTCTTACAAAAGGGCCTAAAATGTTGCTTTTCTAACAAATTCCCAGGTGATGCCAATGCTGCTGGTTCATGGACCACATTTTGAATTATATGGTTTTAGAAGTCTGTTTCATGTGTTAAAGAAAGCTCTGAGTATTAAGAGCAGCTTTCTGGATATTTATTCATTCATTCTAAAGGGGATCAGGACATGTCACCCCAAAACATGCCACTTTGGCATAAGGATTATTTTGAGCTGAAGGCAACTGAGAAAAAGCAGACACAGGAAGAGATCTCTACCCTCCCCTTATCTTCCTAAAAGCAGAACATAAATTTCCCTTTGTGAAGGTGGCATAAATTTGCCCCCCTCTCCTGTACTAGTATGAGAAAAGCAACTCTTATCACTGGAGACAGAGGGCCCACACCTAGATGACTCTGCATAAACAAACCTTACTGAATAATTCTTATCTACCATTAGTTTCCTCCATATATTTACCTTCCCACAATTTACTGCTCCTGGAAGCCCAAACTCCCTCTCCTTTGACTAGTCACTTCTCCATAATTTATCATCCTTTGTTAAAATGGGATATAAGCCCCCAAGTCTAGCCACTTCTTTTGTTTTTTCACTTCTTTTCTGTGAAGCCTCCATGCACATAAAATATTAACACTAAATAAAATTTGTATGCTTTTCTTGTGTTAGTCTGTCTTTTGTCAGTTTAATTCACAGACTCCATTTATGGAACATAATAGAGTAGAGAAAAAGCTTTTCCTTCCCTACAGTTTGTTCATTCCAATGTTTCTTGGTTAGTAGACACCGTCATATTTAAGGGGATGAAAGAGTTTTCTGAGGAGGTTGCCAAAACGTATGTTTTTATTGAACCTTTGGAAAACCAGACACATCTGGAATCTGGTACTCTGAGTCCTCAGCCAGTGGTGTGCTGGTGAATGTTTAAAAACTGTCTTTCTGAGAAAAAAAAGTCCTGATTTGTAGCATTTGTTGATTTTTGTGATGTAAATCTCTTATCAGGGCTGATTGTCAGCTCCTAACATGATATCACTTAATGTACATACAGATAATAACAGATATAATAAATTAGCCCAAGAACATAGATAATTGTAAATTATATTCAAGTAATTAGGATAAAATGAGCTTTTAGTATCAATTACTTTTGTTTTCAATGTAATTTATTTCATTGTAAGTTTTATAATTTAAGTTTTAAATAATGGCTATGTTTAACAACTGGCTTACAAAAATCCTGAAAATAAAGCAATCTCTTCCTCAGTTATTTCTTGGCCTCAGGTTTCAAATAAAACCCCTGTCCTGTAAGCCTTGTACATTTCAGGTAAAGGTTTCCAAGGGAAGAAAGCAATCTCCTTGAACAAATTCTCCACTACTGCCTCAGGACCTTCCTATGCTCAGCCAATCCTCCCATTTTTGCTATTAGGTGAGTTTCTAGTCTCAGAATTCTAGTCTCTTTCCAAATTCTTGTTGTGAATGCTGGTGAGTAATAGCAGAGATGTTAGAGATAATGGATGACAGAGAAAATGAGGATGATAATGACAGAGGTAAATGGGGTGGGGGAAAGGAACTACCTGAGATGCTGCAAGTCTTGCACCCCTTGCCATTTTAACAATGTCTCATTAAATTTTCACAGCCCTGTGACATAGATGAGCAACCTGAGGCCCAGAGAGGGGACAGTATTTGCCTAAGGTCACACAGCTAAGAAATTTTAAACTTAGATACAAATCCAGATGTTTCCGGGAATGGAACAAAAATTGTCTTAACAAAAATTGTATAGATGTACATAATTAATATTTGGGCTGGGTATAGATTTCTTGGTTGGAAATCACTTCCCTGGAGGATTCTGAATACGTTGTCCTATTACACTCTAGCCTTGAGCAATTGATTGCCATTTAAATACCTGACTTTTTTTTCCTTTGTGAAAGTTTTTTGTTTGTTTGTTTGTGAGATGGAGTCTCGCACTGTCACCTGGGCTAGAGTGCAATGGTGCGATGTTGGCTCATTGCAACCTCCACCTCCTGGGTTCGAGCGATTCTCCTGCCTCAGCCTCCTGAGTAGCTGGGATTACAGGCGTCTGCCACCATGCCTGGCTAATTTTTTTTTGTATTTTTAGTAGAGACGGGGTTTCACTATGTTGGCCAGGCTGGTCTTGAACTCCTGACCTCATGATCCGCCCGCCTTGGCCTCCCAAAGTGCTGGGATTACAGGTGTGCGTCACCATGCCCGGCCTATGTAAGTTTTTAGAATCTCCTCTTTCTCCTCTGTGACTATTTTTTATTTTAGCTTTTACTTCCTTAGTGATGTCCTTGCTGTATATTCCACTCTACTGAATTTTTTCATTTTTGCAATCATATTTATAATTTCCATGAGCTAATTTTTTGTTCTGTGTATTTTTTTTTAATTAGGGCCTGCAGTATCTTCTCTTTTTACACTTTGAGAGTCTCAATTATTTAAGTTCCCCTTCTTTTTTTTTTTTTTTTTTTGAGACGGAGTCTCGCTTTATTGCCCAGGCTGGAGTGCAGTGGCGCGATCTTGGCTCACTACAAGCTCCGCCTCCCGGGTTCACGCCATTCTCCTGCCTCAGCCTCTCCAAGTAGCTGGGACTACAGGTGCCTGCCATCACGCCCGGCTAATTTTTTTGTATTTTTAGTAGAGACAGGGTTTCACCGTGGTCTCAATCTCCTGACCTCGTGATCCGCCCTCCTTGGCCTCCCAAAGTGCCGGGATTACAAGCGTGAGCCACTGCGCCCGGCCTAATTTCCCCTTCTACGTTCTTTCTGTTTAGTTCACATTGTTTTTTGGACAACAGAAGCCTTCTCAAATGTCTGATGATCTTTGTTTTTCAGTTGGTATTTAAGAATGGGCCACTGGTCAGAAGCAGTGTTTGCCTGGGCTGTATGTATTGATGGTAGATGTCACTGTATCAGGGTCTGTATGTCTGCTGGGCTGGTTATTTTGTCAGTGAGGCAAATGCCACCCTATTGCCCAGGAGGCATAATCTGGGTTGCCTGATTTCTGGGAGCCAAGTATGAGAAGGAGGCTCCTGATTCAGTATGTCAATTGGTATTTAATTTCCCTGTTTTTACCATGGCAGCCCTCCCCATAACTTTTCCAGGCCTCAGCAAGAATAAACTTCCAGCTTTGTGTTATGATGAAGTTGGGCATGTGGGAGTGTCAAAATGCTTCTTATAAAGATATTTAGCCCAGTGTTTTCTGTTGTGTCCCCACCTTCGGAAGTAGCTGATGCTTCTGATTTCTGAGTCTATCTGTGATTTTGTGGTCAAATCAGCTGCATGTCAGCTTTCTTTGATGCTGGCGTACATTCAAGCTTTCTTAAAACATCTCATGTATTTTTCTCCAGCTTTCCAGCTCTGAGAGACAGAGCAAGTCCTGAAGAAGTCCATCTCCCCAGTTCCAGTGTTCCTGAACATTACTCTCACCTCTGAGCTCTTTCAGGCTTGGTCAGTCTGGGAGCTACCCAGTATCAATTCTATAAATTCACCTTTTTGCTTAAGCTGGTTTAGAGGTTATTGTTTTTTTTGTTTTTTTTTTTTTATATATATATCACTTATAAACAGAAGAACCCTAAATGAATACACAGGGTTAGTTGGGCTGATCATTTTTTTAAATAAACAATCTAATACCACTTTGATCTTTTCCTATAGATAAATACCCCAATACTGCACTAGAGACTATCCCTAGAAGTGAGCACTAAGGGCTCTGAGTAGACCTCTGGCTTAGAGACCATTGGCTTTTCCCTGACAAGTCCAGATGAAGTCTCTCTGGGCTCAGTTCACGATCTGCATCCTTCCTTTTCTCACTTATCTGGCATTTAGCTGACTCTACCTTACCATCTCATTGTCATGTTAACTCTTTTTATTTTTATTTTTTTGAGACAGGGTTTTACTCTGTCACCCAGGATGGAGTGTGGCCGTGCAATCATAGCTCACTACAGCCTCAAACTCATGGGCTGAAGTGATCCTCCTGCCTCAGCCTCCTGAGTAGCTGGGACTACAGGCATATGCCACCATGCTGGCTTAATTTAAAATATTTTTTGTAGAGGCAGGGTCTTGCTATGTTGCCTAAGCTGGTCTTGAACTCCTGGCCTCAAGCAATCCTCTTGCCTCAGCCTCCCAAAGTATTGGGATTTACAAGTGTGAGCCACCACACCTGGCTGTGTTGTTTAACTCTTAATATGAGAACATCTTATCTCCCTAACTAATTCCTCCTGAGAGGTCCAGCCTAGTGCTGCAAATGTATGCAGCCAGTTCAGGAAAAAGGAATGTCTGTGGCTTTCTACTCTGGGTGTGAATGAGTTACCCTAACATCTTGCTCTTAGTATATCCTTTTAGCATCTAAGCCACTTTTAGAATAAAAAATAATGATGATACTACTTAATGATTGTTACTCTATGCCAGATCCTTGATCTTTTACCTAATCTCTTCAACAATGCTCCGAGATAGGCAATTTTTTCCCCATTTTATACATAAGGAAACAGAAGCCCAGAGAGCTATAACATATCAAGGACACACCATTAAGCAGGTGGTGGAGCCAGGATTTGAACCCAGGCTGGTCAGATCCCATGCTTTGCACCTCTAATTGCTTTAATTTACATCATGCTTGCTTCAGTTTAACCCTTTAATTTCTGACTGTTTCACCACAGAGCACAGCTTTATGAGACTGTGTATATTTTAACCATATAGGCACTTAGCAAATTTCAAATCTATCCATCAGTCCCTCTCCAAATTAAGAAAGAATTACAAACTACATGATGACAAGGCTGCTACAGCCAAGTGCCTCACAGAGAGAATGCAGCAAGAGCTATTGGAATCATTTTGGATGGTACAAGGAGCAGCTTATGAAATGGAGAAATTAGGATGGATCTTGGGTATACTTTCTAAGAATGAAATCTATTAGAACAGTCTCTCCTGGGGAGTTCTGTGATGAAAAATGCATTGTTGGAGTTATTTAAAAATGAACTATTGAAGCTCTTCAGGGACCAATCTCGTGCTGATAGGGGGTGGACAAGATACCTTAATAGGTCATTTTAGTCTCTGATTTCTGTAAAGACGACTTTTCTTATGGTACATTGAGATTTTCAATGAATTTCCATTTCTGTGTAAGTACCCAAGAAGTTTCCCAGACTGAGCTGAAAGTGAGTGAGGCATCAGGCTCTCGGATAACTGGGGGAAGCTTACCCTTGTGCGTGTATTCCTCTTTTGGGTTCTGTTGAACAGGCCCGAGGAGCCTGAGTCCTGACCAGGGCACCTTCTGGGTTTGCAGTGCTGTGGAAGCCGGTCTCATCAGTACCTGATTTTGAATGCTGTCACTTGCGTACACAAGTACACAAGGCTGTGGTCCCCAGCCAAGGCCCCAAGGCAGCTGGGAACAGTGACATATGCTAAATAGTCTGGTTCCCAAAGAGCTGGAGCAGGCCCGCTGAGAGGCCCATAAAATCTCTCCCTGCAATTCCCTGCCACCATATGCTCCAAGAGGTGTTTGTTCGGCATTTGTTCGGTTTCAGGCTGGTGGGTACAGAGGGAGCTTGACTAATGGTATTGTTTGCTGAGTTAATTGTTCTGTTTGATCTGAGGCTCTTTTAGGACGCAGAGGAAAATTAGGTGTTTGGTCAGGGTTTTCCTCTGCAGCAAAGTTTACCTCACAAGTTGGAAAAGGGAGAAAGGAAAATCGGAGTTGGAGAAAAAGGGGGAAAGGAAGTCAATGAAAGCCTTGCTGGGCGCCCTACAGGGCTGAAGGCTCACATGGTGTAAACAGTTAGCCAAGGCACTGGGGAGGGTCTGGAACCAAGTTAAAGCAGAAGTCTTCTCTGGCTGATGAATAAATGAAAAATAAACACCACATACCTCTATTTATCAATAATGTTTACATTATTTATTTCCAAAGAAGACTTTCATAGGTTGTAACAAAGGGTACATATGAAATAAGACTATTGAGACAAAAGATCAGATATTACACTGAGGATGGGGAGAAATAATACCCAAACCCTAGCCAGTTTGGCTACAAAAAGCTAAGTGTTCAACTAGTCTTGGGTACCTGGAAATTAAGCTAAGGCATAAATGAAAATACCCAGGAGATCTGATATTCACCATCTAATGAAGAGATACATGCCAGATCAGGAGGAGAGAAAAATTATTTTCTGATTTTAAAGTCTGAAAAACATAATGAGGGGATAATTTCCCCATTATCTTTACTCCATGAAATTGTTATAAAATAAATACAATTATTTAGGAAAAAGTATTTTCTAAAATATGCACAATAGTCACACATTTGGTGATCTTGTTACTGTTGGTGACATTCCTTCAACAGCAATTTTGTTTTTGGACTGGTTTCCCCAGGTAAACAAGGCAGGGTCAGGTATGCTGGGAGCATCTGAACTACCCACAATCTAGTTTTATTTGTTTTCAAACTAAATGGTTGGGGTTGGTGAGCAGAAGCTTTTTGTATAGATGCTAAGATCAAAGATCATGTTTGTAGAAGAAATTCGCTCTCATACAGAGGGAATTTCAGGATGGGAAGAGGAGTGAAGCCTGAGACAGCAGCCCCTAACGCTACCTAATAGTGACTGCTCTGACCAAATGCGGTGGCTTCCTTTGTAACCTATGTCAATATCCTTTCAATATCCTTTGCTTCTCAGCCTTTGTCTAGAGTAAATGGGAGCTAATCAGTCATTTGCAGATTTAGCAAATACCGTGTAAACCTTGATGCTCCTGCCAGGTTTAGCAAACTGTAGGCCAGGAGTTCTTGGAATAGATGTATTGATTGTGGATCTTCAGAAGATAGGGTCTGGTGTTTGTGTGTTTATATAAGCCCCAGTAGTGACTCTGATGTACAGCTAGTTTGAGGACTGCTGCCCTAGGCTCCACTGTGTGTGTAAATTTTAAGGTTGATAGACAGAGATGCTAAAAAGGAGGTTAGGAGACTGGAATTAAATAGAGATGTAGTTATAGCCCTATTTTTATGTACCACTACATCCATATTATTTTCAGGACTGCCAGAGAACCCAAAGCCAGTGTAACTTGCTATTTTAATACTTACAATTGTGAGTTTTCAACCATTTCCAGGGCTACCTATTTGGATGAATTATATTCCTAAAGTAAAGTATGTGGCAGCAGAAAGACTTGTCTTGAACTTCACTGTATGTATCATCCAGTATCCATTTACCCAATTTCCTTCTGAGGAGCTACTGTCAACTCCACTCTATCCATACGCACTTGAGGGAGTTGAACCAACTCTCAGCTCCAAAAATCAAGTTTTGACTCATCCTGGGCACTGAAAGCATCATATTCTCTGGTCACAACAATTGGTTTAGGGATGAGCATGTGATTCATTCAGAGACAATAAGGCACAAGAGCGCATCTTTTGGGACCATGGGGTAGGGGTATGCTCTTGCTACTTATTTGAGGCAGAAAGGATGAAGGAAGCCTGAAGCTGTAGGGGCCATTTTATGAACCCCCAAGTTGAAGGGTGAAGACACTGTGGAAGGCAAGAGTGAATGATGTAAAGAAACCAGGGTTGCACAACATTGCATGAGTCCCTGAATCAAACCATTCCTGAAGCTAGACCTTCCCCTGGATTTTTCTGTTTGGGGAATATGAACCCTTCTGAGCTCTGATTTCCTCATGAATAAAATAACAATGCTCACAGTTACTTCATTAGATTGCTGTGAGGATTGGATGCAAAAATCTAGCACACAGAACATGCTGCATAGTGGATATTCAATAAATGGTGGTCTCTGCTCACACCTCTCCTACCTTGCCAGCTGATGGGGGCTTTAAACACATCATGATTTCATGGGCATAGACAGGCAAAATGCCATTCCATTCAATTCAATTTAATTAAGCAGACATTCTCTGCACTCGGCCACGAGGTGCTCCCTCATCTCCTCCATGCTCCCCTGGTACCCTGTCCACATCTCTATTAGTGCTCCTATCACATGATGCCTCATTTTTTTGTCTGTCTGCCCTGTGGGACTGTGGTGGTGTCAGAGGACAGGGATGGTGTCCAGAATTTCTTCAGTGTGGCAGAGACTGCACTGGGCATATACAAAGGCCATTGCATTTTACTCTCACAATGACTCAGGGATGCTTCAGTTTGAGTTGAGGAATGCTTGAGCTTTTAAGCCTGAGCTTATACTTCTTCTCGGTGTAAAGGTCAAAATTTTTTTTTTGTACAAGTGCCAGAAATGCTATCAACTTTCATTAACCAAAGGGAAATTCCTGGCTCATGTAACTAAAAAGTTTACAGGTGGAGTTTATTTTAAACATGGGTAGATTTGCTGGTTTTCCTCCAAATTAGGAATGTATGTCCCTACATTTTTCACTCTGTTTTTCCTCTTGGATGAGCTCCCTGCATGTGGTGGCAAGAGCCACCAGCAGCTTGGGCTCTCTCCCTACTCATAATCCCACCAGAAAAAGAGATTCCCCCCCAATTCCTGCAAAAGTCGGTGTCTGATGCCCACTGGTAGGGGATGGGTCCTATGCCCAACTCAGCACCAATCACTGTAGCAAGAGGTATGAAACAGTCTGGATATTCCTGGGTCAACTGCCAGCTGGAGTGAAGGGCAGCTTCACTCCAAACCACCTGGGTAGAGGTGTGATAGAGTGTTGTTACCACAAGAAGGGGAAAGGATGCTAGAGATGCACAAAGGGGAGATGCTGACTTCTCTGGCCTGGCCTCCCCTTTCCTCGAGCAGCTCAGAGTCTTCCCTTGAACTCCCTGCAGCTGGGTAGGCTATACAGGCAGGTACCTACTACCAAAGTACCTAGAGCAGCTTCTGGGCCTGTCATTTAGTTCTTTCTGGTGGTGCTTTATCTTCTCAACCTCTCAGGGGTAATTTGAAGTGGTGGCTTGCATAATAACACCTTGTAGGACATACAAGTGTTGCATAAAACTCCTCAGCCCCTTACCCTTCTGGAATTACTTCCCTCATTAAGAAGTCAGGGGTGGCAAATAGAGCCCCTTGAGGAGAACAAAGCTTATGATGGAATAATGTCCCACTCATCAAGTGGAAGAAGTGGTCTGACCTTGTTCAGAGAGTAGGCAAAGTCTCCGTTTGTGTTTCAGGGTGGAAGGGATGGAGAACTCTATGGGTCTTTCTTGGCTGTCCTTGCAGTTTCAACTAATCTTAGTGGCCTGTGGTTGTTCATGAGACTTCTGATGTTATTTGTATGGTGCCCTGGCCCTCATCAAAGCCCATTTTCCATGCTCCAACACCCACTGCTCATTGTCCTGCAGCTCCTGCCTGAGTGATTTGGGCCCGAGTGAGCTGCAGATGTCGGGGAGAACACGGTCCCTCCAACGCTCTCTTGTGTGTTTCTTCGTTTCCTTTCACAGCAGCTTGTGTGAGACCTGTGATCACAGGCAAGCTTTAAACCACAAGAGTCTGTTTTCGGCTATTCTGTACCCTATCTGGGATTTTGTGGAAAATGTGTTCCTTAGTGCACAGGCGTTGGTGAGATGAACAGCTGCCAGCATCTGAGCTTGGTGATGACAAAAACCATTAATGCCAGGCCCGAGGGCCTTGCTCTCAAAACACTCTGAGTCCCTTACAGGATGGCAGACAGGCTGCTGGAGAGCGAGGACAGGGCTTGCATTGGCCCTGCTGTTGGCTCACAGGCTGAGTGAGAAACCAAGAACCCCACATAAGGCTCTCAATGCAGGGTCAAACGCTGTCCCCTTAGTCAACACAGGCAGGCTCTGACACTGGAACAGGCCCTTTCTCCCTGACAGTTTACTTTCACTACATTGTTTTTCATTTAAAATTTTTTTCCGGTTATCATTGTAATGCCTTGTAGCATTTTATGCTTTGCTCCCCTTAATCTTCTTTTCCTTTGGTTCATTTCAACACATTACCTTGTGTTGAAGGAGGGGCCTGGTGGGAGATAATTGGATCATAGGGGTGGTTTCTAATGGTTTAGCACCATCCGCTTAGTGCTGTCTCGTAATGGAACTCTCATGAGATCTGATTATTTAAAAGTGTAATGCTTCCCCTTTTGCTCTCTCCCTCTCTCTCTCCTGCTTTCATTGTGAAGAAGGTGCCTGCTTCCCCTTTGCCTTCTGCCACGATTGCAAGTTTCCTGAGGCCTCCCAGCCATGCTTCCTGTTAAGCCTGTAAAACTGTGAGTAAATTAAAACTCTTTTCTTCACAAATTACCCAGTCTCAGGTAGTTCTTTATAGGAGTGTGAAAAAAGACTAAAACACCTGAAAACTTGTTGGACAGGTATATTCTTGGTCCCTACCCCATAACTACTGAGTCAGAAACTCTGGAGATGGGGCCCAAAGATCTGTGTTTTAATAAGCCTTCCAGGCAATTCTGATGCAGCTGAAGTTTGAGACCTGCTGCTCTAGCATGGAGGTCTTCGAACCTGGCCACACTGAGAAACTTAAAAATCATTAATGCCCACGTTCCATCTAAAACCAATTGATTTAGAATCTCTCAGAATGGAGCCTGGGTAGCCACATTTTTTCAAAGCTCCCAGGTGATTCTGTTCTACAATAAAGATGAAGAACCTTTCGTGAAACCCAACCCAGCAGCTGGAGGTTCCTGGGACACATCCTGTGGGCAGGATTCCTCCTTGCCTTCGCTCCCCACTCACCCTTGGCTCTACCTTCCATCCCGCCAGTCCAAATCTTAATCCTCTTTCAAGGCCCAGCCTAAGTGTCAACTCCTCCATTAATCTCCCTGGGTGAGAAGTGATTGCTTGCTTTGTGCTTTCAGAAAACAAATGTGTAAATGCTCTGTAAATTCTCAAATATTAGTTAATATAATCATAACACATTAATCTTTTGAATCCTACACTAGTCATAACTGGCATGTATGAATGCTGACTCTGTACTTGGCACTGTTTAATTGCTTTAAATGGATAAACCTAGTTAGCCCTCTTGAAACACTACAGAAGAGGAAACTAAATTGAAGCTCAGAAAGGTTAATTAACCTGCCCAAGGTCACATAGCTAATAAGTGGCAAAGCTAGGATTTGAATCCTGGACATCTTGGCTCTAGAATTTATATTTTAACCTTTAAGCTCTAACACCTCAATATATACTATTATATGTCATAATAATAGCTATGTGAGTATCTCAAATATGTATACAATGGCACTTCCTGGTTTACAAAGCAGTTATAGTATCTTATTTTTCCTCAAGAGCCTTGTGAGGTAAGAGCTATTATTGCAAACCCATGTTCTGGAGAGGAGGATGAGGCTTAGAGTTGTTCAGTCACTTGCTCAGGCCACACACCAGTAGGGGTTGGAACTGGGGTTTGAGCCCAGGTGGTTGGTTTCAAATCCAGGTGTGCTTGGCTGGGCAGCCTCTGAAGTCTCTCTGAGCCCTCACCCTGGGCCTTTTCCACTTGGGCCTGTGCCTCTACTCTCTGCAGCTGGGCTGAGCTCAGCTGTGCTGAGCAGTGGAGGAGAGTGGTGGGGACTCAGTCTATGGATGAACAAAGCTGCAGACAGCTTGGACCTGCAGGGAAGATGGCAGAGGGTGAGTCTCCATTCAGAGCCGGTCCTAGCTTGGTCATCTGAGGGGCCTAGGGAGGTGCCAGAGGAAGACTGCTAAGTGGTTCATTTGGCAGAGGGGTCCCCAAGAGTAGGCAGGAATTCAGGTGGGGAGGAGTGGAGAGTCCAGGCAAGGGCCACTGCCTGGCATGGGGTTTAGGGCTGGGTGGGTCCATGGCAGGTCGAATTGGCCCACGTGTGACTGTTAGGGCCCTCTCAGTCCTGTGAGAGCACATATGTCCAGCAGACAGCTCTCCATCCTCACATGCAGACTTTGGTGACAGTGCTGTCTAGTTGGAAAATATTGTGTACCATTCAATTTCTCGGACACGTGTACCACAATATGGTGGAGTGTCCCTATTCTTCCCACAGAGTGGTGGTGAGGACTAAAATACATTAATACCCGTAAAGTGTTAACACTAATGCTTAGCTCGTGGAAACTGCTAAAAAAATTCACTGTTATTAGGAAAGTAGGGAAGGAAAGAAGAATGGAGGAAAGGAGGACAGGAGTAAAGATAGGAGGAAAGAAGGAAAAAAGGAATCTGCTTGGGGGGACAAAGTAGGCAGGCAAAGAAAGCTACACAAAGGCTTTGACATTTGAGCAGTGTTTTGCAGGGTGAACAGGAGTTTTCTGCTGGAGAGGGAGGTGAGGAATGGAATGGTGTTCCAGGTATAAATGTCTAAGTGCTCTGTAAACTTGCAAATGTTTGTTACTATGATCATTAGGTGAGAGCAGAGATAACATCTGTTTCTACTTTATTGTGATGATTCCCTGTGTTAGACAGCAAGCCGCTTGAATGACATCCTGTCTTTTTCATCCCCGGAAGTGTTTCTAGTACCTTGCATATAGTAGGTATTAAATAAATATTTGTGGAAGGAATAAATCACTTTCTTTGAAAGGTAACATTTTCAGCTATAGGATGTTCTACATATAAAATAGATTCTATAGATTACTTCTCATCATAAACACTGAGTAGGAACTTAGCTTTTTCCTGGAAAGATGTGAGACTGCCTCATTCATGGTGATGCTACTTCTTTACTGTTCTCTGTGACCCATTAAATGTCTCTCTCTGCTACTTCAAGTATCACAAATATGACTATGACAAATACTACCAAGGACGAGGCTAGCCCTCCACTCTGGGGCACAAGCCATGAGCAATTTTTTTCCCCTGGTGATGACAGGTTGTTAGCATTAAGTTCAGAAAAGATGGGTTTGCATCTAGGCTTTACTCAGCACCAGCTTCATTACTTGGTCTCTCTAGGTCCCCATTTCTCCGCTTGTCAGTTGAAGGAATTGTTTCTCCCAGGTTCCAGAGAGCTGTGGCTCTGTGCTACAGTCTTCTGCCTGTCTGGGATCTGTGTGTCTGGATCAGCTCCTTTTACCCCAAGTTACTGCTCCCTTTTAAGTTAAGCTCCTGATAGCAATGTGCTCACTGTAGAAGTCTGGCACTCCAGCCTTGGGATTGGGAAGACTAGCTGGGTTTGAATCTGGGTCCTGCCCGTTAGTGGCTGTCTGGCCTCAAGGAAGTTACTTGACCTCACTGTGCTTCATTCTCTTCCTCTGTATAATGGGAATAATATCAGCCCCTGTCTCATAGGGTTTCTGTGGCGCTTAAGTGAGTTATTACAGTGTTTAGAACAGTGCTTTCCATGTGTAAGTGTGAGATAAACCTTTCTGATTTGTTCTTTATCAGTCACTTGAGGAAGGAGCTAGTGCTGGGGGAATAGAAAGGCTGCCGGAAAAGCCCCCGACATGGCGGTTGGAGAGAGTCCAATCTGTGTTTCAGCTTGCCTGGTAGTCCTTGGAGATCCTAGAGGCTGTGTTACCTCCATCGCCAGAACATGGTTTGCCTAACCAGGTGCTGAAATGGAGAAAGAGTTCCTATCTTGTTGAAGGAGAGGGAGGCATTTGGAAGAATGAGAAGTGAATTTCTGTTGTAAAGACACAACGATTCACTAAGTGGAGACACATGGTGGCATAATATCTCAAAAATGAATGGCTGTTCTCTAGCCTTACTGTGTCCCCTTTCCCATGGCCTTTCTCCAGTTAACCTAGGCTATTCTGAGTTTATTTCTTAATGGGAGAGGTTTCATAATGTAGAGAAAACAAGATCCACTTTTGGTTTCTGGGTTTCAAAGACATAGTCCTTGGGGGGCCTAGAAGGAGCTCTAGGAGGTAAGAAGTGATTTATAGCAAGCGCCCTCCACCACCAAGGGCAGACTAAGATTCCTCATCCCGGGCTGGATTGGGGGCTGGAGAGAATGTGAAGAGTGTGCAGGTGTGGGAGGCTCCTGTGAAGCCATGAAGGTGTGCTGCTGGGTTCTCCTTTCCGGCAAGAACCTGTCTTTCGGCTGGGAGGAGTGCAGCTGGTTCACAGCCTGTAGATGCAGTGCCTCCAGGATTCACTGCAGCATTGGGGCCAAGCCTACACTTTTTCTAGGAAGCTCCAGCCAAGGATGATACCACAAGGCTGGGATACTAGGGCTTGGCCATTGTGCCCAATGCAGTGAGTGGTCTTTGCTCTGGTGCTCCTTACTGTGTTGGTGGAGACTTTCTTAGCTCTTCCTAGCAGACTGACGCTTTCCTGCCCAATCCTCCTTCCTTTCTCTTTATCTTTACATGTGTCCTCCCTCCCCATCAATAAACCTCTTACACTCCTAACTTCATTTCAGTGTCTGCTTCCAAAGGGATCAATGGGCACAGCTCCTGAGAAAGCTGCGGCCCAAAGAGGGAAAAATATGTTTGGGAATCCAGGGCAGAGGGAGTTTTACCGACACCTGGGAAGAACCCTGCTGAGGCAACTGAATCCCAGGGAGGAAATGGCTCCAGGTATATTATGGCACTGGGGGCCTAGCTTTATGAGTGTCTCAGCCTCACATGGTCTAGTATGGAGAGATGTGTGACAGTAGCTGAGAGATAGATGGACCTGAAGAGGCCTTATGGTCAGGAATCGGGGCTGACCTGAAGCAAACTGATTGGACAAATGACCAAAGACCAGATGGGCATGAGGACACCTTAGCAGATGCCAGCAGGAATACAGGAATATTTCTCTCCAACTCTTTCTATTACCCTAGCACTGTGTAAGAAAACTTCACAACCTTGCTGGTGTAAGGTTGGAATAGACCCATATTAACTAAGATTGTTTCTATCCCCCATGGATAAATTAGTAATGAAGTTCTGTTTTACAAAAATAAAGGAGATTATGAGACTAAATTTCTTGCCCATGTAAGCATGTGGCCTGAGATTTGCACCTAGTCCAGGTAACATCATCTGAAGGGTGAGAGGCTGTACCTTAAGAGGCAGGAAGATTCTCAAGACCAACAACTCGCTTGTCTTTCCCATTTGGGACACGTGCTCTCCCTCACATGGCACTCTGCAGGTCCTTCCCAAGCAGCTCCAAATCCCCACAGCTGGCCCTGGAGAGGCCCTGCCCCCTGCTGCGCTGTTGGGCCTGTGGTAGAAATGGCTGCTGCTGGGATGCTGGTTTATACTATGGCAGATTGTGAGCAGGCACGCCAAAACCAGACCTGCAGGAGACTCAAGGACGCAGCAGCAAGACCTGAAGCGATGTGACTGTATTCAGGAATCAGAGGCAGCGGCAGGCAGCCAGGAGCAGAAATGGGAGGGCAGAGTGTGGGCTGGATAGGAAGCAGCTTCAGCAGGTCTTGTAGGTTGGCCAGAGGAGAGTGGAGATGAATCAACCATGGGCAGGAAGGATTCGAGGCCCTGGCCAGCTCCAGGCTTTCATTGGCTCTGTCATTCCTCGAACCACAGAAAACATCTGGTTACAGAAGGGATGGAGGGCTTATGTTCATCTGCTAACCCCTGGACCAGAGCAGCAGATTGGAAGCCTTAACTTTTCTACGAAGGAAGATGGGGTCGAAATATGATAGCTGAATACATGAATAATTTGTCTTCCAATTTATCCTTCTTTTTACCGTGCAGATAGTCTTCTATTTTTCTCTACTTTCATTGTGTCACACTTTGCTTAAATAATTCTGATGCGGCCAGATGTGATGGCTCATGCCTGTAATCCCAGCACTTTGGGAGGCCGAGGTTGGCAGATGATGAGGTCAGGAGTTCAAGACCAGCCTGGCCCACATGGTGAAACCCAGTCTCTACTAAAAATACAAAAGTTAGCCGAGTGTGGTGGTGCATGCCTGTAATCCCAGCTACTCGGGAGGCTGAGGCAGGAGAATTGCTTGAACCTTGGAAGTGGAGGTTGCAGTGAGCTGAGATTACGCCACTGCACTCCAGCCTGGGTGACAGAGCAAGACTCCATCTCAAAAGAAAAAAATAGTAATAATAATAATTCTGATGCTTCCTGTTGCTTCAAAGATGAAAGTCCAGGTTTCCTCGGCCTGGTATTCAAGGACCTCCAGGGTTCCTGCCTTCTTTCCCACCATGACTGTTTTTCAGCCTCCAACTCCTGTTGAAATGACGTATGAGTCAGTTCCCCATGTGCCCTCCCCGTTCCTGACCCTGTGTTCTTGGTCAAGGCATTTCCAACTGCTGCCTTCCTCCATCTCCACCAAAGCAATTGTTTCTAATCTTGGAGATAAGCTGCAGTTCATCTCTTCCATGAAGCTCTTTGTGTCCATCTGCCTTCCAATTCTCCTTCTCGCTTCATTTCTCCCAGCTCCTGCCTTAAGTGTACAAGAACAAGCTGCTTCTCTTCACTGACCCCAAAGGAACACAAAACTGATCATCTTCTACCCTTCATCTCTTCTATAGTTCACTACACCCCCTTGTTTTTTTTGCCCAAATTAATTACAATATGTTAAACACCAAACATCAGTCTTTGATCATCAATGAAAAAATTAAATGTTAAATGTCAAATATTTTTAAAGATAAAAATTTTAACCACAGAGATGAAGCCATCTTTAGCAGGAATTAGTGTGCATTTGGCCATTTTTCCTGGCTCCATTTGCAAACATTCAGTCCCAAGAGGGGAAAGGAGATTTTCTTTCCATTTATGCTGCATAGCACTGGCCATTTGTAAGATCTGCAGAGGCATCTGGATCATCTCATTTTCATAAGCATCGAGATGTTTGTGGCTCTTTGAACACATTCAAGATGAGTGAGGAAGGCAAATGACCACACACGTTCATGTAAAAACAATTTGTATGAGTGGCAAGGCAGAGTTTTTAACGATGTTCTTTCGGACTTACTGGCCAGGGGTGGGCACGGTGCAGAGCCAGGGGGCTGGGTGGTGCTAGAGATGAAGACTGAGCTCTGATTCACAGGAAGAGGCAATTGTTCCAGATCCCTTTTTTTTTTTTTTCTTTCCATTGTGCTGGATGCAAGAAGCCTTAGCTCATGTGTTACAAATGTGGACCCAAGATACAAGGACAAGGGCCTGCAGAGGACCTCTGCTCCTGACAACATGCAGAGTCTCCACTCACACAGAAGCCCTGTAGCTTCTGGAAAGGAAGCTGCTTGGTGGAGTGCAAAGTGTGTGGAATTTGAAGCTGGACAAATCTGGGTTTGAATCTGATTCTGCTTCTCTGGTGGTGTGGTTTGTTTGGGGCAAAGTCACTTCAACTTTTGGAGTACCAGTTCAGTTTCTTTGACTCTAAAGTGAGAATCCAGTGTCTTCCACCATGGCTAGCACAGCACCCAGCACTTAGTGGAAACTCCATACAAGACCCAGCCTTTGGCAGCAGAACTGGATCGCAACAGGGGTTTATTCTAGAACTGCCAAGTCCAGGACCAGCTCACACGTGGCATACAGGCTGCTCATGGAGGGGATGGCTGACTTGATGAGAGGAGCTAGGAAACCATGAGCATCCATTTAGGCAGGGGGATTTTGGGCTTCTGGCTCTGACAAAACTTTGTTATTTGGAAACTGAACCTTCCTGCCACTCTGCCAGGAGACGTGCTGGGTTCCTAGACAGAGTTGTCTAGTTCTTTGCCTATTAGTGTGTTGTTTGTCAGCAAGGGGCCGAGGTAGCAGAATCCAGCGACAGCTTTCACCTCCTGACTGCCAGGAAAGGCAGCCACTTCACCTGCATGTGTTCTGCAGCCAGATCTGAGGCAACCTGCTCACGTTTGCCATGAGAGACATTGGAATCCTCACCAGGAATCCACAGGCTGAGACATTTCCCAGCACTGGTCAGTTAAAGTTAGTTATATTTAATTCAGGTGAAAGGAAAAACATTACTATGTTACACATATAGTCCACACTCTAAATCTCTAAATGGTTGCCTTTTTATAGTATAACTTTGATCCAGAAAAGTTAAATTTGAAAAATCCATATTTTAAATTCAGAGTAATTCCCTTTTTAATTATAAAATTAGAATAGTTCTTACAGGGGAAATGACCCTAAGGCATAATAAAAACACATTAAAAATGTAGTGATCTTGGATAAATTAATCTAATTAAAGTGAAAGATTTCAGTATTCAGTAAAATATCAATAAAATTTTTCAGTGTTGCTGAGGTCAATATGGATTCTGGTTCAATGAGGGGCCATGTGATAAAAGCACCAATGACTGCCTTCTCTAGCCTTGAGCACAGCTTGACTTCCTCACCTTGGTCTCCTCTAGGGCTGGAAAGCAGCCTATGAACTCACTCTGGTATTCCAGCCATCCCTTGGGGTCTTCCTACCCTGCTCCTGAACAATTCTAACCTAGATTAAATTGTTTTTTCTGTTTTGAACTCTGGGCTCAATGATCAAAGGCTTATTTTTCTCAGGCTCTTAGTCCTCCAGATTTGGAGTTTGACCCTCATCTCTCCAGTGAGACTGGGCTCAGTGCTTGGGTTCTTGTCTCCCTGTGCAGTCACCAGAAGTAGCTCCCAGCATCTGCACTGCCCTTTAGAACTCAATGCCCACCCCAACTCCCAAGGGTCTTCTACACTGAGTACAGAGGAGAAAACTGAAGAGAAGGGAAGATTCTCGTAGGTTGGAAAAATCTCCCTCCATACTTCTGTACTGTGTTCACCTGAGATGACAGCACCTCAGGTCAGCGAGGCTGGGTAAGTGGGGAGAGACAGGATGGAGGCCAGGGCCAAGGTAGGAAGGGGCAAAACAGGGAAGGCATAAAGGCATAAAATAACTTCTTTTTGAATTGTCACTCCCAAGAAATGAACCTGATCCACAGCTGAGAGGGTTGATGGTAGAGGGAATGAGTTGCCAAGGTACAGATGGTTGAAGAGGGAGGGGAGAAAGCGAAAGGAAAAAGAAACGAAAGAACACTTATTTTTATTGTTCCAAAATAAGGGTTGGAACCTAAGCTATAGAATAAACAACAAGAGCAACAATGTAAAAAAAACAAGCATAACAAGAAATACACTTTTCATCTTATTTTCTGCTTTTGCCCATCTTCTGTTCTTATTCACGTTTCTAGAAAGAGGAATCTGGGCCAGGTGTGGTGGCTCATATCTGTAATCCCAGCACTTTGGGAGGCTGAAGTGGGTGAATTGCTTGAGCTTAGGAGTTCAAGGCCAGCCTGGACAACATGGTGAAACTCCATCTCTACCAAAAAATAAAAATAAAAAATAAAAATTAGCCCAGCATCCTGGCATGCACCTGTAGTCCCAGCTACTGGGGAGGCTGAAGTGGGAAGATCACTTGAACCTGGGAGGTAGAGGTTGCAGTGAGCTGAGATTATGCCACTGCACTCCAGCCTGGGCAACAGAGCAAAGCCTTGTCTCCAGAAAAAGAAAATAAAATAAAAAGAGGGATCTGAACATCCTTATTTCCCATTTACTCATGGACCAATTGCCACCTGTCTTTTGTCCCTGTCCTGACATGAAACCATTTTTTTCAGTTACCTGTAGAATGTCAAACTCCATGGACTCTTTCATTCCTCATCTTACTTTACCTCTGAGTTGTGATGGATGACATTGATCACTCTTTTGTTCCTGGCTTCTGTGATATCAACCTCTCTTTATCTTCCTCCTTCTATGGTGCCATCTTTTCATTCTCCCTTATAAGCAACAATTTCACTCTTTGGATGTTAAAAATTGGTGGTCCCAACACTCCATTTCTTCATCTCTTCTCTCCATTCTCCCTACTGGTCTCAACTATGTCCTTGACGTCTACGACCATGTATGGACCATATCTCTAAACTCAATCTCTTTCCTGAGCTCTGGGTAATTGTAAATCTCCCTCAGATATGCCTAACCCTGCAAAACCCACTCTTCCTCCCTGTATTAGGTTTCTCATTGTTAGAACATGGGAAATTAATCATCTGTATCAGGTAGAGAGAAAAGAGAGAGAGCAGCAGCAGCAGTGAGCACGGTTGTTTCCAAAGCAAGAGATGCCTAGAAAGTCAGAAAGTAGGTTTCATGCAGATTTCAGAGAAAAGACAGGTCACTGGAACATGTTTAAGGGTCCGAATGGCTCTATTAATATCCATGCTCAGTAATTAAGATAGTGTTATATTGGTGTAAGGATAGATAAACAGACCAAAGGAACAGAATAGGGAGACCTAATTTATAGCAAAAGTGTCATTGCAGCTCAATAGGGGAAGAGGATGATCTTTTTCAGCAAATAGTGCTGTATTAGTTAAATATCCAGATGGAAAACAATGGACTTTGAAATCTACCTCACACCATACATAAATTAATTTGAGTTAGATAACAGAGCTAACCACGAAAGGTAAAATTGTAAAGCTCCCAGAGTAAACATACATGAACACCTTTATGATCTTACATTTCTTAAACAGGACATGAAAAGCACCAGCCATAGAATAAAAAAAAATTATAAATTAAACTTTATTAAAATTAACAGTGCGTATTCACCAAAAGCTACCAGTAAGAGAGTGAAAAGGAAATCCACATACTTGGAGAAGATATTTGCAATACAAATATCTAACCAAGGACTGAAACCCAGAATGTATAAAGAACTCTTAAAAGTAATATGTAAAGGACAAACAACTCCACTTGAAAATGACCAAAGGACTTGAATTGGTCCATCACAAAAGAAGTTTTATGAATGGCCCATAAACATGTGAAAACTTCCTGTCTTAAGTCTCTTTGGCTGTTTTTTTTGTTTTGTTTTTTGTTGGTTTGTTTGTTTGTTTTGGAGATGGAGTCTTGCTCTGTCACCCAGGCTGGAGTGCAGTGGTGTGATCTCGGCTCACTGCAACCTCTGCCCGCTGGGTTCAAGCAATTCTCCTGCCTCAGCCTCCCAAGTAGCTGGGATTAACAGGCACATGCTGCCATGCTCGGCTAATTTTTTGTATTTCAGTAGAGACGGGGGTTTCACCGTGTTGCCCAGGCTAGTCTCGAACTCCTGAACTCAGACAATCCAACCACCATGGCCTCCCAAAGTGCTGGGATTACAGGCGTGAGCCACTGCGCCTGGCCGTCTCTTTGGCTGTTATAACAAAATTACCACAACTAGGTGACTTATAAACAACAGTAACATTTGTTGCAGTTCTGGAGGCTGAGAAGTCCAAGATTAAGGTGCTGGTGGATTTGGTAGCTGGTAAGGGCCAGCTTCCTCAGATATGGTAATTTTTTCACTGTGTCTTCACATGGTGTAAATGGTGAAGGGCATTTCTTAGGCCTCTTTCATAAGGTCACTAATACTATTCATAAGACTGTGTCTCCATGGCCTAATCACCTCCCCAAAACCCCACCTTCTAATACCATCACCTTGGGGGTTAGGATTTCAGCATATGAACTTGGGGCAGACACAGACATTCAGACCACAGCAATTCCTCAACGTTATTACCTATCAGGGAAATTCAAGCTAACGCTATAACTAGATACTGCCACACAACTTCCTGAGTGGATAGAATTAGGAAGACTGACAGCTCAAGTGCAGACAAGGGTGTGGAGCAATTGGAGCTCTCAAACACTGCAGCTGGGAGTGTAAATGGGCACTACCACTTTAAGACACTGTTTGGACGTACTGTTCAAGCTAAACACATTTACTCTGTGACCTAGCAGTTATACTCCTGGAGGTATACACAAGAAAAATGACTCTTACGCCCACTGAAAGATAGGTATGAGAATGTTTATGGCAGCATTCTTTGTAGTAGTACTGGAAACAATCCAAATGTCTATCAATAGTAGGATAAATAGATAAATTATGCTATATTCACTCAATGGAATACTACACAGAATTATAAAAGAACAAATTATTGGTGTTTGACGTAATGTGGATAAATCTGACAGACATAAGGATGAGATAAAGAAGACAGACACAAGGATAATAAATTTTATGATTCCTTTATATAATACCTAAAAGCAGGCAAAATTAATCTGTGGTGACAGAGGTCTGAACAATGGTTACCTCTGGGGAGTCTGATGGGAGGAGGCATGAGGAAGCCGTCTGAAGTGCTGGAAATATAGGGTGATCTGGGTAGTAGTTAAAGAGGTGTATAAATCCATTAAAATTGATTGAGTTGACACTTAAAATCTGTGTACTTCACTTAGTTTTTAAGTTATATTTCAATTACAAAATAAAATAAAAATAAATATTCAATTCTATAGAATGAAAGTTGATGATAAAAAAGGAAGCCAAGGGAATGTCAAAAGCTACTGATAGTTCTCCTTGAGTATTTTTAATTGGAGTAGGATGGGGTGTATATAGAGGAATGAGGATGAAAACAGTTTTAAATAAGAAAGTTCATTAAAACAAAACTACATTGGATGAATTGGGCTTCATGGTCACCATGCCTGGCATCAGTGCCTGGTATTAGTGAATGGCAGGGGTCCAGGGTCAAGGGAAAGGCTGGCAGATACTGAAGGCCTAATGAGCGACAGTCACTGGCAAGCATGGCTTTGATATGAAATGCCAGTACCATCATCAGGAGACGAGCTGCTAGCATGATGCCAGCAGGTCTGTGAGTCTGGGAGCACTGTGTCCCTGGTCTAAGGGGAGTGGCCAGGGCTGGGCAGTCAGCACATCTGGAAGCGATGAGGATGAGCAGGGACCAAAGACAAGAGGCTGGATCCCTGCGGTAGCCTCACGGTCTTTCTTTTGGATCTCCTAGAACTTCCATGGGCAGAGAATAGTTCTGGAGGGCCAGTTTGCTCTCAGCACTGGGAATAAATAGATAAATTCCATGGTCTGGGAGGGTGAGCCTGGGCCTTGGGTCAATAGTTGCTTTTGGTAACACCTAAGTCTTCCAAGATGTGTAACAAATGTAAATGGACACACTTTGAGTGCTAATAAAATGTGCCTCGCTGTCATTGGCAAAAGATAAGTAAATATGGTTCTTCAAATGCTTTTAGCTCTAAAACACAATCCTAAAAACTCATAGTATGCCAACTCCTTAGAACCCCATATGAAAATAAACTTTTATTTTAAAAGTAAATTATGAATTTATGCTGAATAATGCAGAGGATTGCTTATAATCTGAAATAAATTACTAAAGACCTAAGAGTGGAGAGAACATGGGACTGTGCTTTAAGAAATTATTTTATTGTGCCAGAGCCTCATTTCTGACTTCTAAAGTTCTAATATTTATCATCACTTGAAGATTCTCTGAAGATAAATATTCTACAAGACAGAAAAGCAAAAACATATGACAGGGTTTAAAGCAATGCTTTTGGGGACAAGCACGGGCTTGACTCATAAACACTGGTAGAATTTCTTGAAAATCATTTTATTTCTGTAAAAAAATAAAATTATTCTCAAATGCTCCCCTGGTAACCTATAAAAATCCTCCTTGCTGTTCTGGTTTGGGGTCAAAACCACAAAAAGGAAATGTTTTAAATCTCTCTCTGTTCTGAAGCCTGTATCATGATGTCATAAAAGTTCCCTGCACAATTCCCTAATTCTTCATGTTCTCACATGGAACAAGCCCTGGGAGGCAGAATAAACCTTTCCTACAAATAGGAAGGTTCTCAAGGGGATGGGTAGGTCACTGTATTTCTGCTGCCCTGACATTAGAAGCGAGAAGCTACTAGCTTCAACTACGTCCATTTCCATTAATTGCATGTCAAATGTTTGGCCAAGAAAAAGGTCCAGTTCATTTAAGAATTAGCAGCAACTGTATAATAAATTACAGGATATAAAGAAGCAGAAAGTGGGGAACACAGTAAAATAGAATTGATGCACCTTAGCTATTTTGTCAATATGGCCTCAAAAGGGAGAAGATGAAGCATGAAAAGTGGATCTGATTAGGAAAAATACGCTCGAAAGAGACCATGATGAGAGATGCACACTGTGTTCTTTATTTCTTCCTGCCAGCAGAAATGAAGTAAATGGATCATGTAGGGGAAGTAAATGTAAGGCCTTTTCCACACAGAAGACAGCTCTAATGTGAGGCCAAGGCTCCAGCTGATCCTGTCTCTGGCTCAGTTGAGCTCCAGTGTTAGCTTTAGTTTTGCTGTGGTGGTTGCCTGGTTCTAAACAGACAGTGGAATCTGCTTTCACGTACAAATTTGGACGGCCAGATAAGGTTTTAAGCACCCTTTAAAATACCCAGAAGAAGGTATAGGAGCTGCCTAATGCATCTGAAGCTATCAAGTCTTACAACAACCCCTGCTGACTACTTGTGATGGTTAATTTTATGTGTCGACTGGGTCGCAGGGTGCCCAGATTAAACATGATTTCTGGGTGTGTCTGGGTGAGTGTTTCCTTATGAGGTTAGCGTTTGAATTCGAATTTGTAGACTCAGTAAAGTAGATTGCTATCCCCAGTGTGGATGGGCATCATCCAATCTGTTGAGGGCCTGAGTAGAACAAAAAGCAGAGGAAGGGAGGATTAATTCCCTTCCTGCCTGCCAGTGTGAGCTGAGACATGAGTCTTCTCCCATTCTTGGTCTGGGATTTACACCATTGTCTCCCTTGTTCTCAGGCCTTTAGAACTGGACTGGAATTGTACTTTCCTGGGTCTCCAGCTTGCAGATGGCAGATTGTGGAACTTCTCAGCCTGCATAATCGTGTGAGTCAATTCTTCATAATCTGTCTCTCTCTTTTTCTCTTTCTGCTGCCCCCCATAAGCCCTCTCTTCTATGAGCCTGCCAAATACACCACTGTATCTGGAATCCAACTTCTATAGGTGGGCTGAATATTTAAATTCCAAATGGTATTATTTCTCCTTGTGAAAAAAAGGACTTTGATGAGTTTTTTTTGTTAAACTTCCGGATTTTATCTTAGGCCTCAGCCAAGAACACCATTGCATTTAGCAGGAGGACACCATGTCTAGCAACCATTTTGAACTGCAGTGAAGGATATTACAATGAAGCTTCTGCTTATTTCCTTGAGTTCATAATTTAAGGCTACAGAGATATTTTTGAATCTTAATTCTATAATCCAGTTATCACATAGCCCTCCTAGTTTTATGTCACCCAAGAATGTGGTAACTATTCTCACTCTTGCTTCATAGGAATCATTTGATAAAGAATTAATACCAAACGCAGTTGAAGATCCTTACAGCAGGATCCAGGGAGGCCTTCCTTCATGGGAGAATGGACCCATCTCAGGGATAATTTCATACAACTTATTATTCAGCCTTAATTTCTTCATATTTACTACAAAAATCTTTTTCAGACTTCTTGAAGAAAACAAAGTGCATCAGGTTTATTTCCTTGATAAGAAAATATGGATGACCTACCAAAATGGAATTGTTTGTTGAACTTTGCTTAGTTTTGTTGTTTTTGGTGAGCCACTAGTAACCACTGGCCTTGATAATTCTCCCTGGGGATCATCATCAGGCTTTGTTTTTTTCCCCTGGGGAATGGTGACCATTCAATCCCTCAGCCTTTTTGGTATTGTTTTCTGGCTATTGTTTTCTGAGAACCAGCTACATACTAGACATTAGACACACCTTCTCCTATGTTTCCATCAACTCCAAAAGGAAAATACTAAGTGTCCTTCTGCTTCTATCCCTGTCCTTTCACCTAACTTTCCATACTAGGAAACTGGGGTTCTGAGTAGTTCAATGGCTTTCCGCAGACCACACAGTTGACCAGCGGTCGTACCATTGTTTGAACTGAGGACCATCAGGTACCAAATGCCACAGGGCCTTCCATTTTCTGTGCTTACCAAATCTTGAGAACAGCTTCACAGTCTTGTCTGTGAGTCTCTTCAGGGCCTTTGGGTGTGATTCATTGGCTTCTGGACATCTGAACTTATATGATGGAGGTCAGTGCTATCTGAGCATGTCTTTCTCTGCTTGTGACTTTGGGGCATTCTTGACCATTAAGCATATGCTCTGGGGCCGGGGCAGACCAGGCCTGCTGACTGCATGCTGCTTCTGTGGGAGGTGCTGTCCTCAGGACCACTGTCCACAGAGGCTGGGCCTAAGACTGCAGCAGAGGCAGAGGGAAGACTGTGTTCCCAGAGGAACCTGCCAAGCCCTACCTGGTTAGTGTTGTGGGCTCCAGGGACCTGCCCATCTTTCAATCACTTGGTTCTCCTTGGTAGATTCTTCTTTCGTCTTCCATGGGGGTGGGGGTGCTCACAGCCAACACAGCTTAGTTGTAGTTTCATGAGGGCTTCTCCTTTAACTGAGTCAGTGACTGAAATTACTCACAGCTCTCCTCTAAGTAGTTGAAACCTAGTTTCAAATTTCTTAGCTGTTTCCAAAGCCACAGCATATTTTACTGCTGGGAGGACAGATGCCTGCTCAAGTGTCTGATGAAGACACTTAAGCTTTATTGTTATTTGACATTCATTAGGGAACCATCTTCCGTAGGCAAAACACAAGACATTTTTCAGACAGAAGCCATAAAAGGACTAATGATGGGTCATAGGCCAGTTGGTATGAAAACAGGATGAACTGAGCCCTCGAGCCATGCCAGCTTGGTCCTGCACTGCCTCTGAGAACTGTGAAGAGTCTGGAGAAGAAATAAACAGAGATGATTCCAGTGCAAGGACAGTGAGGATGCCATTGCACAAACATGGAGCCACATGCATTGTGCTGAGAGCAACCATATCATCCAATGCCCTTTTCCAGCTGAGGTGCTGAAGAAATGCCTACCAAATTAATGATCAAGTTTCCTCCAGAAGAAGAGAACTGATGTTTACTGGACGCCAATTACATGTCAGCATACCCCTCGGGTTCTCACAGTAACCTGAAGAAGAATGTTGCTTGTTCCAGCCTTACAAAGCAGAAAGATAAGACTGTTGAGAAATGAACTTTACTAAGGACACAGGACTCATCAATGGTGCTGCCAGGATTTGACCCCAAGTGTGTTTGGGTCTCAAGTCCATAATTATTTTCCTTCACCTCTAGAATCCTGAGTCCAGGTACTCATTTTACTTCCAAAAAAAGAAGTGGAGTATGAAAAGAATATGGAGGGGGGAAAAATATAGAACTCATGACTATAGAATAGGAAAATAGAACCCAAATTTCCTCTCCCTTTGCTATTGGAATCTGGAGTCTCTTCCTTTTTCCTAACTGACTGTTGGGGTGTTGATGGACACATGAGAACATGAGAAGGCAGAGAGAGGAAAAATGTGCCTGTGAGCTATGGTGCTAAGTGGAAGGTGAGCAGTTTCCACTTAGATGAAGGCAAGAAGAAATGAAGTTGATTTGCCACAGGATGTTTTTAAATTAAATATATGGATAGAGGACTTTACAATGAAGATTCCTTTCTGATTAAATGTCTCTGGTTCCTTTAATCACATCTCTTTGGAAAGTTTCTCTTGCTACTTCAAATGAGGTCATGGAATTTTGCAATAGCAAGAGGAAAATACCTATCAGGCTAATATAACATTGGGAAAATTCACCTAGCTTATCTGTAAGATGTCTCCAGGCATGCTCACGCAGAGATGCTAATATTTCGTGCACCAACCCAGCTATTTTCTAACCATCTCTGCTTAGTTGCTGCTGCCTACTTATTCTTTTAACCTGGACTCTCCCCTCACTCTCCCCAGCCCCTGTCCCTTCATTCCAAGTTTACTATATGCACTTAGATGAAAGGAATCTCCCTCATGTTCAGAATTTCATAGTTGCTGGGACCATGTGACTTTTATTGGAAAGAAGTAAAGGAAAACGCCCTCCCTGCTACCCTTTCAGAGGGAAAGCTGCTACATTCTTTCTAAGACTCATTAAACTCCATCTGGTGGTTATGTCTTGAGGACATACTATCGAGGGGTTTCACCTCGATGCTGGTGAAGGTTTTCTCTGTCTGGGGGCACAAACCTCATATTATAAAATGTGGGAATTACCTGTTGCTCTCTGTCCATAAAGCCATGTCGTCAAATTAAGGAAATAAGTAAAGCAGATGTGAGTGAACCCACAACCTCAACATGGTTTCATTTTAATGCTAACTGTCCTATTTGGAGCAAGAGTAATTAGAAATCGGCAGCAAGTTAGTAGAAAAAAATTGCTGAGCTTCATAATTACTTGGGGTAGAGAGAGAATCCAGGATCCATTTACTGAAGGTTTCATTAAATTCTCCATTAGGAGAGTCAAACTATAGCCATCAGAGCCAGGAAAGAAGGAGAAGGGGGTGGCTTTGAAGGAAGTCAGGGATGGGGCCTGTGGTCACCTTCACTTTGCCCTAGGAAGCCCTAGGCTCACTGTGTTTTCCTTGCATTCTGCTAACAGTCACATACCTGTTGTGCCTGCATGCATGTCACGTCTGGCCAGGTACAGAGTGAAAGCTTCCATGTAGGTTCTCATCTCTTCTTTCGTCTTCCGTCTACCCCTCCCCCTTCCTTTCCTCATCAGCTGTCTCTCCAAAGTCTCCACTAATGGAATCTGCCCCATATTTCTTCTCTCCCTCCTCCCTGGCTGTGGCTGTGTTTGTGTATGTGTTTTAGATTTGGATATCTGTATCTCTCATTTAGTCCCCGGGGACACAATGCCTTTCTCATATACATCCTGTTGTAGATGTTCCCCCAAAATGTATGTTGGAGTCCTAACCCACTGTATTTCAAATGTGACCTTATTTGGAAATAGGGTCATTGCAGATGTCATGTTAAGGTGAGGTCATACTCAATTGGTGTGGGTCCTATTCCAGCATGATTGGCATCCTTCTAAGAAAAAACAGAGAGACACAGGCACACAACAGGACACTGTCATGTGATGATGGAAGCAGAGACTGAAGTGCTGCAGCTGCAAGCCAAAGAACGCCAGAGATTGCCGGCTAACCCCCAGAAGGAAGAGGCAAGGAACGTTCTCCCCTAACGACTGCAGTAGGGGCACGGCCCTGCCAACACTTTGTTTTTTGGCTTCTAGTCTCCAGAACTTTGTGACAATCAATTTTTGTTGTTCTGAGACACTCAGTTTGTGGCAATTTGTTGCAGCACTGTTAGGACACTAGTGTACACTCCTTCATAATAAATACCCAGCAGAGAACTTGGCGTGGGAAGAGCTTGCTGTTAGACTCTGTGGGGAATACAAAGACAAGCTAGGGAAGACCCTTGCCCTCTCAGTGATGCTCAGTTTTGTAGGGAGACTGACAATCATAATGCTCGTCCATGGAAGATGCAAATGTACATTATAACAGAGGGTTAAGTAGACAAAGTGGGGGGCATCTAGGAAGGCTTTGGGGAAAAGTTAGGATTACACTTTGAGAATACATGAGCTTTATAAAAAATGTGGACAGAAAGATACCATTAATAAGTAGAAATAGCTCATGTAAAGGTGTGAATTCTGGAAGCAATAGAGGATACATGGAGAATGGCAAGTGGGCTGCTCTGGTAGGTGGATAGGGTAAGTGGTGAGGATCATAGACATATATTTAAACAGGAAGAGTGAAAAAAGCAAGGGCAATGAGGGCTTGGCATCCACTATCCATATGCTTGCATGAAGAGATCTGGGGAGCCACTAATGGCTATAATTGCCTTCAGGTTCATCTTCCCAGAGGGAAGTCCAGAGCATCCTGGGTGTGGTCCAGGTCTTTGGGGGCAAGTCAAGTAAAGTGTAACAGAATGTGAGCTCAGGACCTGGGCTACTGTATCTCTGCTGCCCCATCACTTGACCGATAACCAGGAAGGGAAGGCTTCATAATCTGTAAGTCTACACCCAGGTTATTTCCAAAGCCATGATTTTATGCTTAGGATAGGAGTCACAGTGTTCCACCGTCTGAGTTTTACCCAGGCACCACCCATTCCCAATGGAGACAGGCCTGACTTTTGCCCTCCTAATGGTTCCCTCCCACCCTTGTATCCCTCTCTTGTATGGTCTCTCTGCCTGGGAACTCAGTTGTGGTCTTGACTATCCTATACCTTCTTGTCACTTTGGAATTCCTTAACCTGCTTGTCTCCCATTGCTCTGTAGCTGCCTTGCTAAGATCTTTTGTCCAAAGCACTACTCGACTCATCCTTAGCCCTGGGTCCTATGTTTCCTTTTAAGTCTCAGTCTTACTGTCATTTATTCATTCATTCAATTTTGAACACCACTATGATATACTTTCTATGCTAAGAGCTGGGGATACAGAGATCAATACAACAGCTGTCCCCAGCTTAGTATAGCTTATAATCCAGTGTGTAGACAGAAGACTTAATTGTCATCTGCATAATTAGAGATTGTGGTAAGTGCTGGAAAGGCAAAGAGCAGGCAAATGTGAGAGGGAATGATGAGGAGGGTTGCCTTACATTGGAGCCTTGAATAGGGTTGTGAAATAGGGAAGAACCCATTTTGCAAAGAGATAGAGGAAGACTATTCCAGAAAGAGGGAGTGACAGCCGATGCAAAGGACTTAAGATAGAAAGGTTTAAGGAACTGAAAGAGGCTAGTGTGGCTGAAGCATAGTAAGTTAGCTGAAGAGCTATGATAAGTAGATGGATTGAGGTAATGCAGAACTTTGGGCCATAAAAAAATGATGGATGTATACTAAGAACAATGGGAAAAAAACTGGAAGATTTAACACAAAGGAGTAATGAAATTTGGTTTAATTCTAACTGTATGCAGAATGGCCTAATAGGGTCAGAGGGGGAAGCCAGGAGCCAGCCAGGAGGTTATGGCAGTAGCTTAAGCCAGAGGCAGGGCTGGCTGTAGAGATGGACATAAACAGGTGGGATATGGGTGGGTTTTGGAGGTAGAGCCATCAGAACTTGTTTGTGGGTTGGTGGGGTAGGGTGCTGAGGGTGAAGGATGAGTGAAGAATTATAGCTCAAGTGATGACTTAGATTGGGACTGCTAGAGAAGAAATGGGTTTGAGAATGGAAAGTTTCAAATTCAGTTTGGGGGATGGGGATTTTGAGATTCTTGAGAAATTTCTGAGTATAGATGTCAAGCATGCAATTCAATTTGTAAGTCTGGAACTGTAAGGAAATATCTGGGTTGATTGTAGATTGTGTGTAAAGTCAGGGGAACAGATGAGATCCTCAGTGACAAGAGAGTAGAGCAAGGAGAAAGGAGGGAGTAGAGCCAAGATCTGAAGGACTCCAACACTTAGAGCTTTGGTAGAAGAGGAATTGGCACAAGAGATTGAGAAGCAGCATCCAGAGTGGCAGAAGGTTAACCAGAGGAGCAGTCTGCTGTGGAATTAGAGGGAAGGGGTTGTTTCAAGGAGAGAGCATCAAGAGTGTCAAATGTTACCAAAAAGCCAAAGGAGATGAGGACTTTGCACACCCATGGGATCTTGCAACATGGTGACCTGCTGCAATATGGCCTTTCCAACAACTGTTTCTTCTGCATCCACTTCATCATCATACTTTTCATCTTTACAAATGTTCAGGAGAGTTTAATTATACTCAACATGTACACATGCATTAGTTCATTTAATCCTCACAACAATCCTGTCAGATTGATATTGTTATTATGTTATCCCAATTGTATAGAGAAGGAAACAGGGTCATAGAGGCTAACTGTCTTGCTCTATATCTTCCTCCCCATTTCACAAGTCTTTCCCATAGTCTTCTGTTACATAATTGGGGAAGTCTAGAATTGGAAGGGAATTTAGAAATATTCTGGTCTTCTCTCATTCTTTAAATGAAGAAGCTAACCCCAGAGATGGAAAGAATTCATGCTTATTGACTAACTCTTATCCCTGTGCTGGGAGCAAAATGTACATTTCTCATGTAGTTCTTCAGGAACCCTAACGGTTTCTCCAATCAGGAAACTAAGACTCTGAAAATTGAGGCCAGTGCCCAAGTCGTATTGCTAACAAGCAGGGGATTTAGGATTTGAATCCAGAATTTGCTGACCGCAGTTTGTCTTAACTTTCTATGCCACATCACCTCCCAAGATCATGGCAGAAAAGAAACTAGAACCAAGCTTCCCTGGTCCTGACTTCTCCAACATAGATAGGCCCATCAAAGCCCCACGTCATCAGCTTTAAACACAAGCAGGTTAGGGCCCTGTCCACATGATTTCTTCAAAATGTGCAGCCCCTCCTCAAGTTGACAACATCACACACATGAGCAGATATTTAATTTTGTCTAATTTGGACCTGAATTTCCTGCTCCACCTTAGCTGACCAAGCTCTCAGATGTCCCATCCTACTGTTTTGGGTTTCATCTGTAAGTTGTAATCACTCCTCCCAGCCTGCCTGCCTCTTGCTTCCCTCATTTTCTGGCTTAGACTGTTCCTCATTATAGCTCATGTTTGCTTAAGATCATCCTTAAGTTCTTTTTATCTCTTCTTGGAGCTCCTTAAAAAAATCTTTCTGGAACTTTGATTTGTTGTGGTTTGATGCTTTTTTTCAAAGGCAGCTTTACTAAAGTCTTTTCTAGGCTTTTTGGCCCCATTCAATTAAAGCTAAGTATTCAGCCAGCTGTCTTATTTCTGATTTGAGGTCACTTAATGTGTATATTTCGACTCTTAACTCATATAGTTCTTTATTCTTGGCTTATTAAGTCTACTTGCCTCAGAAATACAGCCTTAATTTTTTTTTCAGCAGAAAAGTACGCGTTTACTATCATGATGAGTGAGCATTTTTTGACTCACAATGACAAGTTCTAGGCAGCCCAGGTGTCTATGATATCTTGACTAACTTTGATGGCACCTGGGCCTCCTGGGGGGTGGCGGTGGGGTAGGGACCCTGGGTGTGGGCAGGCTTTGTGACCTCTCTCTTCCTTGTTTCCCTCTGCCCTTCTTTCTAGTCTTCTTTTGAGGTCTCCCTCCTTGCCAGTTGTCTGCACTTCTCCAGCTCCTCCCCCTCCCTACTGACCCTTGTCAGTGTCATCCAAATGAGATGACACAGTGGGAGTGGGTGAGCTCAGTCTTAGTGAGACTGCTCCCCTGGTGGGAGGGAGGTAAGGACTGAAATTCTGAGCCGGGACTAGTTTCTTCCTGTACCGCCTCACCCACCACTCATATCTAACGTAAAATAGATGCTGCCAGGCCAGTGTAGGGATTCATTTCTTTCTGAAATCTCTCCCTGACCTTCCTGGGTTTATAAAAGAAATTCATATTCTGCACATTAACTTAAATTTTGTTCTACTTTTTGCCAACTAATACCCTGGCCTTATTATGGTAATAGTGTCCACCCCTTCTTTGTCTGGATTATGTCATGAAGAATTCTGCATTAACTTGACAAGAAAGAACCAGGAGCCCAAATTTACCTCCCCCTAATTCCTGGATGGAGGTGTGGGGAGTACATAATAAAGTTTTATTTTATCATGTCATGTAAATCTAATGAAGCTGCTGTAGATACAATGAAGTCAATTCACATAACACCCTGTGTAGTTGCCAGGCCTGTGCTAGGTAATGAGAATTTAGAGAGAAAAGAGGTCCAGTCTCTGTGGTAAAGAAGCTCAGAATTTACTGAAAAATGAAACAAAACAACAGTAAAAACAAAAACCATGAGAGGTCCCAGCAGGATACATGCCAAAGCTTAGATGTGCCAGCCCAAGGGTTTGAGGAACCTTTTGCAGTCAAGCCCTCCCCTCTAACTGGCATGCGACTAGGAGCACAGAAGTTGAATCTTGTCCATGGTTATGGTTCAAACACAAGTACATGCTCATTTGGGCCCCAGTGGATGCCATGTGGGGCCAACAAGCCCCCTAAGCAAGGAGAGTGATCAGCACAAGTGAGAGCCCGAGTGTGGAAGGTGGTAGATTGCTCAGGTATAGGTGAGGCTGTAGTTTAATGTAATCCGATGTACCTACCCCTGGGTAATGCTGTGAGGAGGGGCAGTCTGTGCAGCAAAACTGAGAGCTGTTGTATTCTCATCACAGAATTAAATCACATTGTAAGTGATGTAAATGATGTGTAAACCAAAAGTTTGGAGATGGACAAATATACATAATGTGCTTGGCAACCAATAATTTCAGCAGGGCAAGAGAGGTGAAATAGATTAGTGAAAAAAGAAGAGTTGATTCACTACCTGATACATGTCAGGTACACATTGTTCCCAAGGAAACCTATGGGAGTTTCTAATGTGCATATGAAGGTAATGTATA
Organism: Homo sapiens; assembly: GCF_000001405.40. Classification (NCBI taxonomy): domain Eukaryota; kingdom Metazoa; phylum Chordata; class Mammalia; order Primates; family Hominidae; genus Homo; species Homo sapiens. Next base: position 135,548,655 of record NC_000003.12, on the reverse strand, counting down.
AAAAAGGCACCAGAGAAGTGAACAGCATGCACATTTACCTGGTTATGTATATTTGCACCTCATAAATTCAGCACCACAGTTGACCAGCTTGAGTTCTTGGAAAAAAGCAAATTGACATCATAAATTTGCATTTAGCTTTCATACAGCATAAGAGAGAAAAGAGAGCTATTTGTCCATCAGCATTGAATTATTGAACAGACAATTATATTTTTAAATGGTCAAATGATGCATACTTTTTAGTTTTCTTATTTATCTATTATGCAAACATATTAAATTAATAGGAAAATTCTCTATGAGGAGGGAGGGGGAAAGAAAAATTGGCCTTTGGGGCCCAAGCAGGTATCCCCCTTGCTGTGGTACCCTAGCCCAAACCAGTGCTTGGGACCCAAGAGGAAGAGTTTCCTCCAGTGGAAAAGTATGAGCCCAGGAAGTCGTGAGGCCAGTATAAGGTTTTGTAGGTGGTAGTGGTTGCGGCACAGTTGCAAGGCGAGTGGTCTAAGTGAATGGTGGGGAGCACATTGTGTCAGGCATTGTTGGTCAGAGCATCAAAAGGGCTAAGAAGGATGATGTACAGAGGAGGGGGAAGCAGCCTGAACTCTATGTGAGTCACCTATTTCCCCATCCACCAGGGCCTTCCAAAGAGAGATAGGAAAGTAGAAGGGATGAGAAGGCTATCATTCAGTGAGTGGGGTCATTGATTTGGCAGACTATAGGTCACAGTATTACAGTGACCTAAGCCAAGATTTTCAAATGTTGAACCTACAGGAAATTCAGGCTACATAAATATGTGAGAAAATAGTAGCATTATAATAATAGTTTAATAATAATTAATAGCTTAAGTCATTGTTCATCAAACCAGCTGATGAGTAAATACCCAGTGAGTAGATCATAAAATAAGGTTTGAGAGCAGGGAGAAGGCCCTGTGGGCTGGCTTGGTCTGACAAGATTTGATGGAGGGAATAGGTGAGGTAGTGCTTTCAGGTGGGGAGACTCTGGTAAGGTGAGAGGGTAAGGAAAGGCAATATTGTGATGAAAAGGGAGCGACTTCCAGTTTCAACCCTGATATGTAAAGAACTTTGAAGTCATCACTCCCAGTCTTATGGGGCAAGGAAAAGCTAGACAAGCTGAAAATCAACAACTTTTCTTGAACGTGTCATAAAACTGTGGCCACAGGGCAAACTAATACCCTCAAATCTGGAGAGACATAACATCCAGAAAGAGACTGCAACTAATATTTGCTTATCGGAGACATTCTTGAGCTATAAACTGGTGGGAACATTAATTGGGTGAGTTGCTGGAGGCTGAATATGTATCAGAGTGAGAGGGAAAGACCCATGAGAGCCATAGTCTTAGGGGGATCCCATACTTTTATAAGCTTTCCCTCTAGCAACCCCACCGTATTCTCACAGTGAGGATCCTAGAAAGATCCCCCCCTGTGGCTCTGGCAAGGGAAGGGGAAGAATGATCATTATGAAACAAGCCCAGAGCATCCTCCATAGCAAAGGCCCACTGCTCAGGAGAAGGGGTTTTGCTGGAGCACAATACTGAAACTTTATGCCAGCGGAAGAAAAGGATTTTTTTCTCCATCTTTCCTAAATCACACAAGGGAGAAAATACTCACAAAGTCGACTGGGGACAGAGCCTCAAGAAAACAGATTTGCAATAATGTAGTCAGGGAAAGGTGCAAGAGGAGGGGGAAAGATATACTACTGGAAGAGTATCAGAAGCCTTCCTGAAGTCCACAGCACCAAGACACAGGTCCTGTAAAAGACTCAGACTTAATGGAAAGATGGTAGAATGCTCTTCCTACTCCAACACCTTACCACCACCACAACAAGGCTCCAGTATAATAACAGTGGGTTGCAACTTAACGGGCAGCAAGACACAGACTCTTTCTGAGGAGTAATACATAGGGAAGCCCCTAAGACAAGAAGGGAGAAAAAAACAAGGACACAAGTGGAATTTGAAGCCCCTGGTACCTAAAACTACAACAAACATTAAACACAGTAAAACACCTAGCCAGATTAACATAAATCTTTACACTAAAGGCCTATTTACCTTAGTTTCTATTACCCAATAAATCATGTCTAACTTTCAGCAAAAAATTACAAGGCATGCCAAAAATCAAGAAAAGCACAGTTTGAAGAGACAAAGCAATCATTAGCATAGACTTAAATACAGTACAGATGTTGGGAATATCAGATAGGGAATTTAAGATAACTATGATTAATAAGTAAAGGGCTCTAGTGGAAAAAGTATACAAAGTACAGGAACAGATGAGTAATGAAATGGAAACTCTAAGAGAAAATCAAAAGCAAATCTTAGAAATCAAAAGCAGAGTAACAGAAATGGTACTTTGATAGGCTTATCAATAGACTCAAAATGGCTAAGGAAAGAATTAGTTTACTTGAAATAGGTTAATGAAACTTCCCCAAAACCAAAAACAGAACAGAACATTCAAGAACTGTGGGACAATATCAAAAGTGTAACGTATGCAAAATTAGAATGCTAGGAAGAAAAAGAAACATTTGAAGTAATAATGGCTATGAACTTTCCAAAATTAATGACAGACACAAAACTAAACCGTAGATCCAGTAAGCCCAAAGACTATCATATTCAATCTTCAAAAAACAGAAGACAAAGATAAAGTCTTGAAGGACGCAAGGGAAAAAATCACTTTGTTTATGGAGAAACAAGAATAAAAATTATAGTGGACTTCCTGTCAGAAACCATATAAGGAAAAGGACAATGCAGTGAAATATTCAAAAAGTTGAAAGAGAAAGAAAAACCCTGCCAATAGAGAACTCTATAGCCCATGAAATTATCCTTCAAAAGTGAAGGCAAAGGAGTCATTACTACTAATACCATGGCCATGAATATATAATAAAGGAATACTGTGAACAACCCTATGCCCACAAATTTGAAAATTTAGATAAAAGGAACCAATTTCTTTGTCTTAGTCTGTTTTGTTTTGCTAAAACAGAATACCTAATACTGGGTATTCATAAGGACAGAATACCTAATACTGGCTAATTTATAAGAACAGAAATTTATTTCTCATTATTCTGGAGGCTGGGAAGTCCAAGATCAAGGTACTGGCATCTGGTAAGGGCCTTCTTACTGCAACCTCACACTACAGAAGATGGAAGGGCCAAAAAGACACAAATGCTGCATCCTCACATAGCAGAAGAGCAGAAGAGAGAGAATCCATTCCCAAAACCCTTCTTATAGTGGCATTAATCCATTCATGAGGGGTCTGCCCTCAGGACCTAAACATTTCCCATTAGGCTCTACCTCCCAACGCTATTGCATTGGAGATTCAGTTTTCGACACATAAATATTGTGGGACATATTAGATCACAGTGTACTTGAAACACACATTACCAAAACACACATGGAGAGAGATGGGTAATTTGAATAGTTCTACATCTTATAAAGGAAATTGACTCAATAATTACTAACTTTCCAAAAAAGAAAGTGCCAAGTACAAATAATTTCACTGGTGAATATTGCCAAACATTTAAGGGAGAAATGGTACCAATTCTCCACAATATCTTCAAGAAAATAGAAGCAGAGGGAACATTTTCTAACTCATTTTATGTGGCAAGAATTAATACTAAAATGAGGTAAAGAATTATAATAAAGAGAAAAGCAAATCAAGATTTCTCACGAATACAGATGCAAAAATACTCAACAAATATGAGCAAATTCAATCTAACAATGCATAAAATAAATTATACTCCATGACCAAGCAGAATTCATTCCAGGTGTGCAAGGCTGATTCAACACAAAAATCAGTGAAGTCAACCACATCAACAGGCTGAAGAAGAAAAAACCATATGACCATATCAACTGATGCACAAAAACATCTGACAAAATCCAGCACCCATTCATAGCAACAACTTTCAGCAACTGAGAAATAGACATCATTAACTTCCTCAACTTGATAAAGAACATCTACAAAAATCCTGCAACTAACATCATTCTTAATAGAGAGGAATTGGACTCTTTTCCCTTAGATGTTCTCTCTGACTACTCCTATTCAACATGATGTTGGAAGTCCTGCCTGGTGCGGTAAGATAAGAAAAATAAATAAAACGTATACAGATTGAGAAAGAAGACATTAAAGTTTGTTTGCAGATGACACTACTGCCTACATGGAACATCCAAAAGAATAAACAATCTCCTGCAATGAATAAGTGATTATAGCGAGGTCACAGGATACAAGGTAATACACAAAAGACAATTTTTCCTACTATATTCCCAGTGAACAACTAGAATTTGAAATAGAAAAATTATCTTTTGTAATGGCAGGCCTCCAAAATAAAGGAAATACATAGCTGTAAATATAACACAATATGTGCAGGATCTATATGCAAATAAACTACATAACTCTGATGAAAGAAATCAAAGATGATTCAAATAAGTGGATAGACAGTCCATATTCATGGATTGGAAGACTCCATATTGTTAAGATGTCAATTCTTCCCAAACTGACATATAGATTCAACACAATTTCAATTGCTATCCCAAAAAGTTATTTTGTAGATACTAGGAAACTAATTCTAAAGTTTATATGGAAAGACAAAAGACCTAGAATAGCCAGCACAATATTGAAGAAGAATAACAAAGATGGAGAACACACATTACCTACTTTCAAGACTTACTAAATAGCTACAGTATGACAGCATGGTATTGATGAATGAGCAGACACATAGATCAATGGGACAGAATAGAGAGCCCCGAAATAGACCCCTACAAAAATAATCAACGTATCTTTGACAAAGGAGAAAAGGTCATTAAATAAAGAATGATAGTTTTTTTTCAACAAATGGTGAAGATAGACACAGCCCTTACAATCTGCACCAAGTTTAACTCAAGATGGATTACAAACAAATTTAAAATACAAAACAATAAAACTTCTAATAAAAACATGGTAGAAAATCTAGGTGACTTTGGATTGGACAATATATTTGTAGGTGTGACACTAAAAGCATAATCCACGAAAGAGAAAGTGGATAAGTTGGACTTTATTAAAATTAGAAATTTCTGCCCTGCAAAAAACACTGTTAGGAGAATGAAAAGACAAGTCACAGAGTGGGAGCAAATAGTTACAAAAGACATATCTGATAAAGGACTTGTAACCAAAACATGCAAAGAACTCTTAGAATTTAGCAATAAGAAAATAAGCTAATTGAAACATGGGCAGAAGATCTGAACAGACATCTCACCAAAAAAGATAATACAGATGGCAAATAAACAATTGAAAAATGCTTAACATCATTTGTCACTAGGGAATTATAAATTAAAACAACAGTGAGGTACCCCTGCATGTCTCTTAGAATGGCCAGAATCCAAACAACTGACAATATCAATTGTTGGTGAGGATGTTGAGGAACAGGAACTCTCATTTATCACTGGGGGAATGCAAAATGGTACAAACATTTTGCAAGGCAATTAAGCAGGTTTTTAATAAAGTTAAACATAATCTTGCCGTATAGTCTGGCAATTGTACTTCTAGATGTTTACCTAACTAATATGAAAACTTATATTCATAAAAAACATGAATACAAATATTTATTGCAGCTTAATTCATAATTGCCAAAAGCTGGAGGCAACCTAAATGATTTTTAATAAGTGAAAGGATTAACAAACTGTGGTATATCCACACAATAGAATATTATTCAATGATTGAGAAGAAATGAGCTATCAAGCCACAAAAGGACATGAATGAAACCTAAATGGATATTGTTAAGTAAAAGAAGCCAGTCTAAAGACATACTATATAATTTAAGGTATATAATGTTTTGTAAGAGACTAAACTATAGAGTCATTAAACAGACTCTATGGTTGTCATGGATGCAAAGGGAGGAAGGTTGAATACGTGATGCACATGGAATTATCTTAGGGTGATTAAACCATTCTGTATCATAATATAATGGTGGGTACCTGACATTATGCATTTGCTAAAACCCATAGAACTTCACAGCACAAAGAGTGAACCTTAATGTATACAAATTTAAAAATTCGTTTAAGAGGACAGGACGTTCCAAGATGGAATGCAGACTAGGGCAAAAGAATACAACTGTATTACAAATGTATGATACAACCTAATTGAAGAGATAGGGGAAAAAGATTCTGACCTAAGTATCTTTGGAAATAGGTGAAGACTGTAAAGATGAAAGGATCTGTACATAAAGACTATAATGCAGCTGATGATGTTGTTTCCCATTGGAGTGCAGCTTAACAATTCTGAAACCATTGTACATGTATACCGGAACTGAAGAATTAGGTATATGGATGGTGGATGATGAGAATCAAGTTTCTCACTCATGGACTGTAAGGTTATAGACAAGCAAGAGGAGGGATAATCCATGTGGTACTTGATTACAGTAGAAGACATTGGTCTATGAACTTAATGTTCAGCTTAATATAGAAACAGATGGATATATCAGAAATGTATATATATATATAAATATATAAATACAAATTATATATACATTTATATGTCATATATTACATATATGTGTATATATGTGTATATATAAATTATATATACATTTATACACACACACATATATACACATATAATACACATATATACACATTTATATATAAATTATATATACATATAAATTATAAATGTATATATAATTTATATTTATATAAATGTGTATATATGTGTATTATATGTGTATATATATGTGTGTGTGTATATATATATACACACACACACACATATATATACACACACACACATATATATGTAATATATGACACTCTGGTAGCAATGAGCATACCTCGATTGGGCTGAGATACCTACAGCCCAATCTTGGTTTCTAATGCTATTCTTTAATAAAAGGAACCAGGGATCCTGGAGAAGTCATTTATTGTAAGGCTGGGGCAGGAAATATAAGAGATGAGCCTGGAGCATCTTAATAGTCCCAGAAAGTAAGAAAGTGTTCAAAAACACACAATGATGGAGGTATGTCAAAGGGACATAGGAACCAGCTGAAAGAACTACTAATGGCCAAAGCAGGAATAAATTGAGCAAGAAAATAAATTAGGTGATATTGCATTTTAACCCAAAATATAAAGCAAAAATATCCATGAGACACAAATAAATGATTAAGTGAATACATGAACAGTATAGAATAGATAAATCTCCCATGTGAAAGAAGCCCAAATAATATATATAAATACTTCACCCTTCAGGAGGTGAAACATTCTACCCCAACTCTTACATGTGGTCTGTGAATAGACTTCCTTCTAAAGAATACAGTATGAAAAGGGGAGAAAAGTTACTTTGCAGTGGAGGAAACACTACCTCAGTCAAATGATCAAGATTAACATCAATAGTGGTAAGTCATGTTCATAGCTTGTACTCTGGATCTGATAGCACTTTGCCTCTATAAAAATCTTCCTGCCAGGAAAACCATAACTCTAGTCTAACCATGAGAAAAATATTGAACCAATCTAAATTGAAGGATTTCTACAAACTACCTGACCAGGACTTCTCAGGTTTTAATGTTAAGGCCATCAAAACCCAGGAAAGTCTGAGAAACTGCCACCATCTAGAGGAGTGTAAGGAGACATGATGACTGAATGCAATGTTGTGTCCAGGATAATATCCAGTCACAGAAAAATGACCTTAGGTAAAAGCTTAAGATATCTGAATAAAGTGTGGAGTTTAGTTGATAATAATGTATTAATATTGGTTTATTAGTTGTGACAAGTATATTAATGTAAGATGTTAGCAGTAGAAACTGGGCATGAAGGGTGAGAGAACTACCTGTACTATCTATGCAAATTTTCTGCAAATAGAAAAGTGTAATAAAATTAAAAGTTTACTGAAAAAGATAACTTTTTTAAAAAGGTGGTGGAGAGGAAGGGAAGGAAGGCAAAAATTAAGAGATGCTCAGCCCTATAGGAGAATCTAGCCAGATGTTGAAGCACAGATGTGAAAGGGTCCCCAAAAGCAGAGATTTGGCTGTCAGAAATGGGTCAATTCCAAGGAATCTTTGTAAAACTGAGTATGAATCCAAAGGTACTGCCCTGGAAACCAGCCAGAAGGAGTTCAGTGAGACTTTTATGGTCTATTTAGTGAGTGTCTACTTAGTGCCAGGCACTTTATAGACATTTTCTTATTGACTCCCTCAACAACTATGTGAAGCAATTACTCTTCTATTCTTTGTGCAGATGAAGAATTGAGATCCAGAAAAGTTGTATGTCTTGAAGGCTACAGCAGAGGACTGGCTGGAGTTGGAGCCCAGCTCTGTCTAAATCCAAATTCCTCATACTTCTTAATAGTTTCCATTTACTGAGCACATAAACTATCATCCAGTCCCCATGACAAATGCTTTAAATACATTTTAACATAAAATTCCTGATTTGGCTGTAGGTTCTATCATGATCCCCATTTTACAGATGAGGGAAGACTCTCCGAAAGCTTATCTGTAAGTTCTTCAAAGTCCCACAGATAGGACATGGTGGCGCAGATATTCAAATACAGGTTCTTTGATTTCCAAAACCCAAATGTTAAACCACTAGCCTGTATCACTTTCCATTATGGTGACTGGAGGTTTTCCCTGAGTGGTGTGTGGTTTCCCCTGCGTGGAGTATGACCTGTCAGGTCTGTCTCTGAACTACTTCCCCTAAGGCTAGGATTGACTAGAATGACCAAATGACTATAGAAGCCCTGCTTACCATTCTCATCTCTCATTGTATGGAGATCTATGTTTCACTCTGGAAGGCCAGCCTGCTGAGGGCATTGCTACAGTGAACACCCAGGCACTCTCCTGCCTCAGGTCATCAAAGGAGCAGCAATTTCCTCAACTGCCATCTGCAGACCTCTGGAATGGATCTTTAGATAAAGTCCTTTAGCAATATCTCAACATAATCAAATTGTACATTTTACTGTGGCTTCAGATGCCCAGAGTGTGGCCTGCAGTGAAAATGATGTCTATGACACACAGGGTGAAAACGACTAGTAATGGCCTCTGATAAACAGGTGTGCTCCTAGCTCTGCAGACACTGCAAGCCATTTAAGATCTGCCAATCGTATTTGAGCTGCTGAGTCCTACAGCTTGCACTGCTTGGCAATGCAGGATGCAGGAAGCAGATTCAATAGCAGGAAGAACATATAAAGAAAGCCAAGGGCTGGGCGTGGTGGCTCATATCTGCAATCCCAGCACTTCAGGAGGTCAAGGCAGGTGGATCTCCTGAGGTCAGGAGTTCAAGACCAGCCTGGCCAACATGTTGAAACCCCGTATCTACTAAAAATACAAAAAATTAGCCAGGTATGGTGGCGGGCACCTGTAATCCCAGCTACTCGGGAGGCTGAGGCAGGAGAATCACTTGAACCTGGGAGGCGGAGGTTGCAGTGAGCCAAGATCATGCCATTGCATTCCGGTCTGGGCAACAAGAATGAAACTCCATCTCAAAAGAAAAAAAAATTGAAAGCCAAGGACTCAAAGCTTATGAGAATGATGCCTAGGATATTCTGTACCTATGTGCCTGAAGCAGGCTTCAGAAGACAGTAGGGCTTTAATCCTAGACAGAGGGCCCAGGAGAAAATTCATCAGCAAACATCGCCATCCTCAACATGGCCAAAACATTGGGGATTATTAACTCTGGCAGTGATATGCCAGGATGCTTTCCATTAACATTTTCCAAAATATCAGTGAGCTACTTCCAAGATTGTGTTGAGCAAAGGGTTAGTCTTATGCTGTGACCCCGCTGTGTGGTAATGGCAATGTAATTTCTGTTTGCAACGGATACATTATATCCTAGAGACATTATCGCTCTTCCTTGGGAAATGCTGTTGCATAACAGTGTTGGGGCTTAAATTGTAAGCTGTGGCAATAGCCACATTTAATATGGGGATGCGCTTGTATTTTTACAATTTTGTGGGTTGGAATTGGTGAAGTGGTATTCTTATGTAGCCTGTTAATTCCCTGGCTTTTTGAGAAAATGGAACAGATGAGAGACTAGGTGGGAAGGTGGTGTCCTCACTTCCAGGGGAAGGTGGAGCATGCCACAGCTGCTGAAGAAGGAGTACAAAGGTACTTTTGCCTTGAGTGCGACCCCTCTGGCTGGGGTGAGCTGAAAGGAAAGCAAGTGGTGGAAGGAAAAAGTTTGCATATATTTTGGAATTTTACTCATGACAACAGGGGATAGAAAACTGATTTCTTTAGAATTTGGATTCTTCTGCATCAACAAGGGAAGGACTTGGAAGAAGGAGAAGGAATACAATGTTAAATTTTATGGGCCAGTTTGGGACATTTTATTATGTAGGCATTGTGTTCTTTGGACTATGTTGTTAATCATCTGCGGCATATTGTTTAACACTGTCTGGCGAGCTTGATTGGACAACATGGCTGGGCATTATTTAAGATGGGAAATAGGATAGCAGTGACTTCTTGGCCTACTGCCTGATGGTGTAGTTGAGGTTCCAGATATATCTTGGCATGAATAGAAAACTGGAGGGGCTATTCTGCCAGATTGCTGTGTTTAATGGAGACTGACAAGCCTCCTGTGTGAACTCACCCCAATGGGAGAAGGAGCCAGGCTAGTTCATGTGTCTAGAACAAAAGCCTTAGTTGTTGGCTGAGAGTCTTTATGTTTTCTCCTAGCCCAGTTCCCGTTTCACTCATCCCTTCATTTAAAACACTTTTACTGAGGCATTAATATGTAGCAGTCACTGTGTTATGTGTATAATTGCAACAGTGAACAGGATAGAGACAATGAGTATTTGTATTCTGTGGACATTAGGGAGGCTGAGAGTAAAATTTGAAAGAGCTGGTGCTCTGAACAGTCTGGCAGAAACTGGAGCATAAGCAGTTCGCTTTCTCTAAAACCAGGTGTTGAATGGAGAATGGTCACCCCATCACCCAAAGCTGACCACTTTGGCCCTTCAGCACCATAAGGACTCTGAGGTATTGTTGGTACTTTTTGGTAAAGCAAGAGGAGATTATATCCAGCAAAGCAGACATCTCTGGCTCTAGGACAGCATAAATGGAGACCATAGCACCTGCTATTTCAGTGACAAAGAGCACAATGCTTGGCAGATGTGCAGGTGAAAACAAAGGCCCAGCAGAGTGGTAATGTGGAAGATAAAGGGTCTGCAGTACCCTAAGGAGTAGTGGTAAAGAACTGGGATGAGTGTTGAAGGAGCAACAGTCATAGAAGGAGAATGCTTCGTTGTGAGTATATTTGTGAGATTCCCTGAAACCACTCAGAGACACTGGAGAGATTTTGCAGGACAGGAATATGTTTTCTTGTCTTTGATTTTTGCTGCTAATGTGACCTCGCACACACTTACAAACTGTTGAGCTGTGGGACAACTGAATTATAATACATATAATGAGAAAATCAACACAAAACTACCCTCTACTACTAGTGTCACAACCACCACAATTATTGCCATTATTGAATGCTTACCAGGGGCTAGGAACTGAGCCATGATCTGTAAGTATATTAAAGCATAATCCTTAGAACGATTACAAAGGACTACTTCTTTGGGCCCAGATAGAACCAGATTTATCTTTCTATCTGAAATAACCAAAAAATGACAAAATACATGAAATAATGGTTTTATATATATATATATAAAAATAATAGTTTTCAATACCATTATTTCATATATTTCAACAGAGGGCAGTAATACCTGAAAGATGAAAAACAAACAAGGTAATCCAATGATTTCCCCAGCTTCCAGGCCATGGGACAGGGAAGGGGAACTTTGGTACAGCCCAGCAGACAACCTGGATTAAGGAGGCTGCAAGTCTGAGAAGATCAGGACAATTAGTGTGTGGAACAGTGCACCAACAAGGAAAAAGCTGCACATAGAGAGACATCCAGATACCTGCAGAGGGTCTCTCTCAACTACTTAGCTGAGTACTGATCAGTATATGAGTATGGGGATAACAACTGAGGCCAGTAAAAGAATCACCCAAAAGGATTAGAGGTTACAGTGCCCAGTGTTCACACATGGCTGGGAATATGCCTGTTCGCAATAGTCAGACTGGAAAATATCATGATTTGAAAGGTGTTAGGTAGATTTCAGAAGAAATTTCCTTTAATAAGAATAATTAGCTCTAGAGAGCTGTGGTCCCATTTACCAAATCTTTAAAATGACACCTGAAAGGGTCAAACAGTTTCTAAGTAAGTTAGCTGCATCCTCAAACAAATCTCAAGAATACTTATAGGAATACGGAAATATCCAGCACCCAACAAGGTAAAGTGACAATGTCTGACATCCAATAAAAATTTATCAGACATGCAAAGAAGAAGGAAAATACAAACCAGAATGAGGAGAAAAATTTGTCAACTGAAATCAATTCAGAACTAATACAGACAAGGGCATTTAAAGAGTTGTAAATGTATTTCATGTGTTCAAAAGGTTAAGGAAAGACAGAAAATATTAAAAAGATCAAAATTAAACTAAAGACAAAAATTACAGTGTGCAAAATAAAAAATACACTAGATGAAATTAAGGGAAGATTAGACATTGCCGAATGAAAGATCCAGAAATGATCTCAAATGAAACAGAGACTACTGATAACATTATTCATTTGCAATACAACATGATGAATCCCAAAATAATTATGCCAAGTGAAAGAAATCACACACACAGACACACACACGCGCGCGCGCGCACACACACACACACACACACACATATGTATATATACTGTATGATTCCACTCATATAAAATTCTGGAAAATGCAAAAGAAGCCTGCAGATGTGGAGGACAAGAAAAGGTGGGAGAGGATTACAAAGTGGAGGAGAAAACTTTTGGAAGTAACGTTTGTGTTTATTGTCTTGATTTTGATGATAACTTCATGGGTGTATACATATATCAAAACTTAACAAATTGTACACTTTAAATGTTTGAAGTGTAATTACTGTACGTTAAATATACCTCAATAAAACTAAAAATTTTTAAAGGCATTAGAAGGTATTATCATATATATTTAAAGATGAGGAAATTGATATCCTGGGAAGTTAGTTGACTTACCTAAAACCAGTTTATCAGACAGTGACCAGGATTCTTAATTCTTCATGCCTTTTAGTGACATCAGATGGCAACATGAAAGCTAACATCCCTTGATCATACTTTTTGAAAGGATTGCATTTAAAACATATCTATAATCAACAGTGAGCATTTGTTGATGGACCCTCTCTAATATACGTCTACTGACCACCATCTGACATACTGCAAATATATTAATTTGTTAAATGTCAATCTTCCTGCCCCCCCGGCCAATAGAAAGAGAACAGGAATTGTGTTTAGTACACTATTTGTATTGGATATTTCTTATATATTTACCTCTGTCCGTACCTCTTTCCCTCTTGTCCCACCTGGCACTTTGGTGACCAAATATGCATAAACTCCAATGGTTTTACAAGAGACACAACTTGTCTCTTGTAAAACCATTGGAGTTTTGCCTCATGCTTGCATCTGGTGCCTCTTGCCTCATGCTCTAGAGTTTTATTGTTGATGCTGCTGCAAGACGCCCGTTCAGGTAACATATATTACTTCGAAGTGAGGTTTCCTTCATGGGATGAACCTTTTTAATGGGAGATGGGATTCAGTGGATACATTTTATCTCATCACTTCCTAATGGATGGACCTTACATTACTTCTCAGGGATGGTCCTGCAGGATTGAGCAATCAGCCTCACTTAGTGGTGGCAAATATAATGCTCCTGTATTCACTTCCCTGCCTTTCCAGCTTTAGTCTCTTTGACCCTCACTCCTACCACCTGAGATTGAACTCCTTAAGTAAGTAAAGCACATAAGCCCCTTGCATCGGGCTCTGTTTCCTGCTTTGAAAGCTGGCACTAGCAGTGGTTCAAGGAAGTCAACTCCTGGATGGCATTTTGGAGCTATGCTATCCATGCATTGGATGAGAATAAGAATTTTTATGCCAGTAATAAGTGGGATAGTGGTGACTTCTGAAAGGCAGTGGCATTATAACAACTAAAGTTTCTGTTTAGGTTTACTTGGGATGAAGTGCAGATACAAAGTGAAGTGTTATAATACATGGTGGTTATGGCTCTTGAACAGTACGGGGGCAATGATAATTATAGGAGTTGTATAATGTAATGGTTTAAAAAACCTCATTAGAGCCTTAAAAATGACAATCTCAGAACAGGCAACTGATAAATTATGTCGTGGAAATCAGAAATTCCTATGGAAGCTTTTAAAGAGATGTTTATCTCTGCAGCCACAGGGCAGGCTGTGCTGAGACCAGGCCCAGCATTTAATTGTAAGGGCATTGGAGCTGCAAAGGAAACAGAATGTGTAGCTGGACAAGTCTCCCATGTCATGGTCATGTCTTGCATGAAAAAATAGCGGAATCCTGAGACTTGGGAAAGGGCAATTTGGTAGATGAGCCAGAGGATGTTGAATTCTCAGATTTCTTTGAACTTTCTGGAATGGCAAAAGATTTCCATCCTTTGTTAGAGGACAGAAGACTCCTCTTTCCTGCAGATTGTGCAATGACCTCACCTGAGGTAGGCACCTCACTAGGTTTTGCTTGTTTTTCACAAGATTTTCTCTTACTCCTCCAACTCCAATTCATTTAGGCCAATAACAAAAGCCAGATGTCAACACATACTAAGTAGAGAAGTACAGCTCTTCTGCAGGAGAAAATAGCTTACAGTGTGAAAAAAGGACTTATTTAATATGTACTAGCAGGGACTAGAACACATGTGTCCATGGATCTTATGGGTGTTGAACCATAAAATAATATGACTAGATAGAAATTTATTGTTGGGGCACTTGCCCATGAATTAGGATTCAATGGTTTGACAGGGACACTTGCATTTGAAATTGGTCATAATAGTTTCCTTGGATGGCCCTTTGAAGCTTGTATATGACAATGGATTACAGTTCACAGAGATTTTCAAAGTGTGGTCCCAGACCAGCAGATTTAGCATCACCTGGGGACATGCAATTCCTCTACTGAATCAGAAATGCTGGAGTGGACTTCTACAATCTATGTTTTAATAAGCCCTCCAGGTTATTTGGATGATTACTAAATTTTGAAAACCACTGGCCTATAATAATAAGGTGGAGAAACTAGAATTTCTTTTGCACAGTATTTAAGGAAAGAGTCAGGGGCTCAGGGAAATGGAACTTTTAGAATGGATTTATTAAGTAAGACACAAGAACCATGTTGGATATATTCCCTTGGGGGGTTCTAAGTGCACCCTTTCCTTAAGGCAATACAGAAGGCACAGGCTAGGGGAACACTAGAATCTTTTAAGAAACTTGGTGGTGCTGTCATCTGTGGGACGGGGTTAACTACAGGAGATGCTGTCATGAACCTGGGCTCCCTAATGCCAATGGGATGATAAGATTATAGGATGATGGAGGCAGGTGGCAGCACTTAGGGTCAGAGGTTGCTATAATAGGCAAGTGGTAATTGGGGTGCATTGACTTACAGGGGCTTGTAGAAATGACTAAACAGATCATGGCAGTGGTGGGGAAGGGCAGTGTGCAGTGATAGAGGGATAGCTGATTACAGTGTTGCTCCATTTGTAAAATAACAAAAAAGGCCATCTCAGCTGCCACAATGGAAAGCCACAGTCCTTCACCTGTTCCAGTTCACAATCCCAGAGTCTGCTCTGTGAATAGAAGGCCACATCCACTCAGTAAAAACCTTGCGGTATAATTGCATGTGTGTATGGCAAGTATTTCACAGACCCTTCTCCACAGTGACCTGCAGTCATTTGCCAGGTTAACTGCATGCTTACAAAAGGGGAATACGAGATTAGCTTTGGAGTCTGAGCTGATGCTGATGCCAGGGGTACCTGCATCATCATGGTCTTTGAACCTAGAAAATGTTCACCACAGCAGCCCCATCCCTAATCAGTCTCAGCTTCCTTACAGTTAGATCTTCTCCCCATTTCCTGGCCCATATTCCCCAAGACCACTACAAAAAAATGATACACTATTTCAGCTAGCTTATATCTTCCTCATGCCTGCCCATAAGAGCATCTAAATTAATTACTAAGTCATCTACTTTATCTCACTTAGGTGAGACGGAGTTCAGTAATGTTAGGAGTCAAAGTCTCTCTTTGACAGGGTTGGGCTGATCAGCACAAAGTTATGTTATTCTCAACATTACACTTAAGTGTGACTTCTGCTGCTCTTTTCTCTAAATATGAAAAATGGTAATTGCCCATTCTCTGTTATTCTTTCCTTCTGGCAGGTCTCAGAGGTTAGGACAAGGAAAGCCACCCAGGCAACAGTTTTCCTGGATAGTCCAGTCCCAGGCCCATAGCCCTGGGCATTAGGAGAGGGAACACTCCGTTTTGCTGCCCCTAGCAATGAGGACTAGTTGGCAGAAAGCCAAAGTAATATGGCTCTGCTCATGATTATTACCTACACCGAGCTCACCAGGACCAGCAGGTGAAGTGGCAGGTGTGTAGTATCCCAGCAGCTCCCAATCAGGCTGGCTTGGATTTGTAAACATCAGAAAACCCAAGCCACTCCCTACCCAAGGTCTGCATATTGGCTCTGCTCAGCTTTCATATTACCATTACGTGGAGGTGGTTGTTTGTTATCCTTAGTACTCCTTCTGCAGTGATGACCCTGGCTGATTTTCCTTGAGAAGTGTGCAGACTGTAATGGACTTCAGTGATCTAGAATCTCCTCCCTATGACAGCTCTCTCACCCCAGTTGATATTAAACCAGCATATATCATTTTCCACCGTCCTTGTACTTTTCATTCTGTGGCAGAGCCTGTTTTTCTCCAGTTTATGTCTGTTTATAGCTGAAGTATTTTTCAGACATATTTGTATATTTCCTTTTATTCTTCATCGATGAAAGTATTATGAAGGAAAAGTCCTATACACAGACAGACCTTGCTGTACATTTCCTCATCCTCTAAGTTTGGATGATCACAAACAGAATTTTAAGAGATATCCTATATACAGATGAAACTGAGGATTTATAAGGCTCACAAATGAGCAGAGTAGACACCTCACTGTGCAGACTTCTTTGACCAATTTTCCTGGTTAAGTGCAGAAATATAAGTGTTGGTTGAGCATCTCTTGACAATTCTGGGAAGCAAGTCAAAGGGTATAATTCTAACCCTTAAGGATCCCATAGTCTAGCTAGGGAGGGACTGAGGGAGTATAAAAATAGAAAAATAATAGAACCATGTATAAGGTACCTAACAGGGGACAAAGAAGACATCTTTGAGGCGGGGATGCTTGAGCAAGATTTTGAAGACAGATAAAGTGGGAAAGCAAATTGCTAGCAGGAAGAAAGATATGACAACCACAGGCAACAGCATGATGTCTGTTGAGAAATACAGGTAGATAGTTTTGGTGGGGTTTAAAATATCAGTGGGAAAGGTGAAAGGAAATGAAGCTGGAGAAATAGACAGGACCAAGTCAAAGATTGTCTTATATACCTAGAAGCACAGCCTTTATTCTTTAGGCCAGTGGTTTTCAAAATGTTGTTCCTGGATCAGCATCACTTGAGAACTTGTTAGAAATATAGATTCTTGGCCAGGCACGGTGGCTTACGTCTGTACACCCAGCACTTTGGGAGGCCGAGGCAGGCAGATCACAAGGTCAGGAGATCGAGACCATCCTAGCTAACATGGTGAAACCCTGTCTCTACTAAAAATACAAAAAACTAGCTGGGTGTGGTGGCGGATGCCTGTAGTCCCAGCTACTTGGGAGGCTGAGGCAGGAGAATGGTGTGAACCCGGGAGGCAGAGCTTGCAGTGAGCCAAGATCGTGCCGCTGTATTCCAACCTGGGCTACAGAGCAAGACTCCGTCTCAAAAAAAAAAAAAAAAAGTAATGCAGATTCTCCACCCCTACTCCAGCAGCTGAATGATAAACTCTGGGGATATAGCTGAAAATCCTAATTTTAACAAGATCTCCAAGTGATTCTGATGCACACAGATGTTAGAACCTCTGCTTTAGGGGTTGAGGAGCCACAGCAGGTTCTGAGCATTGGGAATGCATAGTTTAAAAACATCTCTCTTACAGCAATGTGGAAGCAGGATTGGAAGGGGCAAACCCTGTGACAGAGTCACCAACTGGAAGACTGCTCCAACAGTCCAGTTGAGAAATGACCAAGATATAAGCAGGGCAGAAACAGAGGAACTGGGGAGAAGAGCACAGGGGTGAAAGGTGAAAATGTTTTTGACAGACTTTGAGACCAGTTGGATTTGGAAGGTGAGGGTCAGGGGACATTTGTTGCAGTGACTGAGGTTACAGTGAAATGGCCCAGTATGGTCAGGCCAGCTAATAGGGAGGGGGACATTCTCCAATGCACCTTAACACCCATGTGCTCATTAGGTACGTCTTTCCATTGACCTTCACAGTGAGGAAGCAAGAGCTCTTTCTGAGTCATCAGAACTACTTCACAAAGATGAGTGATTATTCCAGACAGAGAAAACATCTCAAAACCAGTAGTGCTAATGAAAAGAATGTGTAAAGTGTATGTGTGTGTGTGCACATGCACATTCTAGGGAATGCTATGGTATGGGATTTCTGTTTGGATTCCAATTATTTTGTTATCTTCCTGGTACCTGCATTTGTATGCAATAGGTGATGGGGTGAGGTGAGTAACTTAGCTGTTAGTGCTTCATGGTCTCAGCCTCTGTGTATTTGATTTCCAGCAAACAATGCAGATAGGTAAGTATGAGAACTTTTTGGGAGCATGGGGAGTGTTGGATGCTTCAGTTGTTGGTTTGTTTAGAGACTTAAACATCTCTTGTAGAAATGTTCCAAAATCCGGGCTGTAAGCCACAGGTTGTGATTGTGCTGCTCAATTGTTCCAGAATGGGGTTCCTGAGAGTCATATTAACAGATTATTACATTTCCTTAAAATATCATGTCATGGGTTGAATTTTGTCCCCCAGAAGAGATATTCAAGTCCTAACCCCAGTATCTGTGAATGTGACCTTGTTTGGAGATAGCATGTTTGCAAATATAATCAAGTTAAAATGAGGTCAAGCTTGATTAGGGTCAGCCCTAATCCAACGACTGTTGTCTGTATAAGAAGGGGGAAATGTGGATGCAGATGCAGGCAGAACAGAGAGAACATCATATGACTATGGGATCCATGATTGGAATGATGCACTTACAAGCCAAGGAACATGAAGGTTATAAGTTAGGAAGAGTTAAGGAAGGATTCTCCCCTAGAGGATTTGGAGATAGCCTGGCCAACACCTTGATTTTGGACTTCTGCCTCCAGAACTGGAAGGCAATACATTTCTGTTGTTTTAAGCCACCAAGTTTGTGGCAATTTCTTACCACAGTCCAATAAGTGAATACATGTCCCAAACCTTTAATAGGTTTAAGATACATAATTCCAAATTCAAAGCAGAAATGTAAAAAAGCAACAATAACCAGATATGATTTGAAACTTACACAAGACAGACTTTTAAATCAGGGGAGTTAGGGAGATGGAAGAGGAGCCTCCTGTGTGTAAAATATGAAGAAAATGGATAGTGTTTTTTTCTCAAATTGCCCAAAGGTGCAATAGACTGGCTTCTTCTAAGATGGAAGGAGAAATTCTCTGTAATTTTCAGGGAAAATAAGGACAACCAGATAACTCTCCTGTTCTGTGACAGCCTATCACCAAATGAGAGATGGAGAATAATAGAAAAGACAGTGATGATATAAAACGGGCCCCAGCCATGGAGCATTGCTGGATTAACTCCAGCAGCATTTGTGTACATTGTCATGTCAATAAAATTACTGAAATTGAAACCTGAAATTGAACAGAGTGTGAAAGAAAGAAGATATTACTCAAGGGACCTAAGCAGTAAATATTCCCATTAAGGGGAGGTGATATCATGGAAAGTTTCTGTGGTTTGTGATGCCATTGAAGTCCAAACAAAGCGGGTATAATTTCATTGTTTCCCTCTGTGGCATTTTTTTGCAGAATGAAGCACTTGGCTGTAATAAAATTGTGCTCCTGAGAAGTGAAATCAAAGTTCACAGATGCATCAGTAGGTTGGAGTGCATATTCATTTATTCACAAGCCTTGTGGGGCTGCTTTTTCTCAGCCAGGAGATGTGAGCTTTCTTTATGCACTAGCAGGAAGTTGATGGGAAGAACAGGCTCTGGGTTTCTCATTCTTGGACAAGGAAGAAAGCTGAGCCTGAACATGGCTGAGGTCAGCTTAGTGAGGTCGGCTTGGCAGTATGGCTGGAAATCCACCTCTCATCTCACCTCTCCTTGCTTAACTGTGGAATAATTCCTTTTTACCTACTCTACAATCCATGCAACCCTCACTAGATGCCCCCAGGCAACCCCTCTCTTTTTCTGCCATCTTAGGCAAAGGTTAGGGTGCACCATTCCTGAGGCTGAATCTGGGAACTACTGCAGGCCAGTTCCCTTTTTCCAGTCCAGAAAGCTCGTATGCCAGCTGTTTTCATCCCCAGCAGTCTGAGTGCTTAACTGGAAGCCTGATATCCCCACACCCCATGTGGCAGGACATTAGGAGCTCTGCTGATGATCTGTCCATAGGGTAAGCTCCTGACTCAAAATATACAGACACCAAAACCACTGCTAATGTTTCCCCTTGGAGATTGCTTTGTATTGAAAGAATTCACAGCCTGCTTAAAGTTCTTATCTTCTTATAGAAGCAAGTCAAAAGGAAACAGAACACAGCATCTAATCCATCATTAGATACATCTATAAAAGGCCCAGTGTTGTCAAACTGGTGAGGAAGACCTGTTTTGTCTTTCCTGGGGATGCTGAGCTCAAGATGACTGAACTCTTAGAAAGCAGTAGGAGATAGTTCATATTATGATTCTTATTTTATAATGGACACTGAGCTTTAGAGATGTTAAAACATTTGGCCAAGTTGGCAGAGTTAGAATTAGAACCTGGGTGTATATCTTGCCCAAGCCAAGAGGTCAAGAGAACCACTATGCCACATTGCTACTCACAAACTGCAATTTTCGGGGAAGCACAGAATGTCAGAGCTAGGTGACGGTCTTAGTCTGTTCAGGCTGCTATAACAAAATACTATACACTGAGTAGTCTATAAACAAAATAAGTTTATTTCTCATGGTTCCAGAGTCTGAAATGTCCAAGACCAAGGGGCCAACAGATTTGATGTCTCATAAGGGCCTGTTTCCTAGCTTATAGTTGGCAGCTTTTTGCTGTAACCTTACATGGTGGAAGGAGCAAGGCAACTTTCTTGAGCCTCTTTAATAAGAGCAAGAATTCCATTCATGAGGACATCATCCATATGACCTAACTACCTCCCATTAGGCCCATTTCTTAATACTATCATTTCGGGGATTAGGATTTTTAACATATGAGTTTTAGGAGGACACAAACATTCAGACAATAACAGTGACTTTAGGGGTCCTCCAAGCAACTCTGCTGCTGGTGCTTATAGCTCCTCTACAGCACTGCTGGAAAGTGGTTGTCTAGATTCTGCATGCTTACTTTTAGTGCCAGAGAATGCACCATCTCTTTGGATAGCCCATTATGTATATTCAGTCATACATAAGCATAAGAAAACACTATTTTGGTTGTGATTTGAGATCTGCCTATGTGTAACCTCTACCCATTCATTCTGTCTTCAGGGACCACAGAAAATAATCCCAATGCTTTGGCAGACTGTGGAGCATTTAAGAACAGGTTTTGGCTCTCAATAAATCTTCACCTTTTATTCAATCTTTGAACAAGACCTCATCCATAATGGTTTCCAGAAATTTTGCTTTTCTTGGAAGATGCTACAGTTTGTTAAAGTCCCTTTGTAAGTGTGGGAAACAGAATTTGAACACAATATTCCAGGTGTAATTTGGCCAAAAAATAACAAGGTGAGACTCTTGCATTCTATCTTTTTACCAACTTTGGGTCCTGGGAGTCAGCCTGGTATTGACTAAGTTTCACTTGAGATTAACTTGGACTCTGTTCTGAGTTACAATCTGAGATGACCCAGGAATACCTTTACACTATCGATGAATAGAGCAATTTTATGAACACAGGCCATGGTAAAAGTGCTCAGCCCTTTGTATATTTCATTGACCAACCTTTGTAAAGACATAAACAGTTCTTGGTTCAAATTGAACTCATTAAAATCCAACATCCCAATTGGTGTTATAAGTGTTGCTATAGAGATACCTCCTCCATGGCTATTTGCCAGGGACCATGACATAAATCTATAGATAAAACAATCTTATCAGTTCTAATACATTGGTTAGGGCAAATACTGTGGGTATAATATATCCATTTTGGACACAGCTTATAGTTTTCTATAAATCATCCAGTTCAGGAGCAAGAACCATTGAGAAGTCTAGAAATTTGTAAGAAATATGTTATCTTCAATTCCACATCTTTATCTTCTTCCAAATAGCAACTTACCCTTTCCTCTGAATCAACAGTGCAGTGTCTCTTCAGAGTCATTGTCTCCTCACTTTAAGATGGTTCTAACTGGAAAATATCTACGAAGATTTTTTTTCTAAAGTACTTCTGTGAATTTTGGAAGAACATACCATGTTCTTTTTTTTTGCTAAGATATGGTTTCACTCCACCTTCAAATAACAAGGAGGAAGCAATAAGTAAACATTTATCTGCCAGTCTCTCTCTCTCCATTCATGATCTTGTTTAAACCTCCAACATCCCTGTAAAAGTGGATAAAATTATTCCTATTCTATTTATCTATTTCATAGAGAAATCTGAGAAACAGGCTCAGAAAGGTAGGATGACTTGCCCAAGGCAAAGTACTGACAGAGTCAATCTTCAAACTCTTGTAAACTAATTCTAGGTATAGTTCATTCCACTACCCCCAGATTGTTTTACTGTTACAAATTGTAGTCCTCTAAAGCAGTTTGAAAGAGGCCAGTCATTTGCTCCTCAGAGGCAGGGTTTCCCCAACAGAATTATTCTATTGTGGTATCCATGAACTAATTTCGGGATTCATCTTAAAGTTAATCAAGGAGGACAAACACAGTTACTCATGCCACTGCAATTACTTTATCTAAATAAGATATGCTACTTTGGCTTCACTTTTCTCACTAGGTCAAATCAAACCAATGATTTTTAAGAATCTAAAAGTATTTTTGTTTAGAAAACAGGATAAAGTGAAATATTTCATTGAGTCATACAAAGATATTTTTGTCAATAAATTGATATTAATAAAATCTTTTGGATTCAAGATTTAAAGATAGAGGTAGAATGGGTCAAAAAATGCTTACTGAGTTTGACTGAACTGCAGACTAGCAACATCCAAAGGATTTGTGGCAGAAAGTGTTTCAAAATGCTGCAGAATACAGAGAATCTCTAAATCTTTGGGTTAGGATTCTCTTAGAATTTAGGGTCTGGGTCAGGGGTTCCCAACATTCCAGGGCCAGGCAGGTAATGTAAGTATGTGAGAGAGGTGGTATAAGTTTTTTTCTATTTTTTTTTATTATGGTAAAATACACATAAAATAAAACTTACCATTGATAGTGTAAAGGTATTCCTGGATCATCTCAGATTGTAACTAAGAGCAGAGTCCAAGTTAATCTCATGTGAAACTTAGTCAATTCCAGGCTGCTCAGTGGCATAATACTGAGTAACCATCACAACCATCCATTTCCATAATTCCTTTCATCTTATAAAATTGAAACTCTATGCCTGTTAAACCATAAGTCGCCATTCCTCTTTTCTCACAGCCCCTGGCAACCACCATTCTACTTTCTGTCTTTATGATTTTGATTACTCTAAGTACTTCACAGAAGTGGAATCACACAGTATTTGTCTTTTTGTGACTGGCTTCTTTCACTTAGCATAATCTCCTCAAGGTTCACCCATGTTGTAGCACATTGCAGAATTTTCTTCCTTTATAAGGCTGAGTAATATTTCATTATATGTACATGCCACATTTTGTTTACCCATTCATTTGTTGATGAACATTTGAGTTGCTTCCATGTATTAGCTATTGTGAACAATGCTAGTATGAAGATGGGTTACAAATATCTCTTCAAGACCCTGTTTTCATTTATTTTGGGTATATATACATTTATTTTGGGTATATACACATAAGTGGACTTGCTGGAGCATATGGTAATCCTATTTTTAATTTTTTGAGAGTGGATATAGAAAATCATGGTATATGCAGCTTTCTTTTTCTTTTTAAAATTTTTATTTTAGGTTCGGGGGTACATGTGAAGGTTTCTTACATAGGTAAACTCATGGCATGGGGGTTTGTTGTACAAACTGTTTCTGTAAAAAGGTATTAAGCCCAGCACCCAATAGTTACCTTTTCTGCACCTCTCCCTCCTTCGAACCTCCACCCTCAAGTAGACCCCAGTGTCTGTTCCCTTCTTTGTGTTCATGATTTCTCATCACTTAGCTCCCACTTATAAGTAAAAACATGTAGTATTGGTTTTCTGTTTCTATGTTAGTTTGCTAAGGATAATAGCCTCCAGCAATGCCTATATTCCCACAAAAGACATGATCTTGTTCTTTTTGATGGCTGCATAGTGTTCCATGGTGTTTATGTACCACATTTTCTTTATCCAATCTGTCATTGATCGGCATTTAGGTTGATTCCATGTCTTTGCTATTGTGAATTGTGCTGCAATGAACATTTGCATGCGTGTCTCTTTATGATAGAATGATTTATATTCCTCTGGGTTTATGCCAAGTAATGGGTATATTGCTGAGTCAAATGGTAGTTCTGCTTTTAGCTCTTTGAGGAATCACCATACTGCTTTCCACAATGAATTAATTTACACTCCCACCAACAGTGTGTAAGTGTTCCCTTTTCTTTGCAACCTTGCCAGCATCTTTTTTTTTTTTTTTTTAACTTTTTAGTAATGGCCATTCAGACTGGGGTGAGGTAATATCTCACTGTGGTTTTAACTTGCATTTCTCTAATGATCAGGGATATTGAACTTTTTTTCATATG